>NC_000002.12:43523685-43826715 GCF_000001405.40 Homo sapiens | reverse complement strand
CTGGGAACTAGGCCCTTCCACATCAGGTCCTTTCTCCTGAGCTCAGGCTGAAAGCCAGTTTACATGTTTACTTCCCACCGCACACTGTTTGAATGGGGTACAAACTCAATAAGGAACAGTTCAGAACTCTGAGTTTTAAGCACAGAGCCTGGGCTCTGCACTACCTTAGAAGTCTGGCCCTTCTTTGCTGGCAGAGGTCATGCTGTTTGATGAGCCAACCACAGGCCTGGACTGCATGACTGCTAATCAGATTGTCGTCCTCCTGGTGGAACTGGCTCGCAGGAACCGAATTGTGGTTCTCACCATTCACCAGCCCCGTTCTGAGCTTTTTCAGGTAAGAGGTTCAACTCGTAAAGGCCGGGTCTATGGTGTGTTGAGCTGGGAATCACAGGGGCAGGGGCAAGATTTGTACCAGTGGCCAGGCACAGTGGCTCACACTTGTAATTCCAGCACTTTGGGAGGCTGAGGCAGGAGGAGCACTTGAGGCCAGGAGTTTGAGTCCATCCTGAGCAATAAAGTGAGACTCCCCATCTCTAAAAAAAAAAAAAAGAAAGAAAGAAAGAAAAAGAAAAATTAGCCAGGCATGGTGGTGCATATCTGTGGTCCCAGCTACTTGGAAGGCTGAGGTGAGAGGATCGCTTGAGCCCAGTAGGTCAAGGCTGCAGGGAGTCGTGATCATGCCATTGCACTCTAGCCTGGGTGACAGAGGAAGACCTCATCTCAAACAAACAAACAAAAAACCGTTAGTGCTAGAGAATTGGAGCCAACAGCTCCTGAGAGGGGAAGAGCAAAGGATGAAAACTCACTTCTTTCAGCACCTACCATGTTCCAAATACTTTCTGTACATAGCTCATTTCATCTGCACAACACTCCTATGAGGTGTGTTTCAGTGTATTCACCTTACAGAGGAAAAGAGTGAAACTTAGCAATGATTCAAAATTGATAGTTGGGCGTGGTGGTGTGCGCCTGTAATCCCAGCTATTCGGGAAGCTGAGGCAGGAGAATCGCTTGAACCCAGGAGGTTGCAGAGAGCTGGGATTGTGCCACTGCACTCCAGCCTGGGTGACAGAGTGAGATTCGGTCTCAGAAACAACAACAACAACAACAATAACAACAAAACAACAACAAATTAAGCCAAGATCACACAGTTGTTAATAGTAAAAAGCTAGCATTAGCCTTTCACAGCCAAGTTGGCTTCAAAGGCTGTGTTTTTCCACGAAATCATACTGATTTCCTTCCAAAAAAACTCACTTTCTCCGCCCAGTATCCCTTTAGTTAGCTATTATTTGCTTTTTACAGAGGAGGAGCTGAGATTTAAAATGAAAACAAAAAAACAAACTAAGACCCACCCCTGCTCGCCCGAGGTCACTCACTTGGCTTGGCTGGGACTTACGCCCAGGTCCAGTCATGCTTGTCTATCCCAGATATGAAGCTGGGCGTCAGGATGGGAGGCAGCATGACCCACAGTGGTAGCCTAGGCTCACAAGGGTAGGGATGCATTTCGAATGTCTCCAAGAATACTGATGCAGGGCCAAGGTCATCGAAGGACTGACTGCTTATGGGAAATGCATTTCCCATAAGGACTTGGTGACCATAAGGAATACCTGACCTTGGCCCTGCATCAGTGTTCCCAGAGACATTCAAAGTGCATCGCTACCCTTGTGATCACACACTAACTACGTCTGTTGTCTGGTCAGCTCTTTGACAAAATTGCCATCCTGAGCTTCGGAGAGCTGATTTTCTGTGGCACGCCAGCGGAAATGCTTGATTTCTTCAATGACTGCGGTTACCCTTGTCCTGAACATTCAAACCCTTTTGACTTCTATAGTAAGTTTTTCTTTCACATTCCCCATCATGAATGTTTTTTAAACTTTCTCATCTCAGACTTCTGCCTGGATGACACCAGTCTAGTGGATTTGATTTTTGCTTTTGTTTTTGTGTTTTATACTCTTCAAGGAATCAATTTGGCCGGGTCAATGAACTTGCCAGAGATGACTATCAGAATGAGGTCAGGGATCTCTCTCAAACAAACTGGCGCACTGCTACTACTTTATCAGAGCATAATTAGCTGAGCTTCTGAATTCTCCCAGACAATCCCAATGGGATCCTCAAGGCCCTGCTGGGATGCTTTAAAGTATTCTGATTTTATAGGTGGGCATTAACCACAAATTTTATCTTGATGGGATGAGGTATTATGGCCAGTACTCCTGTACCAATTGTATATCCATGTACATACATGCATTTAAAAACACATGGGTGACATCTTTTGGGAAAAACTTTTAGTGGACCTGACGTCAGTGGATACCCAAAGCAAGGAACGGGAAATAGAAACCTCCAAGAGAGTCCAGATGATAGAATCTGCCTACAAGAAATCAGCAATTTGTCATAAAACTTTGAAGAATATTGAAAGAATGAAACACCTGAAAACGTTACCAATGGTTCCTTTCAAAACCAAAGATTCTCCTGGAGTTTTCTCTAAACTGGGTGTTCTCCTGAGGTAAGAGGCTCACAAATGTGAGAAATGCCTGTTAGAGGTCTTTAGCCATCCCCCAATAACAATTCTGAAAAGGAATTAAAACAGGGTTGTTTGTTTTCAGGAGAGTGACAAGAAACTTGGTGAGAAATAAGCTGGCAGTGATTACGCGTCTCCTTCAGAATCTGATCATGGGTTTGTTCCTCCTTTTCTTCGTTCTGCGGGTCCGAAGCAATGTGCTAAAGGGTGCTATCCAGGACCGCGTAGGTCTCCTTTACCAGTTTGTGGGCGCCACCCCGTACACAGGCATGCTGAACGCTGTGAATCTGTGTAAGTGCCCACGTGCTGGAGGTGCACCTCTTTCTCCCTAAATACCTCCCTTCTCCAGCTGTAACCTTACAAAAGTCTACCATTATAAGGGTTTTTCTCTGAGCTAAACCCAGCCCTCTCCAGGTTCCCTCTCTGGGGAAAGGCAACTATTGAGTTACCAACACGTTAATATGAATGAGCTCACCAGGTGGATCTCTCTGAGGGCTAAGGATCCAGGGAAACATGAAGTGACAATGTACTGGTGGGGAGAGTTTGAGGAGTTTTTCAAAAGATCATTCCTCCTATCTCATCTTGGCCATCTCAGATGCACAGCCCATGGGGTGCTCAGCGACCAGGCCAACTTTGTACCGTTAGCTTCTCTTTGGAGCTGATTTTAGGACAGCCAGCACCTAATTTTCAAATTCAGTGGAATTCCAGAGACAAAACCTGGTTGCCTAACGTTGCAGGAAGCAGGTGTTAGAGGGATTCCCCAAAGGCAACACTGTTAGGGAATAAGAGGGAAGGACTTCGCTATTGTGAAGTTGCTCTAGAGCTTGACATGAGGGGCAATGCTAAGTGTCTGCATCTGTGGGGTTTGCCTGGCCTTCCGAGAGCAAGTCTAAAATGCAGGCTGCTGGTGGTGGGGGCGGGGTGGGGTGGGGGGAATCCTGCACAGAAAGAAGACAAAGTGCTTCAAATCACTTATTCATGCCCCTTTTGCATGTACTTTTCGTGAATTGGTGACAACTCCCCACTTTAGAGAGAAGGAAATAAATGACATCTTTTGCAATTGTATTGCAATTCTGGTAGAGTGTAGATTTCCGGGGTGGGGATTTATTGTCCTGTGGATGGCAGGTCCCCTCCTTCTATGACTAGGGAACCCCCCTAGCTGGTCCTCACCATCCAGCCCTGACAGACCTCACATTCAGCTTGGGCTAGCCCTCCCTTTTTCAGCTGGGTGGTGACTGACTGTTCTGAAACCTGCCTTCCATCCCCAGTTCCCGTGCTGCGAGCTGTCAGCGACCAGGAGAGTCAGGACGGCCTCTACCAGAAGTGGCAGATGATGCTGGCCTATGCACTGCACGTCCTCCCCTTCAGCGTTGTTGCCACCATGATTTTCAGCAGTGTGTGCTACTGGTGAGGGGTTGTTCAGTTCACCCAGGGCCGGGCTCCCATGGAGTCATGGAGCTAGTGGGACTCGTGCAGGGAGAGCTCCAGGGTGAAGTTCTCTGCTCTGGAGGATCTACACTTTGCCCATCAGTGTCTAGTGCAATGTCGTATCTTCCAGGACATTAATTTTATTGTAAATAGCCCAACTGTGGGTTGCAGGAGACCTGAGAACAAACCAACAAGATGACATGTGCCTGGGAATGACCTGTCCCACATTCACGGCAGGGCCTGGGCCAGAGAAGAGAGGACTCTGAAGTAGCTAGGACCCAGGTGCATGGGGGGGGGCCTGGGGGAGGGGAGAAAGCAGCCTGAATGTAAAACCTTAAAACAGACACATTCAGAGGGTGGGAAGAGGACAGCAACCAACAGAGGAGGCAGAGGGTGATCAGGGAGGTAGAAAGAGAAGCAGGATTGGGCAGCATCAGAGAGGATGAGGAAGGAGAGAGTTTCAAGGAAGTGTCATAAACACTTCAATATTGCAGGGGTTAAAGGAGGTGAAGCATAAAGGGAGAAGGCCATTGCAATTTCCCAAAAAAGAGCTTCGGTAGAGTCATGGGGGTGCAAGTCAGGTTTACAAGAAGGGAAGGTGTAAGATGGAGGAAGCAGATTCTGTTTTGAGAAACTTGGTGTTACAGGGTAGGATGAAGAGGGGCAGTTACTTAAATGATGATCAAGTTCAAAAAATGGTTATTTTAGGATGTGGTAAATAAGACCATCAAAAAACATCAGATTGAGAGTAGATGAAAATGCAGCCAAAATTTGGATAAGTCAAAGAGGAAGTTCCCAGAGTAGACCAAGGTAGGGATAGGGGAATCAGAATAACATGGGATCAAGGATGCAAGCAGCTAGGGTCACACTTTCAAAGATGGGGTGCGGGAAGAGAGGGGGAGAGAGAGAGAATGAAAAATAGAGATGATGAAGATATCAAGAAATTCATAAAATGGGAGGTGAATTCAGCTGCTGAGCACTGGGGAGAGAGATTGAAATTGGGAAGGGGGAAATTTTAAAGTAGAGGTTTATATCAGTCATCATGGGACATGCTATTAGAATTCAAGACACAACAAGGAAATCTTAGGGGTCCAGGGGCCAGCTGAGGCAAAGTGGCAGAGGGGATCCAGTTAGTGCGGCAATAGGCATTGTCCAGCACACCTTCCATTGCTTAAGGGAGAATAGGGTCCCCAGATGTGGGAACTGATAAGGCAAAGAATGGCAGAAGGGGTCCAGCATCTGCGGCAGTGAGGGCACTGGGGAAGTGAGAGGCAGGAGGCTGTGCTCAGAGAGGGTGTCCTCAGACTCTGAAATCCTGGGAGCGAAACCATTTTGAGTAATATTTAAGTCCAAGACATGGTGAGTGATGCAGATTAGGTAGCTGGAGCCATTGGAATTGAGATTCGCTAATTAGGAACCACTGATGTGGATGGCTCATCAAGAAGGTTAAAGAGCTTGAGGAAAATGATAGGGGAGAGGAGCAAAAAGAATGACTCTGGTCCAGATGCTATAAAATCATCAAAGGCAAGAGGATGTTTTAAACATCACAGAAGACAACAATGAGGAACGGCATTGATAGCATAAGCAAACTTCATGATTTGTACAGAGGAAAAGTAGATGGCCTTGAAGAGTAAGTGGTAAGGAGGGGCGAGTATAAGACATGCCAACATTTTTTGCTTACTCTACAAATGGGATAAAGAGCAGCCATGCCTAATGGTCATTGAAGATACGCTATCACCAGGGAAATGTAATTTGGAGAAAGGAATATAAGAGGAAAGGTGCATGGATATAGGGTGGTTTGTTTACAAGAAAATGAAGGTCAGGCCAGGCATGGTAGCTCATGCCTGTAATCCTAGCACTTTGGGAGGCTGAGATGGGCAGATCACTTGAGGCCAGGAGTTCAAGACCAGCCTGGCCAATATGGCAAAACCCCATCTCTACTAAATACAAAAAAATTAGCTGGGTGTGGTGGTGCGCACCTGTAATCCCAGCTACTTGGGAGGCTGAGGCAGGAGAATCACTGGAACCTGGGAAGCAGAGGTTGCAATGAGCCAAGATCACGCCACTGCACTCCAGTCTGATCAACAGAGTGCAACTCCGTCTCAAAAAAGAAAACGAAGGTCAAATCAGTGGAAGGGGTTGGTAGAATAAAAGACAAGAATGGAATGGAGTAGGGCTGGGGAGGGCTAACCTGATCGAGGACAAAAGAAGTGAGGGATTTTCACGTAGGCAATAATCCCATATAACAGAGATGAGGTTCAGGGAAGGGGGTGCTGGGAAGCGGGTTGGGTGAGCCCTTTAACATTAGGTAGGTGTGGTGTTGGCTAGGCAGAACATGGTTATTTATGAAGATGCCTGTAGAGTTCAACAAGCCTGCTTACTGCGGTTAGTTGTGACCATTGTCTAAGTAATTTAATGTTTTCCTATGAGAGCTGAAGGAGCCGTGAAAGGGAAAAGGTGGCTCCCAATGAGTTGCAGCCAATGGGAACAATTTGATATAATAAATAGTCTCATGTTGACTCCTTTCCAAAACGGCCTTTCAAAGGGGAGTGTGGCTTGCCCTGCAAACTTCTCCCACCCACTCACCACAAAGGATTTATTCACAGAGGCAAGTGCAGTATTTTTCTTAAATGATAGCCCTTGGAGAGGAAACTAAAGAGCTTATGCTTTTCTAGGACGCTGGGCTTACATCCTGAGGTTGCCCGATTTGGATATTTTTCTGCTGCTCTCTTGGCCCCCCACTTAATTGGTGAATTTCTAACTCTTGTGCTACTTGGTATCGTCCAAAATCCAAATATAGTCAACAGTGTAGTGGCTCTGCTGTCCATTGCGGGGGTGCTTGTTGGATCTGGATTCCTCAGGTAAGATATCATAATTCAAAAAATTTAGATTGGGATAATCTGTTATTAATGATCACCTAATAATGACTGAAGTAAAGGAATACCAGAGAACTGATAGTGGTTATGGATATTACCTTATAGTCTAGAGCATTTATACTGCTCGTTAATCATTGCCTTAGACCTTGAACTGTTCATTTGTTCAATAAAATGTCTTTTTTATCGGGAATCAGGAACTAACAAGTTTATGTTATGATATGATTCACATGTAATAAACCATTATACCAAGAGAAGAAAACCAGCCCGGATGTTCCAGGAAAAACTCACAGCCCACATGATAGGCTAAATAAATTGCATGCATTAGTTCATTTCTGACCTGGTACTGTTGAGTGTGAACTGCAGTTCTCAATTCCCAGTTATTCTTAGGAATTAAGACTAGTCAGACAAAAAAAAAAAAGCCTGCAGGATAAAAGACTGCTCCAAAGAGTATCAAGGCTTAAAGGATATGCACCAAATGATAGCAGTAATTATCTCTATCTCTAAAATCAATATCAATAGTGATATTGATTTTAATTTTTTTCTTCATATTTCTGTATTTTATCAATGTTCTGTAATGGACAAGTATCATTTTATAACCAGGAAAAAATGTATCCACACACATTTTTAAAAAGCAGCAGCAAAAAGGGCAGAAAATTTTAAAAGGCTAAAAATGATCCCAGGCAGGTGGTGTGAGTGGGATCTAGTAAGTAATCTCTGGGTCCCCAAGGAAACATGAAGGCTGTTTCTTTGACTTAAAAATGTAAAAATCAAGTCAAAAAGCAAAAGCATTACTGAGCATCTACTATATAAAAGTATATGTGTGTGTTTAATTATTTAACTCTCAGAGCAATCCATTTTCAGATAAGAAAATGAAGCTCAGACTTGACTTTGCTCAAGTCACACCACTATGAAGGCTGTGACGCACGTGACTTCGTGGAGAGAGGCTGACCTATGAGTCAGAAACTTCCTCTACCACTTGCCAGTCTCTTTTCTATCTAAATTAGTTTCCTCATTTATAAAAAAGAGATCACTATTTCAGCCCCACCTGCCTCAAGGGATCATGAGAAGGAACGGAAATAATCAATATGAAAACACATTATAAATTGCAGTGAGTTATACGAAGTGAGATATTATAAAGCAAAGTGAATTAGGCTTTGATAAATCAAGGAGGATATTTTTTCACACGAAGACCATGATATTGTATTTGTCCGTGTTGCTTAAGTGGATTGTTAATATTTATGAAAAATGCAGAAATCAAATCACACCAAGAGTACAGAATCAAGCCAGCAATGTACAGAGCCAACCTTGGGCAGCATTTCCTCTTTTATATTATTTGAATCATTGTTTCAGTTAATCTGGTGCCATTTCATGTACAGATGATCCCCGACTTATGATTTTTTGAGAAAGTGATACTCGTTCTGTAGAAACCGTATTTTGTTTTTGTTTTTGTTTTTTTGAAACACAGTTTCACTCTGCCGCCCAGGCTGAAGTGCAATGGCGCGATCTCAGCTCACTGCAACCTCTGCCTCCTGGGTTCAAGTGATTCTTGTGCCTCAGTCTCCTGAATAGCTGGGATTACAGGTGTGCGCCACCATGCTCGGCTAATTTTTGTATTTTTAGTAGAGATGGGGTTTCGCCATGTTGGCCAGGCTAGTCTCGACCTCAAGTGATTCGCCCACCTCGGCCTCCCAAAGTGCTAGGATTACAGGTGTGAGCCACCGCAGCCAACCTAGAAACTGTATTTTGAGTAGCCATACAATCATCCTGTTTTTTACTTTCAGAACAGGATTCAATAAATTACATTAAATATTCAACAAATTACATTAAATATTCAACAATTTATTATAAAATAGGCTTTGTGTTAGATGATTTTTCCCAACTGTAGGTTAACGTTAAGCTTTCTGAGCACATTTAAGGTAGACCAGGCTAAGCTGTAATGTTTGGTGGGCTAGGTGTCTTACATGTGTTTTTTTGTTTGTTTGTTTGTTTTGAGAGGGAATCGCGCTCTGTCACCCAGGCTGGAATGCAGTGGCGCGATCTCGGCTCACTGTAACCTCCGCCTCCCATGTTCAAGCGATTTTCCTGCCTCAGCCTCCCGAGTAGCTGGGATTACAGGTGCCTGCCATTACACCTGGCTAATTTTTGTATTTTTAGTAGAGACGTGGTTTCACCATTTTGGCCAGGTTGGTCTCAAACTCCTGACCTCAGGTGATCTGCCTGCCTTGGCCTCCCAAAGTGCTGGGATTATAGACGTGAGCCACCGCGTCTGGCCTTAAATGCATTTTTAACTTAGAATATTTTCAACTTATGATGGGTTTATCTGGAAGTAACCCCATCATAAGAAGCATTTGTATTAGGGTTTTAGGAAAAGGAGGTTAGTTGCTCTTTATTTTTATTTTTGTTTGTTTCTTGACGCAGAGTCTCACTCACTCTGTCACCCAGGCTGGAATGCAATGGCACGATCTCGGCTCACTGCAACCTCCGTCTCTCAGGTTCAAGCAATTCTCCTGCCTTAGCCTCCTGAATAGCTGGGATTACAGGTGCGCACCACCACGCCCAGCTAATTTTTGTATTTTTGGTAGAGATGAGGTTTCACCAAGTTGGTCAGGCTGGTCTCAAACTCCTGACTTCAAGTGATTTCCCTGCCTCGGCCTCCCAAGGTGCTGGGATTACAGGCGTGAGCCACTATACCTGGTGGTTAATTGCTCTTAAAAGGTAGGCAGTTGCAAAGAATACTAAATGTTCTCAGATTAGTTGCAAAATCTTAACAACCCAAGGCTTCATATGAATTCCACTTCCATCGCTGAAAATTAAAACTCCACTCTTAAAGGCCACATCAACCTGCTAGTCATTCCATTTACCCATTTTTCTCCCCAGTCATCATCTTTCTGGGTGAACTGCCTAAGGCATTTGTGCTGTTGGCTCCCTTCTCTTTTAAACACAAAGGAAATTAGCTTTGCTGTGTTTTCTGCTTACAAAATCATGCAAGTTCTTGGGGGAAGAAGTGCTCACAATATAAATGTGGATGTGGAAGAAAGTAAAAGTTACCTGAAGTATCAGAGCCTAGAGTTAAATTTTGTTGTAGTTCTTGCTAGAATTTTATATAATTTTTAACAAAGATGAAATCATCCTGTTGTATAAGATATAAAATATGCATACTTTTTTTCCCATTTAACAACATAATATGAATTAGGTGGGTGTGGTGTCACGTGCCTGTAATTTCAGCTACTCAGGAGGCTGAGGCAGGAGAATCACCTGAACCTGGGAGGCGGAGGCTGCAGTGAGCCAAAATCATGCCACTGCACTCCAGCCTAGGTGACAGAACAAGACTCCGTTCAAAAAATAAAAAAGACAAAGCACAAACCAACCTAATGTGGACAATGTCATGTCAATACATCCAGATCTATGGTTCCTCCCGCTGCTTCTCCTTCTGTCTGTGCCTTTCACTGATCCATTTCTCTCTCTCCGCCACCTGCACAAAGTCTGTTGGTTGTTCCCAAGGCTAGAGGCGCACTCTCTTTGAAGGCCCCTTTTGTTTTCTCTCTCAGCCTATCACACACTACTTCCTGTCACGGTCTTCCTTTGCTGTAATAGATTATCCACCCCTTGAAGGCAGCAGCTGTGTCTCATTCATCATTTTAGACCCTCTCAGCAGCCAGCCCAATTAGGCCTTGGACCAATTAGGCCTGCAAACATTATTTGTTGAGTGAATAAGTAAATGACTCTGTCTTTGAACTGTATACACACTGCATCACTCACCAAATCATGTTGGTTTTCTTTTCTGATATCAAACCATAGGTGCATGTGGAACATTTTGTGTTTGACTCTGTGTGGTACAGGGAGAAACAAAGGTTCACAGTTCCTACCTCAGAAAGATAGCACCCTAGCCACTAGGCAGCCACCATCTCATGGCCATCATCCTACTCCAGGCCTTTGTCATCTCATAGTTGAACTTTTTTTGTAGTCTGGTCCTTTTTTTTTTTTTTTTTCTTTTCCTGTTCTTACTCTGCCCTCATTCTAGCCATCCTTCTTGCTGGAGTCACGTTAATTTTCTCAGAATGCTGATTTCAACGTGACCTGTCTCATTCATGGTCATTCAACCTCAACTCACAGCAAGGCCCTGAAATGGCTGTTGCTGGCTATTGTTCCGAGCTCCCCTCCCACTGTTCCTTCACATCCTCTCTTCCAGTGTTTCTGGTCCAGTCAGTCCCATATGCAGCCCTTGGCATACCTGTACTCATACCATTTCTGCCTTCCTAGAATTTCCATCCTCTTCCCCTAATTCCTTCCCAGAGTCCCACGTATCCTTTTCAATTAGCAACCTCTCAATGTGGTTAATTCAATGTTGTGCCTTAGGAAACTGAAAGGTTGAGGACACCTTGCAAATAGGTGAAACCATAAATACTAAATACAAGAACATCATGGATGTGTGGTACACATTTTTTTATACTTTCTTGGCACAAATAGTTCACTACTGTATATTTTTATAGTTTTAAGGATATATTCTATATCTCCAACTACATTATGAGTTCTTTAGGGATAGGATACATCTTTTGAAGTTCTCAAGCTCCTAGAACTAGTGCCTTGCAAACAGAAAGAATTTTATACCTTTTGATTGACAGAAAATATACAGTGGACTAAGAAGACCACAGTGTCAGCACACAGTTTCACCTGAAATAGATTGGAGAGGAGACATATTTCATTTTCACAATGAATGTTGGTTCGGTCTCTCCTTCCTTTTTCCTTTGTATTCTAGGTTAGTTCTAACTTTCTACGTTGGTACCTTCAACTTTCTGTTTAATCACAAATCTCCTCCTCCAATTGGTATGTGTTAGGTCTGTATTTTCTTGTACGTTTATATCAGTAGTGCTTACCAAAATAAGTAGACAGTAATCGTCTACTTGAGAGAACTGTTAAATTAAGGTCTTCACTATAACAGGCCACCAAGCTGTGCCTAAAAATGACAAAGTGCTATGCTTACTGACTTGGAAGGATGTCTGAGACATATGTTTGGCAGAAAAAGAGTAAGTTAGGAAAGAGCATGAAGAGTTTAATTCCATTTATATAAAACTTTTAAACACACATGTTATATATATTACCAAAATGTTAACAATAGTTATTTCTAGGCAACGGTATTTCTTTATATTGTTCAATGTTGTTTGAAGGTTTTTTTATAGTGAGCATCATTTTTATAATAAGGAGATAGAAAACTATATTCCTGTTGGAAAATATAAGGATTGCCTTTCTTTTCATTTGGTAGGACTATTGCCAGAGCCTACTGAATTTCATTTTTGTTTTCTTTTTCTTAAGAAACATACAAGAAATGCCCATTCCTTTTAAAATCATCAGTTATTTTACATTCCAAAAATATTGCAGTGAGATTCTTGTAGTCAATGAGTTCTACGGACTGAATTTCACTTGTGGTAAGTATTCTATTTGGGGATATTATTTTTGCATGTTACTCTGAGGAAGCAATTTCTTGGAGGAAATGTATTTTTGAAATAAAAACTGTGTTTTATAATAATTCAATTTAAAACTCTGTTTTGAAATACAGTCCAACATTTTCTCTGATTTTTAAGATGAAAGAAAATAAGCAGTAGTCAAGTTAGTCTCCTGTCAAAGGTCAACAGGTAAGGGACACTTGGATGTTGTTAGAAAATGACAGACCTTATGTACACTGAGGTAAACTCCAGAATATTCTGGATAGACTCAGTTCCTGTATCTACTGAACACATTCAAGCAGGCTGAAGTGGCTTCTTGTTCCCCAAAATGTACATCGTACATAGCTAAATAAAGCTACTTTTGGCAAAAGTCTATTCCTCAATCCCACCAGATGGAAGTAGAACCAAGACAAGGACCTCATGGCCATTAGAAATCTCAGGGTGGCCGGGCACAGTGGCTCACGCCTGTAATCCCAGCACTTTGGGAGTCGGAGGTTGGATCACTTGAGGTCAAGAGTTCGAGACCAGCCTGGCCGACGTGGCAAAAACCTGTCTCTACTAAAAATACAAAAATTAGCCAGGCGTGGTGGTGCGTGCCTGTAAATCCCAGCTACACAGGAGGCTGAAGCATGAGAATCACTTGAATCTGGGAGGCTGAGGTTGCAGTGAGCCCAGATCGAGCCACTGCACTCCAGCCTGGGCGGCAGAGTGAAACTGTGTCTCAAAAAAAAAAAAAAAAAAAAAAAAAACGAAAAAAAAAACCCCAAAAAAAACAAAAAAAAAACAACCAAAAAAATCTCAGGGCCACTCCAAAGACAACCAAAGAATATGGCTGAATTTAGTAGTGTTTTAAATAATTTTAAGTGATAATGTCAGTAACTTTAGGATAGTCTGTGCTAAGGGATCATGATTTTTATCACAAATATGGTAATGAATCTATACCCAAAATAGAAACAAAAGCATGTCCATCTTCAAATGAAGCCAAAGGCCAGAACTGCTCACTCTTGCTTCATCAAATTGTAAACTCTGGGCTTGCTAAAGTGTCCTGTATTTTTCATTAAGGGTACTTAGCAAGCGCTTGGTAAATACTTGTTGATTAAATTACCTGAGATAAACCACACCTGACACTGTCAATCTTTTCCTTGACAGGCAGCTCAAATGTTTCTGTGACAACTAATCCAATGTGTGCCTTCACTCAAGGAATTCAATTCATTGAGAAAACCTGCCCAGGTGCAACATCTAGATTCACAATGAACTTTCTGATTTTGTATTCATTTATTCCAGCTCTTGTCATCCTAGGAATAGTTGTTTTCAAAATAAGGGATCATCTCATTAGCAGGTAGTGAAAGCCATGGCTGGGAAAATGGAAGTGAAGCTGCCGACTGTGCATGACTGCTCTGAACGTCTGAAATGAGAGTGCCATGTATTTCTTTCTTGACAGGACATCTCAAGTCTTTTAACCATTAAGACTCCATTTGTGCCTCTTGGATCCAAGCAGGCCTTGAATGCAATGGAAGTGGTTTATAGTCCCTTGCTCTTACAACTTGCAGGGACATGTGGTTATTTGGAAATTGTGACTGAGCGGACCCAAGAATGTAAATAATATTCATAAACCTATGGGAGACTCGTGTGACTATTTTTTTTCCTTGTTCTAGGCACAGAAAAAAATAGGTCAGCTTAAAAATATGTTTACATTGGATAAAGGATTAGGCAAAAATAAAATGTTTCAAGGATTCCTGACCATAAGTGACAGAGAAAGAGAGTTGTGGGTTTAGATGAAGCAAGGTTATCATGCAGAATTGGGTAAGAATGCTTCTGTTCCTGGAAGACCCAGAGTTAAATGCAGATGTCCACACGAGGGGTCGGAGTTACCTGATCACATCGAGAGAGTGCTGGGCAGATGGATGGTGAGCACCACTGCTACAGAGCACCCAGTGATTTTACTGAGGATTAAAATAAAAAACCGTAGGAATGGGCTCAACAGTGAACAAAGCACACCAGACAAACCTCTGGTTATGTTTTTAAAGATTCGTTTGCTATTTTTCACTTTCAGCTGAGTTTACTTATAGGCACATTGTGCACATGTACCCTAAAACTTAAAGTATAAAAAAAAAAAAACCTACCGAAAAAAAAAAAAAAGAATTACAAGTAAACTTTACTAAAGTATATGCACTGAGAAATAACCCCATTAAGGCTGGAGATCAGCTGTTATTTAAAGTCCATATAGAAAAAAATGCTGACATAGCTAGACATGGTGTCTCACATCTGTAATCCCAGCTGCTCAGGAGGCTGATGTGGAAGGATCGCTTAAACCTAGGAGGCAGGGGCTGCAGTGAGCTATGATGGAACCACTGCACTCCAGCCTGGGCAACAGAGACAGAGCAAGACCCTGTCTCTAAAAAAGAAAGAAAAAAAGTGCTGACATATTGTTTACAAAGAACAGGGTACATACTAGAAATTCACATTCTTGAACTGTAAAGGGTGCTGATATGTATAAATACAGACACCTGTATTACATATTTTCAAGGATAAAATAATGTAAATAGGTTATTAAAAATGGGTTCTGGCCAGGCGCGGTGGCTCATGCCTGTAATCCCAGCACTTTGGGAGGCCGAGGCGGGTGGATCACGAGGTCAAGAGATTGAGACCATCCTGGCCAACATGGTGAAACCCCGTCTCTACTAAAAAATACAAAAATTAGCTGGGCATGGTGGCAGGCGCCTGTAGTCCCAGCTACTTGGGAGGCTGAGGCAGGAGAATCGCTTGAACCTGGGAGGTGGAGGTTGCAGTGAGCCGAGAATGCACCACTGCACTCCAGCCTGGCGACAGAGCAAGACTCTGTCTCAAAAAAAAAAAAAGGTTCTGTATTAAAATTACTGATTCTCTTTCTGATTGATCTTCAAGTAATTCCATGTACAAACCTGAAATGAAACTGTCTCAGTGTTACTATGGTAACTTTGGGTGAGAATATGGTAGAGAGCGCATGAACTTGTTCACTGACTGTGACCTAACTTGTGAAGAAAGATAAATTATAGCATTTGAAATGTCTCACACTGAAATAGGAAAGATCATTTCATTAAGGAAACCACAGTAAAATTCTATTTCTTAGAACAGTATTTAAGGATGTGGAGGCATTGGTAAATTATCAGACTAGTATTGTCAATTTTTATAAAAGGTCTTTGACATGGATGATTATGGTGTAATAGTTACACAATGTCTTACAGATTATATATGTCACATCAGTTATAGACAATTCTGGAGATGATAATCTATTAAAGTAGTTCAAAGAGAGTCCCACAGGAACCTCTTTTGAAATCACTGATTTCAACTTACTAAAGATATGGGTGTACAACATAAGTGGAAACATTTTCTACTATTCATATGCAGATGAATTTCATTCTAGCTCAGAAACATTTGGAAAACTGACATCACACGTGACTTCAAGCTATTAAATGTTAGTGATAGCACCTTAGAAAAACACAATGGCTTTCAACATGTGACAGTTTGTGTCTCAAGTCAAAAATGGACAGTGATGTGTAAGAAAATCAAATTACATAATAACAATTCCTATTACTCTTGTGGAATAGGCTGTTTCTTCCCACCAAGTCAGTGATGTTTCTGAGATCATAATGTTCACTGTAAATTTAAAGGGATTTCTTTTTCCATAGCACTCAGCAAGAAACGTGTGCTAAAGACTGAGGTTCCTTGGAAACATGCTGAAAATTCTGTTCTCAAGGGTGTCAGAACCATACGTACTGCAAATAATTTATGAAGTCCTAGTTCATTGCAATAAGCAGATGGCTTGCTATCTGCTCAGACAGTACTCCCTTGGGGTAGTAAATGTGCTTATCTGAAGCTGGGAGTCAATATATTTTGTATGTGGACATGGAAGAACATAGAATAAATCATTTTTAATCATAGCAATTATACTTACTCAAAATGAACTTGGCTAGCAGGTACACACATCTACAGATTGGAATGGCTTCTTAAAGGCTATCCCACCTTGGAAATAATCCTGGTTATCCGCAACACATGATGTTTTGTCCTGCTTCTTGATAGGATATCTCCTTAGATGTGCCTGTTCTTCAAAAAGTGGTATTTAAAATAAATGTGTCAGTCTCACAGCAGGGTGAAATTGGTGCTGATTAAAAATGCCCCATTCCAGACCACTGATGGCGACACTCTAGGTGTGGGGACCTGGGAATGTGCATCTCCTATTTCAGGTGCTTCTTGCGCCTCACTGTTAAGAGTAAAATTTTGACATCTGTGAACCCAATTCCGGTTTCCTCCCAGCTACAGCTGAGAATGCCTTTTAGAAAGAATGTGTCTAACGTGGGCACTTAACCTTGCATTTAAAACTGTAACCAAATACTCTTACTTTTATATTCCTAAAAACATATAAGCAGAAACTTATACATGCTGAATTGAGTATATACCACTTAAACATGTTAGAGGTAGGTAGTAGAAGATTCTTTTATTTTAAAAAAAATTACACGTGGTTCTACAATAATTTTTCCTTTTAAAAAGCTTCAAGATATACAGGGAGATGCACTAGTCCAAGAAATCCAGCTTGTCCTTTAACAAATTATACAGTTTAACTTTCTTCACATATTGCCACAATAGTTAATTCACAGTATAATCTTATTTGTATTTGGAAAAGAAGAAATAAATATACAATAATTGAAATAGGTTCAAGAATCAAGCTCGATTTGTTTCCAAGACTTGGAAGAACTTCTTTTGTACTGTTCCAGTTCCTAAAACAAAAATATGTATCACTTTAAGAAAAATCAACTTTACTAATTCAAGGAGGCACCTTAAAACTGCCTTCTCATTTTTTAGATATATCAATGAATCCTTAGTAGCATTATCATTCTAAATATTTCTTGCCAATTATTTTGTAAATGATTATGCTTAGGACTTATTTTCTAGAAATACTGTCTTCAGAGTTTCTGTGTGGCTAAGCAGCACTCAGAGATGAATTTATTAAACTTTCAGACAAAATTATGTACATAAACTACATAATACATATGAATTGTCTTTCAACTAATGAACTAGACATCTGTCATCCTTCAAGTATTCAAAAGTGATCTTATTTTAATTGTTTGCTGTTCAGCTCTAATCAAAAACTTGGTTGAAGTTAGCAAAATATTTAAAAAATACATACCCAGGCTGGGTGCGGTGGCTCATTCCTATAGTCCCAGCACTTTGGGAGGCTGGGGCAGGAGAATTGCTTGAGCCCAGGAATTTGAGACCAGCCTGGGCAACATAGGGAGACCGTGTCTCTACAAAAACTGAGAAAAATAATTATCCAGGCATGGTGGTGTGCGCTGTGGTCCCAGCTACTTGGGAGTCTGAGGTGGGAGGATCGCTTGAACCTGGGAGGCCAAGGCTGCAGTAAACTGTGATTGCGCCACTGCACTCCAGCCTGGGTGACAGAGTGAGATCCTGTCACAAAAAAGTGTGTGTGTGTGTGTGTGTGTGTGTGTGTGTGTGTATCCTTTGTCCCAGTGATTTTACTTTTAGAAATTTATCATCCATAACAATAGAGCAATGCACAAGGATGTAAAAGAAGGAAACCCATTGCTCTGTCTCAGCACAACTGGAAACAACTTTGATGTCCCCCAGTAAGGACTGATTAAATAATTAGCGTTCATTCACAGGTGGCTTCCAAGGCAGCCAGCAAAAATAACAGTGGCCACATGAAAACATAATGTGTGCCACATGAAAAAAGCACACAGATAGGGAGAGGGCAGGATACTTCCATTTTCTATTTTATATACATCTATCTATAGCTCTTGAATTTTTTCACAAGGAGTATATCTTACCTTTACAATTCATAAATAAATTTTAGTGGAGGTGGCTATCCTGCACAAGGCAACTGACATGTAAAAGGGACCATCTAAGGGGATGCCTCTTGGCCTCCTACATGTTGTTCAATGTCTAAATAACTGTACAAAGGTTGTCACTACTTCAAATAAAACGTGGTTACTCTGCAAGATGAGGCAATCAATGCCCTTTGGCTAACATAACTGAAGTTCACAGTTGCTATGAAAAGAAAATCCATTCTAATTTTCAGAAAAATTGCAGAGCGTACCTTTCATACCTATACCCTAAGTTACTAAAATTTAAATGTTAAATGTTTCAAAATGGTATATAGACTTAGGAAGAATTTTTCCTTGTGTGTTTTTTTTTTTCCTTTAACTTCCTCATTGGATTCTAGGAAGAATTTTCATGGTAATAATCATATGTAGTCTTTACAGCTTGTTTTATTTTTTTCTAATAAAGCTAATTCAGTTCACCAGTTATCTACCACTTGCGGTTTTAAAGATTAACTCATAAAGAATAAACAAATTGTTTACTGCAAACTTTGTCTTTAACTGGAAGTTAAATTATTTTTACCAATGACAAAGGTGAAAATGTTGTTTTGAGATTCTTTGCTGGTAGTATCTCCCTTTTGCAGACAGCAGACTGTGAGAAAACTAGGGCTATCACACAGGCCATGCCAGAGGGAGAAAAAGGAATAACCAATATGAGACAAAAACCACCAAGTCCACTAGATCTTCAACATGACAATGATACGGCCTCAAAATAATGCATTGATGTTTTAAAGGGATAGCAAGTAAAGTTTTCCGAAGATAACTGTGGTTGGCCAAGAAGACCTTAAAAATAAATGTTAACTGTAACCTTTTTTTTTTTTTTTTTTTTTTTTTTTTTTGCTTTAACAAAAATAATAGAAAAGAAGCTGGGCACAGTGGCTCATGCCTGTAATCCCAGCACTTTGGGAGGCCAACTCAGGAGGATTGCTTTAGGCGAGGAGTTGAAGACCAGCCTGGGCAACAAAAAACAAAAAAATTACCCGGGCATGGTGATGTGTGCCTGTAGTCCCAGCTACTTGAGAGGCTGAGATGGGAGGATCCCTTGAGCCCTGGAGTTCAAGGTTGCAGTGAGCCATGATCTCCCCATTGCACTCCAGCCTGGATGCCAGAGCAAGACACAGTATCAAAGAAAAAGAAAAAAACACAAAAGAGGTAGAAGGGCTCAGCAAGTGCTTTCCACATTCGCATTCCCTTAAAATCGGGAATGCTCTAAAGCTAGAGGACTTTTAAAAAACAGAAAATACTACTTAAGTATTTTCTGGTGCCCATGTGAAGTCTGGCAAAAGACAGAACTTTAAATAATTAAAGAGGGCTAATCACGAAAGACCCTAAGTCTGCAGGAAAGATGAAAGGGGTCTTCCTACCAATCCTCAGATCCTTGAGGACTGACTTCACAGCACACAATTGGAAACAACTTAAGGTCTCACAACTACTCATGAAATAGTATGAAATAATATTCAAATTAAAAATTTTATATAGTAGAATGTCAAAATTTAGATTCGGATTATCAATGAAATAACAGCAACAACACTGGTAATTGTTAGGGTATCTTTACAGCTAAAGCATAAAATTATGTTAAGGTCCTGTGTGTGCAATCTGGAATCAATTCGTCTAAAACCACACAAATAAAAGTGGTTTAGAGGCAAACTTAGGACAGCATAACTTTTCAGGTAGGTTAAAAAAAAATCTCGAACCAAGAGATGACAGGAATTGGTGATCTGCTGGCAGTGAGATACAAGAGATGAATGAAGGGTGATATGGGTACTGTGGGGCTGCCTTCCTTTTCCACACAAAATTCTTATGGTTTTAAGTCATTTAGAGAAGACAGATTTGAATGTGAAAACTCATGATGCTCACAAATACCCTAATCCTTTAATAATACTGATGTATATGAACTTAATAAAAGTGATCATTATACAATATAAACAGATATTCTTATCAACAACAACAGTTAATCATTGACTCCTAGATAAATATTAATCAGGGATGACTTCCAACTAATCCTTATAGCCAGGCTGCAAACATAATAAGGGTTACATAAGGTCATTTTCCTGTTTCTACAACATGCCTCTCACTTTGCTACAGCTATAAAACCTCTAAATATTCATGGCATATTTTTCAAAAGTCTTCTGGACCGTTTACATAAAATGTTTTGCTTACTTCTCCAACAGCCCCCGAAGGTGAATACTGAGAAAAAAACCCTGGCTCCTACTCCCAGCTGACAGCTGTTTTCAGGTTACCCTCGCAACAACGTGACTGCCACCTGAGAAGTTGCTGGGGCTTTCGATCTAGTGCTTAGCATATATAAGTTTACTCATATAAGGACAGATTCTGTACAACGTCTCATTTTATCAAATAAAACTAAAATCTAAGTTTGCTTGTTTGTTTTTAGAAAAATCTAGGCCAGGCGCACTGGCTCATGCCTGTAATCCCAGCACTTTGGGAGGCCAAGGCGGATGGATCACGAGGTCAGGAGTTCAAGACCAGCCTGGCCAAGATGGTGAAACCCCGTTTCTACTAAAAAAGCAAAAAAAATTAGCCAGGTGTGGTGGCAGGCACCTGTAATCCCAGCCACTCAGGAGGCTGAAGCAGAGAATTGCTTGAACCCGGGAGGCGGAGGTTGTAGTGAGCCGAGGTCATGCCACTGCACTCCAGCCTGGGCGACAGTGTGAGACTCGTCTTAAAAAAAAAAGAAAAAGAAAAAGAAAAGAAAAATCTAAGTATTTGAGTGATGGTGAATTTGCCAACTCTTAACATTCTTACATCAGACTTGTGTGTTCAAATGGGGCTATCTAGTGATACATGGGATGGTGGTGTCCACTTTTAAGCATTTTCCTGAGAGAACCTGGGTTATGTCAGGTATGTCTGTGTGCTTTCAGATCGTGCTTTCAGTCCTTAACTGGGCAAGATACGTTTTCTAGTACAAGGAAAGTATAGGTATGTCTGAATGTCCTAATCAAAAACAAAGCTCTTCATGTAATTCCACAAACCAAAGACTATTAAGAAAATGTCTCTCCAGCAGCAAGGTAAGAATCACCACTCATCTTTAATATAATGAAAACTGGAAAATCAAAAAGGTTTATGTGAACACTAAGTCATGTCTGGGTGGTGGGATGACAGGTGATTTAAAAATTTTTCTTTATTCATATCAAATTTTTATTTTTTCTACAGTATACTATTAGTGTGTTATTTAAATAGATGTACTACTTAAATAATTTTAATAGTAAAGAAGATACTCTAAGTAAATACATAGAGAAAAATGTAAGGAATTCCCAAGGCACCCCAGGTTTTGTGTTAAAATTTCAGATGAAATTAAGTAAATGTTTAGGATAATACCAGATCCTTCTGAATTCTCATCTCATCGACTTCATTTTCAGCATACTGAGGATCTCTCGCAGGGTCCTTGATATCTTTCAGCGTGTTAATACTCTGAAATTACAAATCTCAAAATCACTTCACGCCCATAAACCAAAATTCAATGGCTACCATCTGCCTAATAAACCAAGCTCCCATTCCTCAGCCTGCCACAAAGGCTCTCTATGATCTTTCTAGCTTTTCTCATCACCACTGAGGCCCACTTCCAATTCTGCCAGGTCCCCTTTCAGTTGTCTCTCCCTTCTCTAACAGCCAGATAACTCTCTTTGAAAGTGGAGCAGGAACCATGTCTTACCTTTTTTTTTTTTTAACCCCCACAGTGCCTATTTACATTTTCAGCAAATGTTTAATTGATTTTTGAGCATAAAAGATGAAAACAAAGTTATCATAATAAGCCCTTTGACACATTTCCTATAACTGTTAGACAGTGCTAAAAGTCTTGCTTTTAAAAAAATTAGAAATATGTACCTTTGGTGGAAAGAGCTTTTCATACACTTTTTTCCACAACTCCATAGGTGAGTGGGCATGAAGCTTTCCAATGTCATTTTCAGGAACAGGAGGAGATCCTAAAATAGCAAGTTTTACCACAAATGACTGCAATGATTAAAATATTACAAACTCCACCAATAAAAGAAATGACACTAACAAAGGTATACATCTCGGATCACTCATTTTCCCTCTCCTTAATATAGTCACCATAAAAATTTACCCTACCCAGCATAGCAAGGTCACTGGGACAGATTCTAGTACTGAAAGAAGAGGAGGCAAAGAGTAATGGGTAAACTGTAACTCTCATTCTCCACACCCTATACCTATACCTGTATCTATATCCTATTAACCAGTAATTCCAGTTTTTGGTAGTGTTTGCCCTAGAAACACCTGCAAACTGGTACTGTATTAAGGATTTCACACTGCAGTATAATTTGTTATCAGTGAAAAATTGACCTACAACCAAAATATTCATCAGTGGTGAACAGTGCATTAATTACTATGCATAGCCATGCTCTGTAACACTATCCAACAGTTAAAATAAGAAATAGACCCACATACAGCATTAATATGGAAAAACTACTAAGGTATATTGGTATATTGAATTAAAAGGTACTGAATAATAGGGTATATTGAATAAAAAGGGGAAATTCCAAAATGATATAGACTGAACACATAATTACATTAAAGCAAATAGTTTTTTTACACTATATACACATGTGTGTAAAGGCATAGGAAATTGGAAAGAACACAAATTTGCTCCTTGTATGTACTCTTTTACCTTTTTACAAGGAGATATCTTTATGTGTTACTTGTATAATTTAATTTGAAAAATTTAAAACTTTGCTGCCATTTGCAATTTGTAACTGGATATTTCCCATCTTTCTATTTCCAACAACTGTATTGTTCCCCAAAACTGTTTTACTGGTGATCTTCCAGGACATCCTTACCACTTTGGTGCGAAAGCCATTGATACGCTCCACTGATGTTATTCAGCTTTGCCAAGTTTTACTTGTATTCCTTTGTGTGTCTGTGTGTATATTAAGTTCTATACAATTTTATCACCTGCATAGGTTCATGTATTTGCTACCACAGTCGAGACACCAACTTAATTCCACTAGCACAAAGATCCTGTGTTGCCGTTTTATAGACATAACCTCCTCCTTCCCGACCCCTCCCCTGGTCTCCCCATCCATAGTTCTATCCCTGCCCTCTGACCACCACTAATCTGCCTCCATTTCTAAAATGTTTTTCATTTCAAAATTTTTTATAAATAGAATCACACTGTATGTAATCTTTTCTAATTGGCTGCTTTTCACTCAGCATGATTCCCTGGAGATTCATCCAGTCTGTGTGTATCAATTATTTGTTCCTTTGTATGACTGAGTAGTGTTTCCTGGTACAGATGTACCACAGTTGTTTAGTCACTCACCTGCTGAACAACTTCTGGGCTGTTTCTAGGTTTTGACTACTAAACATAAAGCTGCCATGAACATATGCCTAGAGATTTTTTGTGTGAGAGTTAAGTTTTCATTTATCTTGGATAAATGCCCAACAGCACAATTTCTAGGTCATATGGTAGTTGCATGTTTAGTTTCGTAAGAAACTGTTAAACTGTTTTCTAGAGTGGCTGTACCATTTTACACTCCCACCACCAATGTATGAGAGATCTGGTTTCTCTGCATCCTTGCCAGTATTTGGTGGTGTCACTATTTTTTATTTTAGCTATCCTGTTAAATGTATAGTGATATTTCATTGTGGTTTCAATTTGCATTTCCCTAACAACTAATGATATTAAACACCTTTTCATGTGCTGCTTTGCTATGTTTATGTCCTCTCTGAAATGAAATGTCTGCTTATGTCTTTTGCCCACTTTCTAATTGGATTATTTATTTTTCTGTTGAGTTTATATATTCTAAACACTAGTCCTTTGTCATATATGTGGTTTGAAATTCTTTTCTCCCACACTATGGCACGTCTATTCATCTTCACATGGGCTTTCATAGAGCAAAAGTTTTTAATTCCGATGAGATCTAGGCGCCATGATTTTTAAATTCAGCAATTATGAACTCTCTTCTGGCCTCCAACTATTCATAGAAGCAAAAGAATTCCATCAGCATTATCTATCAGTACAACAGTGATTCTCACTGCTACTGGAATTAAGTTGGTGCTAATTATAATCATAAACATCAGTCTCCATGACCATTCACTAAGCAAAATCACCTCCATTCCTTTCATTCCAATTAATCTATAATCTCATTACAAAGATTTCTATATTTGAAGTCAAGTCACCTTTAGCTTGTAAGACTAACAGAGGATGGGAAATACAAAAAAAAAAAAAAAACCCTACTGCCCATTAGAGTTTTAAAAGCAAACTACGCCACCTGCAGAGGATAAAGAAGTGCGAGGCTCAAAGATCTTCACAATGAAAACAGTTTCTGTGGGAAGGTAAGGGCCTTGAGATATAAACTCTTAAACTTCCTTTTGATTCAGAAGCCTATAGAGTCTATGAGTTTAGGAAATACATTCCATTAGATGAGGCATGCTATTTCATAACAAAAAATCAAATCATACCTAATTGTTACAACTGTGTTCTTTTTGGTTTACTCTACCACTTCAGTCTCTCATATACTTGCTAATTGCCTGTAATATGTAGCTTTGAATTTCCTCACTACTCTATGCTCCTAGCTTCTTTAAAGCCAAGGAGCTAAAATTTAAAAGTACCTGGAAATCAGTTGGGGAAAGAAAATACTTGCAATTTGTTTTTCAGTGGAATAGAGATCAGAAATGAAAAATCAGTCTCTTATGTGGTGACATCACTTCCATCACAAACATGTCAATGTGATGCATGTTACATTAATACTGGGCATATAAACAAACACACAGGAAATAACAGCAATGATAATGAAACCAGAAATAGGAGTATGTTGGAGACAAAGTGAACATGGAGTAGGACAAAATCAATAAGCAATTAAAAAAAGATTGAACAATCTTAATAAGTTCACTAACCTATTTGACCGAAAGAATCCAATCCTGCTGTGATAAACAGCGGTTTATTCTGATCCACACATATTGATTTGCTACGTGGAGAAGAGAAAGATTCTAAATTAGTTTAGCAATTAGATTTGCTGCCACGCTCTCCTGTAAATATGACAGCAATATTATCGGCTAGTTTTACATTTAGCCACTAATGAGAGCATTGCCCCGAATGAATGAGTGACTATCAATTTAAGTGATTTCAAAAATTAACATATAGCATAAATAAACATTTTATAGGAAAAAAAGTGACAGACCCTATTACCTTAAATCAAAACCAAGAGAAGTAGCAAGGCTAAGAAGATACATACCAAAATTTTCAATTCCATTTCAAATCAGTAAAAGAAAGTGATAGTAGAGGGAAGCTACTGAAGTGTGGGAAAGGAAGTAAAAGAAATCAGGGAGCTAGTATAATATTATCATTATTTTATTCCAGCCTCAAACTAAATGTTATGTAACATTTTGGTTGTAAAATTTAAGAAATATTTAAAGAATATAAGAAGCAGGAAATAATATGAAATTATCCCCTTTATGTTGAGTCTTGACAAAATAAATAATAATATTAATAATTAAAAATAATAATAAAATAAATAATAAAATAAATAAAATAATAATAATTTAAAAAGAAATTATCCCTTTAAGAAAAGCCATCTGGGTCACTTTCCTGGTCAAGACACAAGAGACTGAGTAGAACAATAATCAGATGAGACAACATTGGCTAAATCAATCACTCAATAAATGATATAAAAAATATCTTAGCAGTACCTTTTGTCAATGCCAAATGCCAACTGGTTGATAACTCCACGTATTTTTAGTAATAGAGCTTCTGATTTACTGGTAAACTTTAAACAAATCAGGAGAACAAATTACATGCTCTATTTTCCAATCACAGAAACAGGTAAAATAAATATGGCTTTGAACAAATACAGATTACAAAGAGAATCACTGTTTTGTTGCCCAGCAAATACTTCTGTTTGAGTAGACAAAACAAAACCTGAATAAAGAAATCTTGGTAACTTTAACTCGTTCTTCAAACTTAATGAGTACATGATGTGGAAAGGACTTGTGTTTATGTACTCATCATTTCAGCTACTCACACAAATGGACCATAATCACTGTCAAATAATTTCTTTAAAATATATATATATGAATGTATGTTTATGGGCTGTATGTGTGTAAACATACTCATTATGGTCTAAAAGAAAATTTTCCAAAATGCAGTTGGGTTGGTTAGAAAATAAGAGGTATACCTCAAAAGTAGCTTTCACATCCAAGGGCGTATTGCTGCCTTCCAAAGAGTCACTGTGGGACTGCAGACTGGTCTAATGATGCTGATACTCACTAAGGTAATTTTTTAACTTCTTTTTAAATTGCTTTTGGTGCCTAAGCTACTGAATATTTTCAGTGCTGGTATATAACTAGGGAAACCAGAACCAGAACATTTCAGAGAATGAAAGGGGTTGGGTACTATTAATAATTAAGCTGTGACATCAGATGAATACCAGGACATATGGTTACCCTACAGATCTTTAAAAGCTAGATTGGATTTCTGTAGATACCAAAAGTCATTCACAGCCAAGTCAAAATGACTAAGAGGTATGGAAGTGGGAAAAACAACTTTGAACTGAAATGAAATCTAATTGTGAAGCAAAGGTATCAGCGTTATGGTTCCAATGGTAATTCCACAAGATAAGCCTCATTCTGGATTAAGAACAGAAAGTTCTTAATGCTCTCAGAGAAAGTATTCAAATGAGAATACTCATGTATATGTAAGATCTGACACATTTATTAAAGAAAGCATTGAAATAATTGTAATGCTTCTACTGAGACCATGTTTTAAAATACATACAGAAAACTTTAACTGAATTTTAGAAATATAACTGCTCTGTTTAATTTTATTTTCTTTATGAGAAAGGAAAAACCTAATCACAAACATATTTCATAGAAGATAGGGCTGGGAGAACATTAGATGTTTTCTAACCCAACTCCTCCATCTGCTGCATCAATCACTTCTAAAACATCCTTCACAAAGAACTGTAGGCCTTCTGCTTAAACAAACTCAATGCCTGGAAACTCATCTCCCCAAATAATTCATTGTTTTCAGATAATGGTAGTATTAGAATGTGCTTTCATATTTTGAGTAAACTCTATTGATTCCTTTTTCTGGACCTTAGAATAGCAAAGAATGAATTTAGTCACTTTTCCATGGAACATTCCTTCAACTATATTAGAGAGTTATCACATTTTAGGTGATATTCTCCTGGTCCTCATATATAATAATTTTAAGTCCCTGCCATCCTCATGGCTCTTCTCTGATTCTGGTTCTACTTATCAGTCTTCTCCTGTTCTTTTGGGGGGCGAGGAGCATATTGGTTTTTTAAGAGATGGGGTCTCGCTCTGCTTCCCAGGCTGGAGTGCAGCAGTGTGATCATAACTCACTGCAGCCTCAAACTGCCAGGCTCAGGCAATCGTCCCTGCCTCAGCCTCCTAAGTAGCTAGGATCACAGGCATGCACTATGATGACTGGCTAATTAAAAAAATTTTTTGTCAAGACAAGGTCTCATTTTGTTGCCCAGGCTGGTCTTGAACTTCTGGCCTCAACTGATCTTCCCACCTCACCCTCCAAGTGTTGAGATTAGAGGCAAGAGCTACCACACCTGGCCTGTGTTTTGTTTTTATTAACTTAATTAGATTGTTCATAATATTGAATCAATATTCTCAACTGCACTATATAGGATCAACTATAGTGTTGGAAAAAAAAAAAACCCTGCTAAATTTCATGGAATTTTGCAAAGCAGTACCCAACTTTCTTCCTTAAATGGGGCAGAGGGTAAGAAGAGATGTGAAACTGAAAGATGAGGCTTTGATCACTTTGGCTACATTCTTCCTGAAAGGCCTTATGGTTCCTTTGGTGGTCCAGAAGTACTCCACTAACCCAAACCCTGTTCCTTTAGGCTTATTAAAAGCTGAGATGAAGCCATTCTCAAAGTCATTCCCTGGTCCCTGATCTTGTTTGATCTCCTGGGCCATGGTTAATCCCAGGCTTGCTGTGGACTGCGTTGACCTGACTTCATCTAAATTTGTACCCATGAGACCAGACTGGACCCTCCATCAAATGTAATCTGTTCCTAAAGAAATACAGGGATTTCCCTCAGCTAACTTTATAACCAGAATTAAATGTGTGACCCTCTCTAGTGGCAAAAATAAGTAACTGCAAGATCTTTACCTCTGTACCCTCGATGAGCCATTCACTTTAAATTCCCCATATCCTCTCAAAATAGTAAAGAACATTTCCCAAAGTACTGTGTCAACCTAATACGTAAGCAAATACGATTCAAACATAAAAGGTGATCATTTTTAAGAAAATACATAATGAAATGTGTAATGTTTTGAAAGGTATAAAAACTGACAATACATATTTTGTACATATTACTTTCAGTTAAAATATTCTAGCCATGAAAGCAAGCGGCTAGACCATGTTGTCTCTAGGTTCCTCTGAGTGCTTTAATTTGGAGGAAAAAAGAGACCATTAAATAATTATTCAAATGTAAAGGAAATTTTTTTTTTTTTGAGACAAGCCCAGTCTGGAGTGCAGTGGTGTGATTTTGGTTCACTGCAGCCTTGACCTCCTGAGCTCATGTGATCCTCCCACCTCAGCCTCCCAAGTAGCTGAGACAACTGGTGTGTGCCACCATGGCCAGCTAATTTTTAAAATTTTTTGTAGAGACAGGTTCTCACCATGTTGCCCAGGCTGGTCTGAAACTCCTGAGCTCAAATGATCCTCTCGCCTTAGCCTCCCAAAGTGTTAGGACTACAGGTGTGAGCCACTGCACCCAGCTGGAAATTTTTTAAATAAAAATGTTTTGGCCAGGCATGGTGGCTCACGCTTGTAATCCCAGCAGTTTGGGAGGCCGAGGAGGGTCGATCATGAGGTCAGGAGTTCAAGACCAGCCTGGCCAACATAGTGAAACCCCATCTCTATTAAAAATACAAAAATTAGCCAGGTGTGGTGGCACGTGCCTGTAGTCCCAGCTACTCAGGAGGCTGAGGCAGGAGAATCACTTGAACCCAGGAGATAGAGGTTGCAGTGAGCCGAGACCATGCTATTATACTCCAGCCTGGGTGACGGAGTGAGACTGTCTCAAAAAAAAAAAAAAAAAAAAAAAAGTTGTTATATTTTATTGCATTAAAGGACATTTAGTAAAGTTTAGTCCTGCTATGGGAGATAATGATAACAGTGATATAATAACCAACATTTATTGAGTAATATTCTGTTCTAGGCCCTGTGCTAAGCATTTCACATGTACTCCCTCTTTGAATCCTCACAACAACCCTATGAAGAAGGTACTGTTTTTCTCCATTTTACCCTGGAGGACAATGAGGCTTAAGTGAAATTAAGTGACTTGCCGAAGATCACACGTCTAATAAATGGTCACTCTGAGATTCGAACCCAGGGAGCATGACTTCAGATTTCATGTTTTTAACTTTTACAACAAACAGCACTTTTTTAAAGAGCCCCCATCCCCAATACACACACTGATAGAGTTGATTTTTGTTTTTCTTTTAGGGGAATATAGATTCTAATTCTTAAGGGGATACCAAAAATGAATAAATAGATCATCAACTTATCTCTTTAAACTTGGTTGGGATTTATGGATATAAGCAATTTAGAACTTTTGTTCCAAAGAAGGGGGAGACCATCTAGCAGTGCATGTTCAACAGATGCATTATCAAACACTCTGTAAGGAGAGGTCTTCAGCAGTGGGAAAGCAACGGGACCATGTGCATTAGCAAAAGCATTTATTCCTCGTAGCTGTGCATCAAGTTGCTGATTTCCCCAAATTTGGTACTGTCCATTCAAGCCCAAAGGACAAGAAATGTACAAACCATTAATGATGCTCCATAATAATGTGCAACAAATCGAAGTGTCTTGCATATTACCTTTCTCTTCTCAGACTCAAAATCCTGTAGAAATATGTTATTTTAAAAAGTCAAGATAACCAAATATCTATAGCAGGAAGATTCAAATTATTAAATGTAGAATAGATTATTTCTTATTTTTTTAAACTCACTTTCAGGAATAGGATTCCATTACCTTGATATTTATTTCATAGAGAGTTGAACAATAGCTGCAGCCTTCTTAGAACTACAGCTAACAGATCTTTCTTTGTTTAAATACTTAGCTCAATAGAATTTAGATATAAGCACACATTTCATAGTGTGGAATTCTAACGATTCTCTGACAAGCAAAGATAAGAAGGAACTAATTTTCTACTTTCTTCCATTTAAAAGTTGGGAAGTAAGTCATATTCCCCAGTGACTGGGTTGAAGACTTTTTTTTTTTTTTTTGAGACAAGTGTCTCACTGTGTAACCCAGGCTGGAGTATAGTGGTGTGATTACAGCTCACTGTAACCTCAAATTCCTGGGCTCAATTGATCCTCCCCCTTCAGCCTCCCAAAGTGCTGGGACTACTGGCATAAGCCACTGTGCCCGGCAAGATTCATTTTCTAAATCTGCCTTATCCCCATTCTAATCACTGCATTTATTTTCTTTACCTATTTTTTTCTGTCCCAACTATGTCTTTTCCAAAATCTTTAAGATGCATGACTTAACCGATTCCTTCAATAATTATTTTTCTTATTTTGATATTATTTTTGTACCTCCCTCATAAAAAGCACAGCCATATATGTACAACAAACTCAGCTAGAAGCGGAAGAGCTTACCTGAAAAACATCATATTTACTTCCAATTATGACCAGAGGTACCGGAAATGGGTCAATTAATTCATGATCCTGCTAATAAACATATTTCCTTGAGTTGTTGTAATTCTTTATTGCTAGGTGCTTAGCAATTTCTATTTACTTCCAAAAACATTCCATTTTCAGTCTCTTCATAGATGTTTACTTAATTTGCTTGACATAGAATTTGTTCTAATATTTAACTTTCACTTCCTAAGCTATATTTCATAAGTGTAAAACTAGAAATGGCAATTCCCTAAATTACTATGATATTTATTATTTTCCTTTTTCTACCCTTTTATTTCCTTATATAACATATTACCTTCCTGGTTTTTTTTTATTCTATTTTATGTTGACTGTTGGAACAGCATTTATCCAGCATAGATTTGTTTTGTTCCATTATTTCCTATGAAAAACACTTCCTCTCTTTTTTTTTCTTTTGAGGCAGAGTCTCCCTCTGGAGTCAGGCTGGAGTGTAGTGGCGCGATCTCGGCTCACTGCAACCTCCACTTCCCAGGTTCAAGCGATTCTCCTGCCTCAGCCTCCCAAGTAGCTGGGACTACAGGCATGTACCACCACACCCAGCTAATTTTAGTATCTTAAGTAGAGACGGGGTTTCACCATGTCGGCCAGGATGGTCTTGATCTCTTGACGTCGTGATCCGCCCGCCTCGGCCACCCAAAGTGCTGGGATTACAAGCATGAGCCATCGCACCCTGCTACACTTTCTTATAAACTCTGGATAATATAAAATGCTGCTCTCAGTTTTCCAGATGATGATATTTATTATTGTATTTGAAGAACTTGTGTTACCATCATAGCAACTTTATAATTTAATTAGCTGTCAGATGATAAAAAGATACTGAATAAGTGACAGAAACGAAATGAATGTAAAATACAGAGTGATGGTGAAGGCTATTACAACTCTACCCCTTGCTTAAAGTTGTAGCTTCATCTAGTCTTTGTCAGGTGACTTTTGTACAATCTGGCTTTTTATCTTCATTTTTACAGAGATTATAAAATCAATATCAAACCACTACTTTAAAACTCTATTTCTCTGATTGGTGTAATATGCCATAACAATCACAGAAGATGTCTAACAAGAAGATATAAGGAATCTTCTTCCTTGTTTTGCTCTTACTGAGGTTTTAATAAATTGCTGTAATTTTCCAGTGAACAGGTTCATCTACATCAAATGAATTTCAAGTCATGCATAAAAATCTAAAGAAGTTGTTTGTGATGTTATCATTAACTATAAATGGGACTAAGGATTCCAGTAATAATCCCAAACAGCAACTCACAGGATGATCCTTCGGCATATTATTCCAGATCTTCTGTCTCATTTCAGAAACTGCTTTAGCATTTGTCTTTCCCAGTTTCATTATCACTTTGTCTACATGGCTTTTTGTGGCTTGCAAGAGATTTTCCATGGTGGGCCAGAGATCATTAGGTTTTGAAAGATCCAGAACGAGAACAAGAGAAAACGTCCTAAAGAAATAAAAACACTTTTCAAAAAAGACTCAAAATAATTACCATTTTGAAATCCTAATGTACTGAAATTTATCTAAGAATAACTAAAATATACCTTAAGGGGAAAAAAAAACCGTAGCATTATTCTAAGACTCCCAAAAACAAAAAACCAAAGTCATAGCCTTATTTATTCCAATACTTTCCTCTAGTAATATTTAAGTGTTACAATAGTGGAACTAAGTTTCTGTTTGAACTAAAATTAAAAGTAGTTTAGTTCAAATAGAGAAGCTCCAAGCATTTGCATCGACAATGCCACGTTTACATCCAGTTTTACTGTGTGCTCCAAAAAAGGGAAGCAAAAATAATAAAAGAAGCAAAAACAGTAACACAATAATCAGGTAAAGGAGAAGAAAATAGATATATGGGTGGACCTTGCTAGGGAACTACCTAGTTAATCTCCACAATAACCCTCTCCAGAAGATGTTATAATGTCCATTTTATAGATTAGAAGTCTGAGGCACAGATTTATATAATTAGTAAATTGTAGAACTGGTATTTAGATCCAAAGTTACACGTTTTTCTGCAATACCATTCTGTCTCTCTGAAAGCACACTCCTGACCACCAGATACATGACCACCATCACCACATGCACTTGTATTCTGTTCATGCCCATCAAACATAAACCTAGACTCGGCAACAAAAACAAACATTCCTGTTCAAAAATGGGCAAAGAGGCCAGGGATGGTGGCTCATGTCTGTAATTCTAGAGCTTTGGGAAGCTGAGGCAGGAGGATCACTTGAGGCCAGGAGTTCAAGACCAGCCTGGGCAACATAGTGAGACCCCAACTCAACTATATTAAAAAAAAAAAAAAAGAAGGCAAAAGACTCAAATAGACATTTCGCCAAAGAAGATATACAGATGGCCAATTAACACATGAAAAGATGTCCAACTTCCTATCCATTAGGCTAGCTATTGTCAAAACATTTTTTTGTTGTTGTTTTTGGAGGAGGAGTCTCTATTGTCCAGGCTGGAGTACAGTGGCATGATCTCAGCTCACTGCAACCTCTGCCTCCCGGGTTCAAGCCATTCTCCTGCCTCAGCCTCCCAAGTAGCTGGGATCACAGGCATGCACCACCACATCCGGCTAATTTTTGTATTTTTAGTAGAGACGAGGTTTCACCATGTTGCCCAGGCTGGTCTCGAACTCCTGACCTCAGGTGATCTACCCACCTCAGCCTCCCAAAGTGTTGGGATTACAGGTGTAAGCCACCACTCCTGGCCTAAAACATTTTTTTAAATGAGAAGATAACAAGTATTAGTGAGGATACAGAGAAATTAGAACCCCTGTACATTGCTTATGGGAATGTAAAATGGTGCAGCCACTGTGTAAAATAGTATAGTGATTCCTCAAAAAATTCACCATAGAATTACCAGATGATCCAGCAATTCCACTTCTGAGTCTAAACCCAAAAGAACTGAAGGAAGAGATTTAAACAGATAATGTACACCAATGTTCATACCAGCATTACTCACAATAGTCAAAAGATGAAAACAACCCAAATGTTCTGCATGGATTAACGGATAACTGAACTGTGGTATTTGTTTACACAATGGAACATTATTTAGCCTTAGAAGTGAGGGAAATCCTGACACATACTACAAACGGAAGAACCCTGAAGACGTTATGCTAAATGAAATAAATAACAAAAGGACAAATAATGAATGATTTCATTTATATGAGGTACTGGAGTGGTCAAATTCATAGAGACAGGCAGTAGGGATGATAGTTGCCAGGAGCTGGGGAAGGAAAAACAAGGAGTTATTGTTTAATAGGTAAAGAGTTTCAGTTTGAGAAGATCAAAAAGTTCTGGAGATGTATGGTGATGAGAATATACTTGATGTTACTGAACTGCACAGTTAAAAATGACTAAAATTTTACGCTATGTATATTTTACGACAATAAAAACTAAACATTTGTAAATCTAGGAGTATTTTTAAAAATGGTTATAATAAGTATGTAGAACCATAATCCTTGATGGTTTAGGATTATATCCAATATAACCAATATATCCTTGATCAACACAGCAAACATTCTGCTAGAAGACATAGCACAAAATTATAATATGTTATTTAATTATTTTGTTTAGTTCAAGTAAACAGGCTATTTTGTATAATTCAAGCAAAACAGTAACAATTCTGTTGGTCTAAATTCAGAAAGTAGTCTTTTACACATTAATTATCAAATTTTCTAAAAATTATTGTGCTATTACATTGTCTAGGCAATTATATTTATGTCATTTTAATAAGCTCATAAGCAGTTTTGCTTAAGTGTAAAAATAGTATATACATTTTTAATTGTACTAATTTCATTTTCAGGGTTTTGGTATGGTTGTGTTTCAACTATGATTTAACATTTTTTCATTGTGATGAAATGGATATAACATAAAATTTATTATTTTTTCAAATGAAAAATTATTCTAAGCAAAAGAAAAATAAATTACTCAAATTTTTTCTAAGATTAAAATTTTTGTTTACAGTATATTAGAAATACTTTTGTTACTTTTTACCTATTTCATAGCAAATGATAGCCAAAAAATTTTTTTACATAAACTCCTAAAACAGAGATTCAGACTACAGGAAATGTTCTATTACAAATTGTCTAAAGTGTGTGGAAATGTTCAATGCATTTATAATTCTATAAACAGTTATTTCAAAGATAAACAGTATCTAACAGTATTTGGCAATATTGTTTTCTCAAGTTGTGAGACTTCATCCAACACAAGGAAATTATGTGTCAAACTAATTCCAGTCAAAAACAGTTTGAGTGTTTTTGACATGGTGAATGAAATGTTTTTCCATGAATTATTTAACCACCCAGCAACCTACTTTAGACCCAAGCCTATGGCTCCCTTTCCCTTTCCCTCTGTTGATCATAACCCTGACCCTTCCTCTCTCCTAAAGCAGGTCCCAGCTGTCATGGGGCTCCAGGGAAAGGAAGCCCAAGACCTCACAAATGAGGTATTAACCCTTGGGATGATCTGGCTTCCTGCAGAACCTAGAATTTCCACAACCCCAGCAGGCCAAAACCTTTTGGGCTTCAAGAAGGGGAGTGAGGTAATAAAACAAGTCAGTTGAATAGGAGGCGACTCCCAACCCAGGTAAGAGCCACCTCCTGTATTTTCACCCTTTCAGCCTCTGGCCACTGTAACTGGAAGCTCCTCCCACCCTATCTCTCTCTCTCTCTTTTTTAAAGAGACAATGTCTCACTCTGTCACTCAGGCTGGAGTACAGTGGTATGATCATAGCTTACTGCAGCCTTGAACTCCCTGGCTCACGCAATCCTCCTGCCTCAGCCACCTGTGTAGCTGGTACTACAGAGGCTTGCTATGATGCCTGGCTAATTTTATTTTTTAATTTTTTTGTAGAGATGGGGTCTCACTATGTTGCCCAGGCTGGTCTTGAACTCCAGACCTCAAGTGATCCACTGGCTCTGGCCTCTCAAAGTGCTGAGATTACAGGCCTGAGCCACCGCACCTGGCCCCTCACCATCTCTTCTCAACCACACCACTAGGCACTATTCCCAGGCAGCTTCACTTATTTGTCACCATTAAAGAAAGACAAATGAAAAACTATATAACTGTAAAATTCCATGTTCCTGAAAAATAAAATCATAGAGAAAAGTGTTCAAAAGTGGAAAAGCAAGATCTAAATATGTATATAAAATATCCCAAACCTGTACGAAGTCTATTTACAGACATTGAAAAGGCTGAAATACCTCAACATGTTAAAGTGGTTATTTTTTAATGTGATTCTGGTTCCTTTTACTTTGTGTCTTTCAGTATTTTTACAAGTTTTCTGTAAGCGCATATATTACTTTTCTAATAAGTGAAAGAAAGTAAATCATATTTCACTAAAAGGAAAAAAAAAAAGACCAAATAAAACCAACCGTATCCAGCCAGTTCTAGAAAAACAACGGTCCCATTAACAAGAAATAATTCAATCCTCCAAGGAGCTTAATGACCAACATGTAACAACTAATTGTCAAGCCCTTTGTATTTGATCCAGGCAGCAGCAATGGTTTATGTTAAACTCTAAGAACAAAATATTTCAGATTAAAAAAAATTGTTTTTCTTAGCTAAGACCAGTTCCCAGGAACACTAAGAAATGTCACAATTTTCCACATATTTGGCCAACATGTGGGAGTTACTGTCAGGAAAACATCACTCAAGCGTTTTGAGGTTTTCCTCTAAGTTCTATTTCTCTAAGGTCAGCAAACGGAGAGACTTTCTCTCTTCTCCGACATATAGTCTTCCTTTAAATGAAGCTTCAAGAATATTAATTAGCACTAAATTCAAAGGTAGCTTATAATACTCAGCTGAAGAAAAAACTCAGAGCCGAATTAACTCATACTGAGATGGATAACAGAAAGAATTAGGCTTTTCAAATTTATTTTTACAAAATGAATTCACTGCCCAAGTGTAATTTGATGTATTTTTGTTTGTTTGTTTTCAGCTTGCAAAATATGTTACTGGGGGGAATGTCAGCTATCTCAGTTCAGCACGGGCCAAAATCTTGGTTCTTTTAAAACTTCTTTGAAAGCATTACAGGTTAGGCATTTAGAAAGGAAGTGGGCATAAGCCTTCAGCAACATAAAACTGTGCCCCAAAATTCTGACTGAGAAAAGCCAACTCATATTCCTCCTAGGGACACTCCTGTGTACTTACAGGTTTTCCTGGAGCTGGCTCACTTACCGTAAGGTGTCACCTGTGATGGGTATGCTGATTAAGTCCAATAAAGAGGTTCCTCCACCGAGTTCCCAAAAGTGAGCGATATCTTTTGGCTGAAAAACAAAAATTTTTGATTTTTTGAAGTTTAAGTACTTCTTATATGTCATTAGCACTTCCCAGTAATAATTATACATACAAAATATTGCAGTCCTTAATCAACCCTTTCTTGGCAGTCAAAATTTTTTCCTTTATCCCATCCCTCAAAATGCATCAAAGCACCTACTCTAAAGAAAAATGATGAACTATTCAGAATTGTTTATATGTGTACACAAATGCCCTAATTCTAGTAATACCTAAACAGAAGACATCAACAGTGCGTCAATCTTGTAAATAACATATGTAGCATATACTTATGCAGATTTTAGATAAAAATTAACCCGTTCAACAAATTTCGTATTATCTTTTGGAAAACATTTATAATTCTAGATAGAAATAAAACAGGTGAATAGGAAAACATTCCTATTTAGGAAGACAGAAGCTCGCAGAATGAATTAGACACACGTAAAGCATGAAGAAAAGGGACAAACAAATGGCAATCCTGGCTGCGGATCAAGATTACTTGAGCAAAAGTATAAGCAGACGATTTGTTCCTGATTCCTGTGGAGAATCTGACAGGCTACCACTGACAATAATACACGGTAGGTGGGGGAACAAGAGTTCAAACAACTGCTTCTCTTTTCATAGGACCCTCAAAATAATAGGAAACTGACAGGGCTAGGCAGCCAAGAAGTTCAGAAATAAGATCATCTAGGGTTGGGTGCAGTGGTTCACACCTGTAAACCCCAGCACTTTGGGAGGCCAAGGCTGGAGGATCACTTGAAGCCAGGAGTTCAAGGTCAGTCTGGCCAACACAGTGAGACTCCATCACTATAAACAATTTTTTTAAATTAGCTGAGTGTGGTGGTACATGCTTGTAGTGAATTTGTGGTGACAGTTTACTTGGGAGGCTAATGCGGGAGGATTCTTTGAGCCCAGGAGTTTGAGGCTGCCATGAGCTATGATCCTGCCACTGTACTCCAGCCTGGGAAACAAAGTGAGACCTTGTCTCCGAAAGAAAAAGAAAAGAAAAGAAAAAGGACCACTGATTCCATAAGACGTTCCTAGACTGTTGGCTAATGGCATTTCTGCTTCTGTCCTGACACTGAAGACACTTCAGGTCACTGAAATTGTGAGGAGCTGACAAAGTGCTTCTATTTAGGACTCCTAGGGAATTAAATCTGAGAAAGACATGATGCTTCCAGAATGAATATGGAAATATCCCACTTGATAGTACACAGTTTAGAAAAAAAATTACACAAGTTTTTACGTATCTGCTCCCATGAGCCTGGAAGAGACAGATTGTCAATAAAATAAGTTTTAGGTGAATATATATTATTTTGGATTTTTGACAAAATTTCATCCTGTAATCTCTACAATTGTTTGGCTGTTCATATTTGAATCATTAATTTTTGTGGGAAAAACAATTCTTCCCTGGAAAATCTCCCTCCATTCACAATTTGATAAAGGGAAGCTTTTAGAGCTCTTCTCAAAAGTTAAGCTTATGAGAGCTGTCTCAAAGTTTCCAATGAAAAGCATAATTACATTTCTAGGCTTATTACTCATGTCAAAATTCAAGTGACTCACAAAAATGAAGTTCTCCTGTATCTCTATATATTATGTTTTTTTCTTTAAATTTCAGTTTTAATAACCCACTTTCATTGGTGAATCCTGGAAGCAACAATAGGCAGTTTTATCTCTTTATACACTGTCTAATGAGGAAATATTTGGACTAAGTCAGTGTATAAAAATGTGCCTGTGTTAGCAGAGTAGCGGGATGCTCCATTCTAGATTGTCCTTCTACACACTTAACTTTAAGAAATGATCTCTTTTCAGGTGACAACTCCAAAAAGATTCTATTTAGGAATTCCCCACCCCACCCCCTGCCAGCATATACTATGAACCCTTCTTCTATCCTGAAGAGTTTATCATGTTCCTCTAAAGAGACATTAAAACAAGTGAAAATAGGATTATAATCAAGCAGGGCATATGACCTCAACTAGTACTATCAACTTCAAGATGCATTTTTAAATGCTAATAATTTAGATTTTAAACAGTATATTTTCATAAATATTCCACAGGTCAAACCTATATTTTAGCAGATTTTTTGAGAGACAGAAAATAACTCACAACACTATTCTCATGAACTGTACAATAAAGTTAAAAAGGTATCTTATTCTAGCATTTTAAGACATAATAAATGAGAAGGCTAAAATGTTTTCACAGTTTGGGTTGGCTTCTATCTGCCACACTGCATTTGAAGTTTAATGGTAGACAGCTACGAAGTGTACAACTGGGTATGTTTATTGATTACAGATGAGATGGAAAATGTAAAACAAAGTCAGCAGCATTACTTTCCCATCTATGGGCATAGCAATGTCACTTTAAAAGACACTTACTGTGTTGTGCCCTTTTGCTCTTCTTCCATATGTATATTCCAAAGCTAAGGTTGGTTTTGGTGGTTCATCTCTGTATAATAAAGGCCGATAGTATTATCATTGTAGGTGGTATTAGTTTCTTATGCTATCACCTTACCTGATTCATTTTTCCTTCCTCTTGAAAACTTTATTAGTAGAGAAGTTACCTTGTATAATAGCGTTGAAATAAATTATATTCACAAAAGAAATAAACCTGCAAAACACCGTCTTAGTGGATTTTAACAGCACATGCATGTGGTAGCCCCTAAAGGCACTGCTGGGGCAAAGTAGAGAATGTGTTGAGGCTGGCAGCGTGGATGGCCACGCTGGGCACAAGATCTCTACATCCAGGCCATGCAGGAAGCACTGACACTGGGTGTTTTTTTTTGTTTTGTTTTTGTTTTTTTGAGATGGAGTCTTGCTTTGTCGCCCAGGCTGGAGTGCAGTGGCACGATCTTGGCTCACTGCAAGCTCCGCCTCCTGGGTTCACGCCATTCTCCTGCCTCAGCCTCCCGAGTAGCTGGGACTACAAGCACCCGCCACCAGGCCCAGCTAATTTTTTTTGTATTTTTAGTAAAGACAGGGTTTCACTACGTTAGCCAGGATGGTCTAGATCTCCTGACCAGGATGGTCTCGATCTCCTGACCTCGTGATCCGCCCGCCTCGGCCTCCCAAAGTGACACTGGGTTTATACTCAGCCCTGATGTGAGGAACCTAATGACTGTCAATTTAAAACATCAATGCAAGACTTGGCCAGGCATGGTAGCTCACGCCTGTAATCCTAGCACTTTGGGAGGCTGAGGCGAGTAAATTGCTTGAGTCCATGAGTTTAAGACTGGCCTGGGCAACATGGCAAAACCCTGTCTCTACAAAAAAAAAGGTAGCACATGTCTGTAGTCCCAACTACTCAGGAGGCTGAGGTGGGAGAATCACTTGAGCCTGGGAAGTTGAGGCTGCAGTAAGCCGAGATCATGCCACTGCACTCCAGCCTGGGTGACAGAGAGGCACCCTGTCTCACAAAAAAACAAAAACAATGCAAGACTTTAACGCAGTTCTCTAGCAGTTCTTTATCTTAAATCACAGCCCAAACATGGGCATCATTTAGATAATGATAGTTAATAAATTATATCAACAAGTCCTTAAAATCAGTAATGATTAGGAAAATATTAAAACAATTTGCTGAATTATTTATACTATAGCTTATATTGCTGGTAAGCAGTTTTATGGTGTATATATATTTAATTTTTTATTATGGTAAAGAACACATAAAATAGAATTTATCTTACCTATTTTTAAGTGTACAATTCAGTAGTATTAAATTTATTCACGTTGTTATGTAACTAATATTCAGAACTTTTTCATCTCACAAAACTGAAACTCCATACCCATTAAACAACTTCTCATTTTCCCTTCCCCCTAGTCCTTGGTAACTACCATTCTACTTTTTGTTTCTGAGTTTGATTATTTTAGATATCTCATATAAGTGGAATCATACTATATATATTTTATTTTATTTTATTTATTTATTTTTTTTGCAGTGGCACAATCTTGGGTCACTGCAACCTCTGCCTCCCAGGTTCAAGTGATTCCCATGCCTCAGCCTCCCAAGGACCTGGGATTACAGGGGCCCGCCACCACGCTTGGCCAATTTTTGTATTTTTAGTAGAGATGAGGTTTCACTATGTTGGCCAGGCTGATCTCGAACTCCTGACCTCAAATGATATGCCCGCCTCGGCCTCCCAGAGTGCTGGGATTACAGGTGTGAGCCACTGCACCCACCCCAATATTTGTGTTTTTTTTGTTTCTGGCTCATTTAACTTAGCATAATGCCTCAAGGTTCATCCATGTTGTAGCATGTGACAGAATTTCCTTCCTTTTTAAGGCCAAATTATGTTGCTACATATCTTTATTTTACTTTCCTATTTTATTTTATTGAGACAGGGTCTCACTCTGTCATGCAGGCTAGAATGCAGTGGCGCGATCACAGCTCACTGCAGCCTCAACCTCTCGGGCTCAAGTAATCCTCCCACCTCAGCTTCCTGAGTAGCTGGGACTACAGGTATGCACCACCATGCCCAGCTAATTTTTGTATCTTTTGGTACAGACGAGTTCTCACTATGTTGGCCAAGCTGGTCTTGAACTCCTGAGTTCAAGCGATCCGCCTGCCTTGCCCTCCCAAAGTGCTAGGATTACAGGCATGAGCCACTGCACCCGGTCCCATATCTATCCTTAGACTGGAGAAGAAAGAGAAATGATTTTTAAATTTGTGACTTACATAATTATGTTTATTGAATATTCTGAATATCACCCCTGCATACATCTTTTGAATACGTTATATAGAGAGTAATATTCGGTTATATGTCCCAAAAGATAGAAATTTTATCAAGCCAAATGCCACTTTTAAGACAAAATTCATAAGATCTGATATTTAACCTATATTTTAGAAAATTAACCTTTTCCTAAGTAGACTATTGAGGAATTGAAATTAATACTTTTCAGGGCCAGGCGTGGTGGCTCACACCTGGATTCCCAGTACTTTGGGAGGCCGTGGCAGGCGGATCACCTGACATCGTGAGTTCGAGACCAGCCTGACCAACATGGAGAAACCCTGTCTCTACTAAAAATACAAAATTAGCTCGGCGTGGTGGCACATGCCTGTAATCCCAGCGGGAGGCTGAGGCAGGAGAATCGCTTGAACCCAGGAGGCGGAGGTTGCAGTGAGCCGAGATGGCGCCATTGCACTCCAGCCTGGGCAACAAGAGCGAAACTCCATCTCAAAAAAAAAAAAGAAAGAAAGAAATTAATACTTTTCAACTCAATGTACTATTTTGTAGTATTTTATCCTAAGCTGGTGTTGTATTAGATGATTTGTTTATGACAGGAAACGTCTAAATGTGGTCTAAAAAGACCCATGATTCCTGGATATGGAAAGATAATACAGGTGTTACTGTTGATAGTTCCTCTGAGAAACAATATTGTTGGTGAAAGGAATTACACAAAAGCAGGAATTTATTATTTGTATCCTTTAAAAATATTTTTCAAATGAGTGATGTTTCTTTAATGTGACCTTAACACCAAATTCCATCTCTTTTGATGATTTTGGAGAAGTTATAAGATATATGTATTCAAATGAAGGGAACAGAGAAATATCTTCCAAAAATGACTGAAGGCTTTCCTCATCAGCTTCCTGAAACATCTACCAATCATACTGCTAAATCTTAATCTGATGGCCTGCTTCTACAGTATACGTTAGGAAATATATAAAATAAATGATAAAATATCCAGTTTGAGGACCAACACTGTGCTTCAAAAATGTACCCCTGAGCAACTAAAGCTTACAATGAATGTTCAAATAATTGTAGATTAGGTAGAACAAAAATAATTTAAATATCAGAGTAGCATAGCCAAAAAGAAGGTAAATACTATTGTAGGTTGGGTAATTATGGTAACATTTCTCCCTCAAATAGGGAAATCCAGTATTAGTCTCATATAATTTTTGGCTTATTGTTAGTTTTATATTTAAAGGCGCTCTTAAAGGTTATACTAAGGATTTGCTAAGAATTAAATATTTTGTTTGGGTCTCAAAATCGTTCCCCTTCCTTATGTCTTTTAGAGCTAACTTGCCCTATACAACTAGAATAAGCATAAATATAGTTTAAAGGTTAACATAACACTTACCTGTCAAGACACCTTAGAATAATAGTAGTCTTTCCCTGGAAATTAAAAAAGAAGGAACACTGCGTTAATGTCACTCATATGTAAAAATTGTATTATTGTTCGTAATTGTGGCCCAAAATAGATTTTTAATCAATTGAATGATAAATTACCTGGAAACTAAAAACTAGAAACTTTCGGAATTGTTCTAAAGTTTGATAAGTGGAAAAAGTTAACTGTCAACTTTCCATCACAGTGTAACTACACTGCTATTATTATAATTATAAAGTCCCACAGATGACAAATACTAGCAAATCATACCTCACTTAAGTGGTCAACTTGGCAGCTGTCTTAAATTTTTTCTCTACTCATCAATGTTAATTACTGGTTAAGCCGATGCTTAGTGTCTTTTAAAATGTTTTAATTCCAATTGTTGAAGTGGAAATAAAGAAAAAGGTAACATACAAATAAAGGACACATTGTAAATATGTTCAAAGTAAGCAATTCAGATACTGCATTAGAGTAATTTGTTTTAAGTCCAGAGGATGTACTTATTCCAAGTTTCTGTTTATTTTTATTTTATTTTATTTTATTTTTGAGACAGAGTCTCACTCTGTTGCCAAGGCTGGAGTGCAGTGGCATGATCTTGGCTCACTGCAACCTCTGCCTCCTGGGCTCAAGTGATTCTCGTGCCTCACCCTCTCAAGTAGCTGGGATTACAGGTGCACACCACCATGCCTGGGTAATTTTTGTATTTTTAGTAGAAACAAGGTTTTGCCATGTTGGCTAGGCTGGTCTTGAACTCCTGGCCTCATCTAATCTGCCCACCTCAGCCTCTCAAAGTGCTGGGATTACAGGTGTGAGCCACCATGCCCAACCCCAAGTTTCTTTTTAGGAGTAAGGAAATACAAGTTCTGGCCTAATTCCTACCACTAGTCAGGCAACTTAACTTCACAGCTTAGCCAGGGATTAGCTCAGTGGTTTATATCATTTTTAAAAAATAGTAAAATCCTTTTTTTTTTTTTTTTTTTAAAGAAAAGACCCCTTGCAAGGAAACAGATAAAAGAGAAACAGCAGGACAAGCTCCACTGGAGGAAACCTTCAGGCTCTAAAGAAAATAATTTGGAAAACTCTGGATTGCCAAAAACACAGAACACTTATTATATGTGTTTTTGTTTTTACTAAAAAAACCTATAGTTTTTGACAAAAAAGATAATTACTCCAGATTATATCTGGAATACGATCAAATTGAGTAAATTTTTTGTAATGAGATATATTAAAAAATAACTGGAATTGTACAATATAAAAATGTATATTATTGAAGGATGTTTATTGGCCAGTGTTACATCAAACTGAAAAACTAAAAACAACCTACATGTCCCCTACTGGCTAAATTAATTATGGTAAACCATATAATAGAATAATATACAGCTATTATGAATGACAATGTAGAAATATACTTACTGACATAGTAAAACATTCATAATAGATCAGCATGTCTCTGTTTTCAATTAAAAAATACTTTTCCTGCTTCCTTGAAGTACACACACACACACACACACACACATAGACAGAAACAAACACACAAATGTAGGGGGACATCACTATGTTAATAATGATTATTTCTAGCTGAAGGATTTGAAGGTAATTAAAGTTTTTAAGAAAATCAGGATTTTCTGCCAGGCATGGTGGCTCACGCCTGTAATCCCAGCACTTTGGGAGGCCGAGGCGGGTGGATCACGAGGTCAGGATATCAAGACCATCCTGGCTAACATGGCGAAACCCCAACTCTACTAAAAATACAAAAAAATTACCAGGCGTGGTCGTGGGCACCTGCAGTCCCAGCAACTTGGGAGGCTGAGGCAGGAGAATGGTGTGAACCCAGGAGGCAGAGGCTGCAGTGAGCCGAGATCACACCACTGCACTCGAACCTAGGCGACAGAGCGAGACTCTGTCTCAAAAAAAAAAAAAGAAAAAGAAAATCAGGATTTTCTAATTTTCCTACAATGAACTTGTATCATATGTAGTATGCTGTAAAAGTTCTAAATTAATAAGGGCTACATTACCCAAAAAGTAATGTACTCTGCAAGAAAGTAGAATAAGAATTGGAAGGAATTTTAAATAATATCTAGCCAATTTCCTCAAATTTTCATGGTACACTAGTATTCATTGATTTAAATCACTCCCCCTCGCCTTTTTTGTTTTTTTTTTTGAGACAGAGTCTCCCTCTGTTGCATAGGCTGGAGTGCAGTGGCACCATCTTGGCTCATGAAACCTCTGCCTCTGGGTTCAAGTGATTCTTAGGCCTCAGCCTCCGGAGTAGCTGGGATTACCAGTATGCACCACCACGTGCAGGTAACTTTTTGTATTTTTTAGTTGAGATGGGGTTTCACTATGTTGGTCAGGCTGGTCTTGAACTCCTGGCCTCAAGTGATCTTCCCACCTCAGCCTTCCAAAGTGCTGGGATTACAGTCTTGAGCCACCACGCCTGGCCTTAAATCACTTTTATTATTATTTCATATAAATGTATAGCACTATATGGTAACAATTCCAAATTAACATAAACTAATCTGGGAACTGAAATCAAGTTTTAGATTATCATTAAAATTACAATCCAAAATTTAAAAATTCATTAGTACACTCTGGTCCCCTGAGCATGTGGCTGTAGTCTTGTGGGTTTCCTAATTCAAGAAACATTGACCTAGTACAAGTTCATTTAGAGACCATCAAAATGAATCCCATCTTCCCTCCCATTGCCTCAATCGCCCCAGATGTCCAGCCCTCTCCTCTGACCCATTATCCCTGGAACTCTGAATTTCCTAACTCTGTAAACATCCCTTAATCTGGCCCAATAATCCCCTTCTGTCTTCCCTTCCTCTAAAATCCTTCCACTCTATGACTTCAGCTCCATGACTGGCAAACTCCCCAATATCTCAGCCTTTTCAGAATATTCTCTCCACATGTTGGCCTTAACTAAAATATGACTTACCCTGAACCCCTTCCTCTGCAGCCTTGTTAAACGAAGCTATTTATTCTCACTACCCTACATACATTAGGGTCCTCCTTGCTCCCCAGTGCCACCTATAAACAACTACTCTACCTCCCTCCTCTTGAAAAAACCTCAGAGGCTCGTATCAGTTTACCACCAGGGTTGTTGTCATCTCTTCTGGCTCACAATCTCCCTTACCTTTTCAGCTACTGTCATGAATCTTCTTCACACCCACATGGGTCTTGGCAATCCACCTGACATCCGGAGCTCTCAGTGCATTTGCCTCCCAATGGAGGCCTTTTCCCTCACTCTGCTTCTGCCATGGTCACTTCCAAGGTTACATCTTGAAGCTTTCCAGTTTCACTGGAAACTGCACTGCTTCCAAAATCACATGTACAAACAACACATTCTCTAACCACTTCTTCAGGCATCCCCACAGTAATAACTCTTTGACCTTAGTGAAAGGTCTCAAATGTCCATTGACACCCCTCTTCCCCCCACTAACAGTCGCTCCTACTCCATCAGCCTCTTCCTACCTTCACTTTTCTCCTTTTCCATCTCAGAGCCCATAGTTTATCATTACAATCATCTCTGTTAAATACCATTCATGCCCTGAGCTCCCTCACTTTGCACTGTACCCAACCAGCAAAGACTGCCCCAGGTAATCACCTTCCTCCTCCATGCCTGCACCCATGCAAGTGAGTGATGGTGGAGAAAAACCATGTACTCTGGGCAGATTAGTATCAAACTAACATCCATCATCAAAATGGCAGTCAACAATGACTGAAAATCCTATTACATTCCTCTAGTATGATCTTTCTCCCATTTGTTGGAATATCTGTTTCATACATTTTTCTTGATCATCTTAGAATACTCCACACTCTTCACCTGAATTACTTCTCTTTCCTTACTTCTCACCTTCAAGCTTTAGCCATCACTCTCTTCAGGAGGCTTTCCTAGTCTCCCAACTTTCTGGGGTGAGTTAAGTGCCCTCTCTGTTTTCCACCACAGCATTTGTCTCATGGTATTGTCATTGTTGGTGTACAAGTCCTGATACACAAGTTGCTTCCCAGGGAGAATGCCTTTCATTCCTGTTTCCACAGTGTCTAGCAGGATGCTTAGCATATAAAAGATGTTCGATCAATGTCAACCGAATGGATGAACAGATGGTTGGAAGGAGAAAGAGAAGGCAGCAGGGCAGTGGGCTTCTTTGGTAAAGGGTGATTACTATTAATTGAACAATAGAAGCATTAATCGCTTCTCTTTATCTTCCAAAATAATGTTCTCCATGAAGCAGAATCAGATACTTTTTTCTTTCTTTTTTGAAACAAGGTCTCCCTCTGTTGCCCAGGCTAGAGTGTAGTGGCACAATCACGATGGCTCACGGCAGCCTTAACCTTCTGGGCTCAAGTGATCCTCTCACCTCAGTCTTCCACGTAGCTGGGACTACATACAGGTGAGTGCCACCACACCCGGCTAATTGTTTTATTTTTTTGGGGGGAGACTGGGTTTTGCCACGTTGCCTAGGTTGGTCTCGAACTCCTGGGCTCAAGCAATCCATCTGCCTCAGCCTCCCAAAGTCCTGGGATTACAAGCATGAGCTACTGCACTCAGCAGAATCACAGACTTTTTAAAGAATAATACCCTCAAAAGTTTTAGATATCAAGGGAGTTCCCAAATCATCAGAAACAAAATTACTTTTATTACTAAAAACAAAAAACAGTTTGTATATGCCACATATTGCCATCAAGAAAAAGGGGTGGTTTCACAAGTAACAAAAAAACAAAACAAAACAAGACAAAACAGGGTATCATGACTACAAGGGAGTCAAGAATAACTGTTACAGAGAGCGCTAAGAGGATACTGGTAGGGGTATTTTGTATGTAAGCATTTGTATGATGGAGTCAGTAATCAGTACCATTAGTATAAGCCATTCTATCTAATATTCTGTGTACAGAATGTTTTCTGTAATAGAAATGTATTTGTACCATAAGACTAGTACTAGTTATTTACTCATTTATTTAAATCCATGTATGTACCTACATGGCAGTAAGATACAATGTAGGAAACTGTTAAGTACTATGCCTAATATGAAAATCACGTGCATCATAATAGTAAACTCGTGAAATAATGCGTAGCCAGGGGCGGTGACTCATGCCTGTAATCCCAGCATTCTAGGAGGCTGAGATGGGTGGATTGCTTGAGTCCAGGAGTTTGAGGTCAGCCTGGGCAACGCAGTGAAACCCCATCTCTATTAAAAATACAAAAAATTAGCCGGGTGTGGTGGCGCATGCCTGTAATCCCAGCTACTTGAGGTAAAATCACCCGAGCCAGGGAAGTCAAGGCTGCAGGGTGCTGAGATCGCACCACTGCACTCTAGCCTGGGCAACCAGAGCGAGACCCTGTCTCAAAAAAAGAAATAACATGCTTATAAAATATATACTTATATAGTTGGGTTAAAATTTTAAAATATAAATGATCTCTACGATAATTTTATTTTAAAGAATTAAGTTTGAATTTTAAAAAGTGGGCCAATATGAAAACTCTGGAAAATAAAAAAATTAAAAACAAAATAAAAACATTAAGTGATTAGAATTTTACTATCCATATTTCTAATTTTTATCAGAATTTTTTATTTACGTATTTGTATAATTGGGATCATGTCATGTATGACACTTGTGTCCTGCTTTTTTAATTCAGATTATATTCTTACATCACTAAAACCTTTTTCATGGTTGTACAGGTATTTCTCCCAATATATGTAATCTTAATGTTGTATATAAAACCCCCAATGGAGGGTGTCCGGTTGTGCAGAGAGGGCCTTCTGGGACTCATCTGGAGACAAGACGGGTGCTCAGGCTGCCTGGGCGCTGACGTTGCCCAGTGAACACGTAGCCCTGCTGATGCAGAGTGTAGTTTCTGAAAGCTTCGTATTTGTCAATGCGCTTAAGTGGAAGCATGGAGCACAGAAAGTGAACAGGAATTTGAACCCCACACAGAAATGAGCTATGGCACTACATGAATTTCAGCATCTTGCATCTGGCAAGCCTTGACCTTTTTGTGTCACCAGTCATTTTGCCTTCCTGGCAGGAACTTTGTGGGCCAGGCAAAGTTGCATGAAGATATGATGCATATGTTCCTACACTGTGTGGCCACTTCCACGCCTTTCTGTATGCTTGGCCAAGTAAAACAGAGACTTACAACAAGTGGGGAGGGGTCCCTTCCTACCAATCAGTGGTCCACTGGAAATGCTGCCATATTTTCCCCAGATATTTCAAAATAATTAATAACCCTGTAACAAATATCATTGACACAGTTCAATTATTCCTTTAATGAGATTTCTAAAAGTAAAGTAACAATCTAAAATATAAAATTGTTAAGATACTGACTTACTGATTTAGAGACTGACTTAGATATTTACATGAATCCTAGCTTTTACACTCAATTGTGGTAGAAGACCTGAATATTTTCAAATCATGAAATAAAAAATAGTTTAAATATATTTTTCTAAAATTTTGTTTACTATTATAGTTTTTCCTAGATTAATAATAAGCACTTTTTAATTCATGCTAAACCAGATTGGTCATCTGGTTAAAGTGTTGAAGTATCTACATTTTAATCAAAGTATTAACAGATATTTTACCAATGGTTGTTAAATCATCACAATAATTGAAAAAAAGAAAGCATTACCCCATTTTTACTGCCAATGAAGAAAACAAATTTTTCTGCAATTTCAGCTCCATCACCTTCACTTCCATTAATTCCCCTTTTTTCCACTTCAGCTTTTGCAATTTCCCAGAGAGTTTCACTACATGAGAGGCAGAAAAAACAAAATTGAGGGAAAAAGAATTCTTTCAAATATTTATTTCAAGCTCAGAGAAATTTTATTTCAGTATAATTTATGAAACAAATGAACATTATTTTCTGAGGAACAATAATCTGGTAAAACATCTGAGGATTAGTCATTCTATGATTTTATTTTTCTTTTGTTGCTTTGAACTAGTTCTCTGAAGAATACTGAAATTGATAAGCAGAGCCTTTATTGCCAGGATTTGAGGCTGTCACATTTGGGTCTTCCCCTACGGTTCATAGCTGTGTATGTCAGCTTCTCAGACACATATGGAGGTACAATGACTTTGGGAATGTACAACTTGAAAACCACAAACATTTAAGTCACCTAGGAAGATGGGAAAAGTACAAAACCAGTGTATCAAATAATCTTTCCTCCCTGAAACATTTCTTTTTTGTGTTTTAGATTATGTTTTTAGGTAAAAAAAAATTTTGTTTAATATAAAAGTATATGGGAGGCTGAGGCAGGAGGATCACTTGAGATCAGCCTAGGCAATACAGGAAGATCCCATCTCTACTACTGCTACTACTACTACTACTACTAATAAATTAGCATGGGGGAGGGATAGCATTAGGAGAAATACCTAATGTAAATGATGAATTAATGGGTGCAGCAAACCAACATGGCACATGTATACATATGTAACAAACCTGCACGTTGTGCACATGTATCCTAGAACTTAAAGTATAAAAAAAGAAGAAGAAGAAAAGAAAACAAACAAAAAAAATTGGCTGAGGCTGGGAGTGGTGGTTCACACCTGTAATCCCAGCACTTTAGGAGGCCAAGGTGGGTGGATCACTTGAGGTCAGGAGTTCAAGACCAGCCTGGCCAACATGGTAAAACCCCATCTCTACTAAAAAAAAAAAAAAAAAAAAAAAAAAAAAATTGGCCAGGTGTGGTGGCGGGTGTCTGTAACTCCAGCTACTCAGGAGGCTGAGGCATGAGAATCACCTGAACTCAGGAGGTGGATGTTGTATTGAGCCAAGATCGTGCCACTGCACTCCAGCCTGGGCAACAGAGCGAGACTCTGTCTAAAAAAAAAAAAAAGAAAATAAAAAAAGAAAAAGAAAAGAAATTAGCTGGGTGTGGTGACATGCACTCGTGGTCCCAGCTACTAGGGAGGCTGAGGCAGGAGGATTGCCTGAGCCCTGGAGGTCGAGGCTGCAGTAAGCATGTTGACATCACTGCACTCCAGCCTGGGTGACACAGCAAGACCTTGTCTCCCCCCGCCAAAAAAAAACCATAAAGAAAGAAAGAAAAAAAAACCCTAAAACCACAAACATTTTGAAAACAATCCTTTCATTGATTTCTTTACACAGATATATAACTTTACACGATAAAATCATATATATATTAATTAAAGCCTAAGTGAAAATGGAATATTAAACTAAAAACTAACCATGGGCAAGACCTGATAGGTCCTAGCCTGATTCTGCTACTTCCTATGTATGTGAACTTGGGAAAACTACCTAACCTCTTTAAATCCTTCATTCCTTTATTAATTAAACAAATATTTATTGAGCACCTAATATATGCAATCCTCTGTGCTATTCCCCAGGCTCAATTGTTTCTCTATCTCTAAAAAGCCAATAAAAAAGAGTATCAGCTTTATAGGATTGTCATAATTGTTAAAATATATATGTAGTTTAGGGCATGGCCTATACAATTACAAAAATTATTGAGGGCTTGTAATTATACTATTCAAGAACCAGGAATAAGAAAAAGGGTCAAAACAGGAGTCCTTAAATGTTTGCACTAAAATTCATGCATTTATTTCACAGGTGAGCCTTCAGAACTCAGTTTCGGGCTGTTTGCTCTTCATTTACACAACATTCTTTCAAAATATGAGGATCTGCTTTCCAAATACCTAGCAGAGAGGAAAGACGGAGGTGCTGCAGTCAGCCACGACACCTGCGGAAATCGGGAAGTATAACCATAGCTTTATAACTAACCAATTATCCCTTGATGGAAAGCTGACAATTCTCCACACTATCCCAAGGAGAGAAAAAGATTTATCCTGCTCTGTGATGCACTCCCTGACCCCTCTCCCCGACGTGCTTAAGCATAAATTGTTGAGAAAAGGTTTAGGAATATCTTGTGAACAGGTAATTAAAATGAATATCATAGAATTGAACAGCTAGAATATAGTTTACAAACCCTCTCCCGTTTCCCCCCTTAAAAGTGATGTTATACTTTCCACAGTGCCTTCCAAGTTTCCCCTCGCTTATTACTGCGAACCCCCGCACCAGGAGGGGAGGCCCCTGGGGAGAGGAGGCTTTGTGGTCTAGCTCATCGCCGAATGTCCTGCTCCGGAAGTAGTCTCTGGCCTGCAAGAAACTTTTATTCAATCATTGAATGGGTGGAGTTGCTGATCTTTCCAAATCTCTCACTTTTCTACCTAGGGAACTTTCTTTTCTTTCCTGTTTGCGGCAGAATCTTTATGCTCAAGGCTGATTCCTAGGTCCCCGACCCTGCATATCCTGGTGGCAAGTAGCCACCCCCACAATCTTCCAACAGCTGGTCCCGCCTGGGCTTCCTCTCTCCAGGAATACTCTCAGTAGCCTTTCCCACGCAAGCCGGGTTCAGGGAATACCTGGGCATCGTCGACGGCCTGGCTGCCGCAAACGTCACAGGCTCGGAGTAGTGACCAGCCTAGAATCAGGCGGCGAGCTCCGCAAGGAGTCTGGGAGTGAGGCCTTCTGGGTTGCCATGGGAGCGACGTCGCGGCCGCGGTTGCGTGGGGAGACGGGCATCATGGGAAATGTAGTTTTCAGGAGTCCTTTTACATCTCATTCTCGGCCTCAAGCCTTAGGATTGCTTTTAGATCCCAAGTTAGTAACTCCTTGTTACCTCCTAGAACGAGATGATAAGGGGTTACAAACCTGGGATCTAAAAGCAATTTTCTTTTATTTTAAAATTTTTTTACTGGGTGTCAACTATATGCCAAGGGTCTCTGCTCTCTCTCTCTCTCATCTTTCACTTTTTTCTTCCCAATCGCCATGATTTAGGAATAGAGGGTGTAACAATCTCTTGAGCTGTTTTCTGCTAATTTACTAGAAGCAAGGAATATTCGGACTTTAAAATTTAAAATAAGGCACGTAATTTTAATATTTTCCAACTTTCTAGATGTTTAGTTGTTTCAAGTTTTATTCAATAGCACATTGTGTATTTATTAATAAATTAATGAAGCAAGTGCATCTCCTACATACTTCATTTACTTTGTGAATGTAGATTATTTTCTTTTGGAACTTTGTGGTCTCTTTATAGATCTGCAGGAGTGTCCAAATAAATAACGAGCATTGAAATAAATAACAATCATTGAATATGCAAGGCCCTATGCTACACAGAATAAGGAATAAAGAGATGAGTAAGAAAAGATCGCTGCCCTTAAGAAAGACACACACTCAGCTAATTATAAGCACCTAAGGAAGTGAGTGATCTAAACTATTGTATAGAGGTACAAAAATTGCATGAGGGCAAGTGACCAATTATGCCTGAAGGAGATGGTGAAACCATGGCACTGATAGTATTTGGTCTGTATTGAATGCTGAGTAGACTCAGGCTTTCTAGCCTAAGATGCCCTGAATATTTGAAGGAGATACCCTCCCTCCAGTCCTCTACTATTCGGCTTGATTTCTATGGTGCGATGTTCAAGTACATGGGCTTTGGCGTGAGATGGACCTAGGTTCAAGTTCTGACTTGGCCACGCTGGCTAAGTTGTCACATTGCCACATCGGGTAAATCACTGAATTTCTGATCCTGTAAAGCGGGAAAGATTGTGAATCTTAAATGAGATAAATGTAGGTAAAACATAACTTACGTGGGTGTCTGACACATTATAACTGCTTAATGCTTGTTATTATTGTGTGATAAGCTGCTGGTCAGCAACTTCGAACAAAGAAACACAAGGAACACATTCCTGGAAACAAGGCTGATGGTTGATAAAAGGGTGTTTATTTCAAATAAAGTCATTGGGAACAAAATCCTCCCAACACCTAGGTATATTTTGGAGACGTAAAGAACACTAAGCTGCACATAGGAAGGGAATTAATGGGAGTAGAGCTCACCGAAGAAAGGATGATTTTTCAAAGGAGGCTTATACATCTGTCATTGAATCAACAGCTATAGCCTGGTGCTAAGCCAGACTTTAAGCTCACAAACTGATATGGGACAGATTGTAATGAATTGTAATGATTTGGGTTCTAGAACTTCAGAATACTTTTGCATGCTAGTTAGGAAGGCCTGTTGATATTGATAGCAATAACGACAGCTAACATTTTTGCCAAGTGCTTGCTATGTACTGGGCACAATACTCAGTACGAGTACTTCAAAAGTACACTTGTTTGAATAACGGGGAGAGGTGTTTGAAGGAGGGAGCTTGGTAACCAGGAAAGTGAAGGTGATCCGGCTGGGCCCTGATCAGCAGCATTGATTCAGGGTTGATTCAGTTGATCTGACTGAGCAGGTGAGTTCCCCTTTCTTCCCTCATTCCTCTTGAGGCCTTCATACTTGGGCAAAGAAAGTGACTTTCCTGGGTAGATGAAGATTGTTCTTAAGGTAAGAATGGAAGGAGAAGGAGACAATTTTATGCTGCTTTCTGGATGGAATGAGCAACAGTGCAGAAGGGTAAAGGCGTGTGCAGGATGTATTTGGGAAACTGAATAGTTTGGGTTGCGATCATATAAAGTGCCTGGTGGAGCTACAGTGGAAGAGCAAACTGGGCAGGTAGATGGGGCTACTGTGAAGGATGCTGTAGTCTAGACTTTACTGTGTTGGTTATGAGAAACCAAATAGGGTTTAAAAATAGGAGTGTGCCATGATTAGACATGAATTTCAGTGAGATAATTTTTTGCAGTTGTGTGAAGGGTGGTTTGGCATCTAGAAGACCATGCGGAGGCTATTAACAATAGCTAGGAAAGTGACAGGCAGAGTTTTAAAATTTTTTCCCTTGTTTTCAAAGTTATATAAGCTAATTGTAGGGGAAAAAACGTATGCACAGAAAATTAAGAGGGTAAAATAAGCATAAGCCAGAAGTAGTAACTATTAGGTATTTTGGAAATACATTTGATATGTTTCATTCTAATCTTTTTTCTTACAAAGTTGAGATTAATTGTAAAGTTAATTAATGTCCTGATTTTAACATGTATTTCCCCATATCAAATTTTAAAAATGCACCATATCAAATTTTAAAACTGCATCATAAACATAACTTTGATGGTTGCAGAATATTTCACTGCATAGATTTTTCGTAATGTACTTAAGCATTCTCCTAATGTTGAGTACATTTGGGGTGGTTCAGAGTGAACACCTAACATGAGCTGGGTTAATCACAGTCCTTCCCTGAAATTTTTCAAACTAGAATTGGGAAAAGTAAGTCACTCTACCTCTAGAGGAAATTAGCATATTTTATGCTAAATGAATTATTTTGTAGTTAGTGAGCACACATCAGACACACATCAATATGAAGGGAAAGTGCTGGCATATGTCTCATGGTTCTAATTGTCCCTAAGGCTTGCCTGTGTCCTCACCTTTCTTATGGCTTGGTTGTTCAGCTTGCTCTTTGATTATATGAGACATCCTAATATCCTTGTAATACAATTTCTCATTTTTGTCTAAGCTAGTTCAAGTTGAATTTTGGAATTTACAGCAAAAAGAGTTCTATCTAATACAATTACTAGACAGTAGAAAGTAAGACGTTGGTAAAAGGGAGAAAAGTCAATGTTTCCTTCTTGATGGATGAACTGGTGATCCTCTTAACCAATTTTAAGGGGCACAGAGCAGGAGAAGCAGGTTTAGAGGACATGGTGAGTTTGAGATATCGTCCAGCAGACAGTTGGACCATTTGGGGTCTGCTGGACTTGGCAGTTAAGTGGTCAGTGATAACCTCATGTGAAGATGTTTCGATAGAATAGTCAGTACATGAAAGCAGTGTTGATGATACCCTATCCCTGAGTGGAACATCTTATAATCTGTACATGATCCAAAACCCAAGAACTCTCCACAAGCTTTCCTAAGGTTACACTTTCTGTAAACTTTTCTCTCATAAAAGGCAACTCTTATTGGGTTTGATAGCATTTTCCAGAAACTCAAGAAGTTAATAACATCTAAGCCATTTCCTCTGGTATCACCCAATATTCAGTTCCTAGGAGCTCCTGGGAATTCATTAGAGCCACATAGTGAGAGAGGGAATTAGCCTTCTTTTGCCACTGCCACTGCTAAAGAAGAGTTGTTTGATTTTCATAAAACCACAGTATAACCTAGCAGCACGTTCAGAAAGAGCGGCCCTTCCCCTCCCACCCCCACTCTGTTTATTAGAAAATTATGTTGGCAGGCCGGGCACGGTGGCTAACGCCTGTAATCCCAGCACTTTGGGAGGACAAGGCGGGCAGATCATCTGAGATCAGGAGTTCAAGACCAGCCTGACCAACATGGTGAAACCCCGTCTCTACTAAAAATACAAAAAATTAGCCGGGCGTGGTGGCAGGCGCCTGTAGTCCCAGCTACTGCAGAGGCTGAGGCGGGAGAATGGCGTGAACCCGGGAGGCGGAGCTTACATGAGCCGAGATGGCGCCACTGCACTCCAGTGTGGGCGACAGAGCGAGACTCCTCTCAAAAGAAAAAAAAAAAAATTAGCTGAGCATGGTGGCAGGTGCCTGTAATCTCAGCTACTCAGGAGGCTGAGGAAGGAGAACTGCTTGAACCCGGGAGGCAGAGGTTGCAGTGAGCCGAGATCGCGCCATTGCACTCCAGCATGGGCAACAAGAGCAAAACCCCGTCTCAAAAAAAATAAAAGAAAATGGACCGGGCGCGGTGGCTCACGCCTGTAATCCCAGCACTTTGGGAGGCCGGGGAGGGCGGATCACAAGGTCAGGAGATCGAGACCATCCTGGCTAACATGGTGAAACCCCGTCTCTACTAAAAATACAAAAAATTAGCCAGTGGTAGCGGACGCCCGTAGTCCCAGCTACTCGGGAGGCTGAGGCCGGAGAATGGCATGAACCCGGAGGGCGGAGCTTGCAGTGAGTGGAGATTGCGCCACTGCACTCCAGACTGGGCGACAGAAAAAAAAAAAGAAAGAAAATGATGTTGGCAAAGCACAGGAAGGAAGGGTACTCAGTATTCAAGTGCGTTGCTGAACATTTGTGTCCTATTTTGGAGTTATTTGCTAATAGACCTTTCCCTAGTAAAGTTGGTATTCCTTTCCTATTACTGGACTGCAAAATAATATAAAGCATACGATAAAGTTTTTTGGAATGATGCGAATTATAATCCAGAGTCACTGTGACTATGTACAATTTAGGTCAAATTAAATCCAACAAATAAAATCACAATATAAAGTAAATGCTTACCTTGTCTCCTCCCCACAGCCTCTGCCCAGACCCACCAACTCTTCTTTGTAGGACTGATCTTCCCACTTAAATCCCCAATAATTGAGTGTCATAAAGATATTGAAGAAAAAAAAAAACACCCAAGAAAAGCCTGTATGTTGGTCCCACTGAAATATAGATAAATCTTGCTTCACCCTGAACATCTACATGCGGACTTATCTTAATTTGGAATTTAAAGGAGAAAAAGTTCTTTTTGTTGCAGTTAAATCCCTTTCTTCTTCTTCTTTTTTTTTTTTTGAGACAGAGTCTCACTCTGTCACCCAGGCTGGAGTGCAGTGGCGTGATCTCAGCTGTCTGCATCCTCTGCATCCCGGGTTCAAGCACTTCTCTGCCTCGGCCTCCCAAGTAGCTGGGATTACAGGCGCCCACCATCACACTCGGCTAATTTTTGTATTTCTAGTAGAGACGGGGTTTCACCATCTTGGCCAGGTTGGTCTTGAACTCCTGACCTCATGATCCACTCGCCTCGGCCTCCCAAAATGCTGGAATTACAGGCGTGAGCCACCATGCCCAGCCATCCCTTTCTTCTTTTAGGGAAAAGAGAATGGGGGGAAATGTGAGAGGAGATGTCATTTCTGCATAAATCAGGTGGGCAGCAGGGAAACTGCTGTGTCCACTTCTTCTTGCTTGTCACTTCTCTTCCTCAATTTTCAAATTACTGGAGCTGTCCCTCCCTAGAAATCAGCTGCAGGGGGGATGAGTGGGTGGGGGAAATATGTTCTTGGCATCCCACCAACAGGTAAAGCCTTTTTCTAGAGAAATATGGTTATCCATGGTGGTTACTTCTTCAGGATCATGCTTCACGCACAATTAAGGGTTAAATGTATTGTTCTAGGAACTTGATCACTGTGTATTTTTTTTAATTGGCAGGTAGATGTAAGCACATGTATTTCTTTTTAATGAAAAAAAAATCCAAACAACAAACTACTAAACACATTTTTAAACAAAGAGTCTTTATAAGTTGTGACTAACTTCTCTTGTAAATTGAGAGTTAAAGTCATTTCTAAGCTGTGATAGTATTTGATTTTAAGGGCACACACACACAATCCAGAACATTTAAGACAAATTTTTGGAACACAATCCATTCAACTCACCTATATGAAATATGAAATCATGGGAGAACCAATATTTCTATCTATTTACCTATTTACATATTGTGTGTCAATATGCACACATATGGATTAAAATTACAATTCTCCAAAACAGCTCCCTTTTATATGGATAAAACAAAGCAACACTGAAGACAAAGCATGAATGCAAGAGAAGGAGGTAATAACTACCATTTTCACTGGTACTACACCTCAGCTTTGACAATGAAAACATTAGGTATTTCTTGAAGATTATTCAAAAGATAATGCTCAAAATGGGTTTTGTAAATCATTTATTATGACTGAAAGGGAAGAAAATGATAGGAGACAAATATTACAATTAAACATGTAACATTATTCTCTTGTAACCAATCATAATAACATACTTTGAATTTTTGAATGGCTATATAATTTCCCAGAAAATAAAATTTTCACATCATCAGTTACAGAAAATTGATTTCCTTCCATCAAAATATTTTATCTCTGCTCTATCAAAAATAAATGCCAAGTCTAAGGTACTACACAGTTTAAGATAAGCCTTCACTACTTGTTTAAATTAGAGGAGTGTGGGGAGGGGCTTACCAAATGATGAATAAACTACTGCCTGAGAATAAAGCCCTCACACATAAGTAACAGCTCTGTCAAGCCTCTGGCTCACCAACTAATTATTAAATGGCTCTCTAGGAACTTAGAAACTCTTCTGTAACCCAGCCAAAAGGCTTCTGAGAGTCATCACAAACTGGTTACCAGTTTATTCTCAAAAACAAATTTGCTTATTCGATGGGCGACTGTGGCTCAAAAGATGTAGGGGAAACAGTCAATTGAAATCTATTTTGATGGGGTTTAAAAAATATTCTTTTTGTCATTATCAATAAAGTAAAATATTATTTGAGCAATGTATTTCTTAGTTCTGTCCCTTCTAAGGATGCTAATACAGTATGGAACATTTTTAAAAGGCTTAATGTGAGAACAGTACATTGCCACAGGGAGAAGGCAGCAAAGAAGAAAATATGAAGGCTCGGGCAACAAATTAATTCAGCAGCTAACATTTCTCAAATTGGTTAAAAAAAATGACAAAGTGATAAATATATGTCCAAAAAATAAATACAAATATTCTATACATAAATAAAATTAAGTATACTCATGATTACCATTACAATTGAACATTTTAATAATATAATTTTCATGTCTTATCACAGTTTCATTTTTATCATGAATATGAACTACACTGTTGTGACACATACTGGAATGCACTGACCACTTACATAACCTAATAAAGTAATGCATTTAAGTACTCTATCAACTAAAATTTAACCTCCTTTGACAGAAGAATTATTTTCTCTTTTCTTTTAAAAAATATTTTTGAGGCTGGGCACGGTGGCTCATGCCTGCAATCCCAGCACTTTGGGAGGCCGAGGTGGGAGGATTGCTTGAACCCAGGAGTTTGAGACTAGGCTGGACAACATAGGGAGATCCTGTCTCTACTAAAAATACAAATATTAGATGGGCATGGTGGTGCATGCTTCTAGTCCCAGCTATTCAAGAGGCTGAAGTGGGATTGCTTGATCCCGGAAGGTCGAGGCTACAGTGAGCTATGATGGCACCACTGCACTCCAGCCTGGGCAACCAGAGTGAGACCCTGCCTCAAAAAAATAAAATAAAATTTCTGGAGCCAGGTGTGGTGGCTCACACTTGTAATCCCAGCACTTTGGGAGGCTGAGGAGAGAGGATTGCTTGAGGCCAGGAGTTCAAGACCAGCCTGGGCAACATAGCAAGACCCTATCTGTGCATACATATGTATGTATGTGTAGGGAATCTATTTTCAAACTATAATTAGAAGGTAATGTGTGAGGAGCAAAGCTTTAAGGATTGTCTTTGTTTTTAAAGATATTATTAACAAAGCAAGGTCAAAATGACCCAGCACCAAATACAGTGAAATGTGGGCAATATTCTTCTGAATCTGGGCAGCACTGACAGCCAAGGAATGTCAGGAATCACCATCTTGTTTTAAATTTTACACTCCAGTGATGTGAAAAGGTGACGGTATACTTTCTAATACCACACAGGAGGCTCAGGTTACCTAATGTTATCCTGCTTTCTCACATAATGATTCATAGAGCCGGAAGATGTACTGCACCTGCTCTGAAAATGTACTCCTCGCACCACTCTGCAGCAGTTTCTTATGCTGCATGTTCTACTCCTTTCCAAACACTATATCATTAATTAAAAGCGCATTTAGTTATAGCACTTACTATTTTGGCAGTGAACATTTCCAAATAATCAACTGGTTTACCAAATGGGAGTTTGGAATCTCCCTTTCTAAAGATTGCCAGAATATTAAAAAGGGGAAAAAAAGAAAAGAAAAGAAAAGCCACATTGCACAATGTGTCTGATGACAAGGGAGAAGGGAGATGGAAAAAATGATGAATTCTTACTCATTTACTCTATAAGAAAATTAGTGTGTTGGCAAATTTTGTGTTTATGTTTTACTGTTAATATTTATTTGAATATTTAAGAATCAAATAAAAGAGACTAACCCCCTTCATTGTTAAGGTTTGGAATACCGGTGTGTGGCTGCCGTGCTGCCAGGTGTAAACGAACTTGTAGGGAGCTGATACAGCCACAGCATGGAGGACAAGGAGTGAATGTTCAGGCTCCCCAGCTTTCAGAGTAAGGTGGGGCCTTTGGTCGGTCTGCTGCTTGACAGAAGAGGCTGGCTTCCCATCATTCTGGCTTGGGGTCCCCGGGTCTGGGCTGAGAGCAGTGCTGGAGCAGAGAGGTGGTGAAATGCTGCCTTTTGCTGATGGAAGTTGTTTATGTAACTGGCGATCAAAAGAGTGATTTCAAGAATCTAAAACAAGGAAAACAGAATTGTTTTGCTCCTTAGAAGTTCTCATCACTTCCAGAAGAGAGTAAAGTGTTGGCCACAGGTGAGCTCCATTTGCAAGTGCCCAGGCTACCAGAATTCCCTTCTCTCTAGATCAAACAATGAAGTGCTTACATGTCCAGCACCATCAAGGCAGCCACACGTTTTTTCATTACTTAAACCAGCAGAAAGAGTGAATCTCAAAAACAATCAAATTGAGTGGCATTCTTAGGAAATGTGACAGTCAGTAGTAGAACTCTATCAAATTATCATAAAGCCACATTAGTGAATATATGAATTAAGAAAGTTAGTGTCATAAGAACTCTCTATTTTCACTAAAGACTGAGCTCCCTGATCTGCACTTAATGGTTAGCTGCTTTCACTTAAGTATAGGCTTAATTAAGAAAGACATCTATTTTGTAAAAAAAGCTTCAGATTCCGAAGAAGTAATTTCTTTTATCTGATAACATTAAGACAGCTAAAGTTGTAGGAAAATCACTTTCAATTAGAATTACATGTTAGAATGTAATCCATTTATTTATTGCTTTTACTTAGAGATGTTAAAACTACACAGTTTGTTAAAAGTCGTAAAGGAGCAAGTATGTTTTAATTATAAAATCCCAGTCTTTCCTCTAATGAGTCCATAAAGCAAATAACCTCAAGTGAATAAGATAATGTGTATAAAGTACCAGGCAGCAATAACTTAATGCCACAACTATTTATTTTGAATCTTCTATATACCTGGCATTGGGCTAAGTACCCTACAAACTTCCTTCATTTAATTTTTAAGCCAAAAGAAGTAGGGAGTATGTTACCATATTTTTAGACAAAGAAACCAGAGCTTGGAAAGATGATGTAAGTTGGACCCATGTTTGTTTGACTATAAATAACGTCTGTTTTCCCATCTGGAATGCAGTCTTTGCTGAATAAATGTTTTAATATGAAAACAATTAGCATTGCTTTTTGGCCTTCTGGCTAAGACTAAGTGAAAACAACTAGGACAAAAAAGTTGGCAGAAAGGCTTCTACTCACCTTGGGTTTTGCCATGGCAAAAAGTAATTTCTCTGTTGGTTTGTCCTTTGAATGTGTATTGTTAATGACTACCATAAAATCATCTTGATAGCCTCCAAAGGTCATTAGACTCTTGTACACATAGCTGACTATTAACCTCTTTAAAGATAAGAAAAAGTATATATGTTATATGCTCTTACTTCCAAGGAGAGATGGAAAATAATTAATAATATATCTCCATTAAAAGGCAGATATTAATCAATTATGGTATAATACAAAATTATTTTCTAAAATAAAATGTATTATGATCCAAAATAGATAGTAGTGGTACTAATTTTATTTAGGCATCATCTACCTTTACAATGTTGAGTCCGAAACAAGTCACTGCAGAAAAATGAGAAAATATAAGAAAAAAATAAAAAGCATCTATATTCCAGCATCTAGTGGAAAGCCACTGTTAATATTTTTTATATGCCCTTTCATATATCTCTTATATTTATGTTAGGTTAAGCCATATTACTGATACTTTTCATGGTCAAAATGGTCAAGTATTGGTAAATCTACATAGTTCACCTAGATAGATGGATTTTGAAATCCATAAACAGAAACAGTATCACGTATTAACCCTTTGTCACATATGCAGCAAATATTTTTTTCTAATGTGTTTCCAAAACAATGTAAAAATATAACTTAGGCCGGGCCTGATGGCTCACGCCTGAGGCTGAGGTGGGAGGATCACTTGAGCCTAGCCTGGGCAACATAGGGAGACCCAGTTTCTATGAAAAAAAAAAAAAAAAAAATTAGCCGGGCATGGTAGTACATGCTTGTGGTCCCAGCTACTTGGGAGGCTGAGGCAGGAGGACTGCTTGAGCCCAGGAGGTCAAGGATGCAGGGAGCAGTGATCACACCACCGCACTTCAGTCTGGGCGACAGAATAAGACCCTGCCTCAAAAAAAAATCAATAAATCAATAAAATAAAATAAAATAAAATGTAACTAATATACAGCCTGAAAGGACTCTGCATATCTAATGATTACCTTGCAAGACTGAGCAGACCATTCCAGGACTGAATGCCTCAGACCCACCTGTGTGTGCTTCCTGGCCTGTCTGGCTACCTCCTGGGAGCTAGGGAGCTAGTTTTCTGAACTAAGGTAACTTAGTACTGGTGTATAGGTTTTTTGGTTTGTTTGTTTTTACTTTAAGTCACTGATTTTATAATATCTTCAAGTTATCCATTTAAAAACTAAAAGGCACTCAGAAAATATAACCCCTTGAAAAAAAGTGTGTGTGTGTTTGTTTTTTAAGCAATTATAAGGGGAAACAGTGACTATAACACAAAAGAATAGTTTGGTTTCCAGAAAATTTTCAGTGATCTTCTGATTATAGCCACAGGATTAGACCTGCCAGGTGAATTTAGTAATTCCTGCTCACCAGATTAAACAAAAAAGAGAATAAAATTGTATTAAATAATTAGACACATGAAATATGATAAAAAATGTAAATTTCGGGTAAATAAATGAACACATATAGATATCATAGTTTGAATTTAAACTATGTGAAAAGTGCTAAGATGCTATATAAATGACATTATAGGAAATTATAGAAATTGTTAAAGAAGCCTTAGTGAAAGTGAACTTAAACTTTGGTAATTAAAGTTCCCACCTTAATGATTTCTTACAGATTTTTATTTTACACAGGAAACAATCTTCTTAACACTTTTAAAAAATAATCATTTCATGAATGTAACCATGATCACAATTTAGTCATGGTATCAAGATTTTTCTCATACACAATAAACGACCTGTCTTATCTTGTTTTAAAAGGTTAAATTATAATCATAGCTGTATTTGTAAAATGACTGTTCATGACATAGTATTAGGAAGAATGTTTCCTGGGTAAGAGAAAAATCAGATTAAGATATCATTACTTTCTGTTTACGGTACACTGAGCAATGGAAACAGTTGACTTAATGCAAAACTTGAGCGTTTAAACTTACCATGGAGTTGTATTCTAAGAGGCTTAAACCATCCTCATGTACAGCCAGCCACAAGAAAGTACTTCCAAGTGATGATGGAGTTATGGGCTATGAAGAGGTGAAAATACACTATATTATAAATACTAAGCAAAATTACAGGAATATTTTTCAGTCTAAATGTCATGTAACATTTGCCATTAAACAACAATAATAACAACAAAAATTTATTAAAAATCTCGCCTAGGAAAGAGGCAGGGTGGTATACCGGAGCTAAGAGTGAATTCGATATTAGGAGACCTAGCTTTGAGACCCAAACCTGCCATATATTAATGTATGCATTTGGATAAACTACTGAATCTGTTTGAGGCTCAATTTCCTCATCTTTAGCATAGGAACAATAATGTTTATATTTTACTTTTCTTCTGCGTTAAGACGTTAATAGTCAACAAGTTTTTAGGGTTTCTATGATGACCAAAATCCTAATGAAGCAAAATATACTGATATGCTTGATAAGTTGTGTAGTGCTATTACAAGGTAAAAGATTATTATTATAATTGCACACCTTTCCTGAAAGTTTATTAAATCTGATATTCAATGTGTAATAAAAACACAATAACAAGAAAATATGAAACTGTGTAATCAATAGTAATGAGAAATATGAAAATTTCCACCGAATTTTTTATTGTAAAAGCTACGAAATTGACTGGGTGTTGTGGCTCTCGCCTGTAATCCTAGCACCTTGGGAAGCCGAGGTGGGTGGATCATCTGAGGCCAGGAGTTCGAGACCAGCCTGTGCAACATGACGAAACCCCATCTCTGCCAAAGACACAAAAATCAGCTGGGCATGGTGGTGCACGCCTGTAATCCGATCTACTTGGGAGGCTGAGACAGGAGAACAGCTGGAACCTGGGAGGCGCAGGCTGCAGTGAGCTGAGATAGTGCCACTGCACTCCAGCCTGTGTGACAGAGTGAGACTTCATCTAAAAAAAAAAAAAAAAAAAGCTAAAAGCTACTCCTGGTTCTCATAGAAAAAAAAAGCTATGAAATTATATTAATAAAAAGAATCTCCTACCACTAGAACCCAACTGAAACCCATGAATGTTTTTGAGCAATTAATGATGCTTGTTTGGTTCCATTAACAAATGAAATCCTAAAAAAAATCTTAACTATTTCCCTTAAATTTTACAAAACAATGTCAAGACTATAGATATAAAACTGGAATGAATGTTGGGTTATTTTATATAATAAAACTTGCTAGCATCTCATATATACAAAACCCTGAGTTAGAAACTGTCTACTGAGGGCTGATTTGCAAAGGATAGGGAGAATTCAATTCAAAAGGATGCCCTTCAACTCTAGTGTCCACTGACAGGTGAATGGATAAACAAAATGTGGTATATATATACCTACAGTGGAATGTTATTCTGCCTCAAAAGGGAAGGAAATTTTGACACATGTTACAACATGGATGAACCTTGAAGACATTACACTAAGTGAAATAAGCCAATAACAAAAGCACAAATATTATATGATTTCTCTTACCTGAAGTTCCTAAAGTAGTCAAATGCATAGAGACAGAAAGTAGAGTGGCAGTTGCCAGGGCTGGGAGGAGGAGGGAGGACTGGGGAGTTAGGTACAGTTTCAGTTTGGGAAAATAAAAAAGTGTTTAGATGAATGGTGGTGACAGCAACACAACAATGAGAATGTACTTAATGCCACAGAACTATACACTTAAAAATGGTTACAATGGGCCAGATGCGGTGGCTCACGCCTGTAATCCCAGCACTTTGGGAGGCCGAGGCGGGTGGATCACTTCAGATCAGGAGTTCGAGACTAGTCTGGCCAAAATGGTGAAACCCTGTCTCTACCAAAAATATAAAAATTAGCTGAGCGTGGTGGTGTGCGCCTGTAATCCCAGCTACTTGGAAGGCTGAAGCGTGAGAATCGCTTGAACCTGGGAGGCGGAGGTTGCAGTGAGTCAAGATTGCACCACTGCACTCCAGTCTGGGTGACAGAGTGAGACTCCGTCTCAAAAAAAAAAAAAAAAAAAAAGGTTAAAGGGTAAATTTCATTATGTGTATTTTACCACACACAGAAAACAGGATGCCATGAAGCAACAAAGGAGGTGTCGCTTGTTATAAAGAAAGAAAAGTGAGCAAAAAAGATGCTTGTCACGTAATTTGAAAAGCAATATTATTATTTAATAATATTTTGTGCCAGCAAGCACATTTTATCAGAACAGAAAAGGGTATTTAATATTACTTCCAATGCTGAAGTTAGAATTAAAATCCATGCTGCTCTACAGTTCAAATCTATTCCTTGTAATTTTAAAAAGTAACGTTCAACTTCCCGTAAGTACATTAATTTTATAGATGTTTAAGAATACTAACTTTATCATCTTTTTCTTAATTAGTATACAGCTTTCAGTTCCACTAGAAAAAAATTAATTCTCACCTATCAATAATATAGTCACTCATAGAATCAGAGTTAGAAGATACCTTAGATTTTACTTTTCTAATCTAAGTATTTCATTAACAGATGAGGAAAAGTGAGGTCCAGAGAGGTAACCTGACTTGCCCAAAGTTGCACAGCTATTCAGCAATATTTATTAAGTGATAATTATTAATTACGTGCAAAGCACTACAGTAGGTACAAGAGGAAGATTTTAGGATCAGTGAGTTTATAGTTTCAAGGAGCATGCAATTTAATAGTGAGTATAAAACAAACACACAGAAAAATATAACACAAGGCAAGATGTATCTTAAGAGCCTGAGAAAGTACAAAGAGACATGTTTCAACAGAAAGAAAAGGAATCAAAAGGCATAATTTTTCCCTTGGGGAAAGGGCTGGCCATCCCTGGGCAGGGTGGGTCTCCTTCCTCAGTGTTCCTGCAGCAGTCTGTTCATGTGACTCATAGTGATATTTGCCATACAGTGGTTTGTTTATAGGCCTGTTGTTACAAAGTAAAATAGTCCTGGAAGTTCATGTACAATCCATCTGAAACAATAGGTTATGTATCCCTAGAGCTTAGCTCAATGTTTAGCAGACAGAACTTAGTAAATACTAATGAGCAAATGAGTGACAGAGTAAACATGTGCATGGATGAATGAATGAACAGAAGAATGCAGAGTTCAGCTGTGGTTTAGGACTCATGATTCACCTAATGAGTCCAAGAAATGATTTAGGGTGGGAAAAGTTGGGCAGAGAGGAAAAGATAGAGAAGCTTTTCTGCCCTTTCTCTAGTGTCTCTTCATTGTTTTCTTTACATTATTGGATATTTCTTCATTTTTTACAAAAGCCAAGGATACTAAGTCTGGGGTAAATCTGGTCAACTATGTACACAAAGGTTTTCATTATGCATCTCTCTCCCATTCTTTCTTACTTTTGCAAGAAACAACTTGGCACCAAAGAATGGCCACTTCCTGGCTACTGTCAAATAAATGCGCACACAGTCAGCAGCACTGTGTCCCCGGAGGGCCATCCATCTGGTTGAAAGTCGCTGGCAAAGCTGCCTAAAAAAAAAGAAAAGAACAAAAACAAAAACACTAAAGCAAAAACATAAACAGTGTGTCATAGTCTTAAGATAAAACTCTCCTTGAGCCAATCCTAAGCATAACTGTGATCCCTAGGCATAACCCAGGTAAAGATTTTGTGACTCTCATCACACCACTGTCCATCACTTGTCCTTTCTGGAATATTCCTTTCACCAAATTCTCATACTATTCGTGTTTTCGGCATGAACTAGGTACCCACAGCAGGTCCATTTTTAAAATCTGAATATCTACCATCAAAACTTAGCGTAAATTAGTTTAAAAGATAATTTCTCATGGGAATATTTTCATTTTAAAAGAAAAGTACAGGCCCGGTGCAGTGGCTCACGCCTGTAATCCCAGCACGTTGGGAGGCCGAGGCGGGAGGATCACCTGGGGTCAGGTGTTTAAGACCAGCCTGGCCAACGTGGTGAAACCCCGTCTCTACTAAAAATACAAAAATAAGCCAGGCATGATGGCGGGTGCCTGTAATCCCAGCTACTCGGGAGGCTGAGGTGGGAGAATCACTTGAACCCGGGAGGTGGAGGTTGCAGCGAGCCGAGATCACCCCATTGCACTACAGCCTGGGTGGCAGAGCAAGACTCTGTCTTAAACAAAAACAAAAACAAGTAGTAGAGCCCAAAGATGAATCCCTGATGGTAGAATTTTAGGTCCTCCCACCCCTGGCTTGGAGAGATGTTAGATGCAAGGTGAAACTTGTCAAATCAAATTACAAAGGCAAGCACTTATTCTACATAGACAAAAGGCTGATCTTAAATGTTTCTATTTTGGAAAAGCTCACGATAAATTGGATTTGCCTCTATTTCTAAATCTAATCAGCTTCTCTTTATATATTCTCTGAAATTGAAACTCCAAATTGAGGTAAATTAGAAACTTTTATATTAAAAAGTCTTTTGTAAGAAGATAGTTTATTTTTATTTCAACTTATTCATAATAGAATATACAAAATATAATTTTTTGGTATGTACTTCATAAAATTAAACATATTATTGGCCAATTTTTTTCTCTTATTTATTATCAGGGTTGTTCTGGACAAGAATGAAAAAGATCAATTAAAAAGTACATCTAAAGCCTTTTTTTTTAATTAAAGAAAGTTTAAATATAGATTCTAAAGCTTCTGGGCTTATCTTAAATAAAAATATTGGCTGGGCACAGTGGCTCACGCCTCTAATCCCAGCACTTTGGGAGGCTGAGACAGGCAGTTCATGAGGTCAGGAGATCGAGACCATCCTGGCTAACACGGTGAAACCCCATCTCTACTAAAAATACAATAAATTAGCTGGGTGTGGTGGCGGGCGCCTGTAGTCCCAGCTACTTGGGAGGCTGAGGCATGAGAATGGCTGTACCCGGGAGGCGGAGCTTGCAGTGAGCCGAGATTGGGCCACTGCACTCCAGCCTGGGCGACAGAGCGAGACTCCGTCTCAAAAAAAAAAAAAAAGAAAGAAAAAAAATCTATAATCTCCTGTGGCTCAATCATGTTAAAAAAATCTTGAGAAAGCTGTCCAAATGTTTTTCACCTTTAAAATTTGAACACAAAAATATTACCAAAAAACTAGTATGACCCTACCCTATAAAGAGTTACAAAGATTTCCTTACCTTAACTGCTCTTCAGAACAGCCATCTCTATACCTTTTAGGATAAAATTTCTCTATGACTTGCTTTAGAGTTTGATTCACTTTGCACTGATTGGTAACATGCCCTGCTGGAGTTGAGAAAGGTCTTTCAAAATCTCCAATCTCTACCTAATTGGAAATCCACAAAAGTGAAAATATATTGAAAAGAGTTTTAAGACAGAAAATCAGTTAGTTTTATTTTTTCTAAACATTCTTTTTTAACACATAATACATAAATCTATTTGTCATGATTATGTGATTATGAACTTCATAATCATATGTAGGAATTTTTATAAATTACATTTGAATTATAATTTTTTTTTTGAGACGGAGTCTCACTCTGTCACCCAGGCTCATTGCAACCTCTGCCTCCCAGGTTCAATTGATTCTCCTGCCTCAGCCTCCTGAATAGCTGGGACTACAGGCATATACCACCACGCTTGGCTAATTTTTGTGCTTTTTGTAGAGACGGGGGTTTCACCATGTTGGCCAGGCTGGTCTCGAACTCCTGACCTCAAGTGATCCGCCTACCTTGGCCTACCAAAGTGTTGGGATTGCAAGCGTGAGCCAGAGCCACCGCCTGGCTTGAATTCTAATTTTGAAAAAAATCTGTAATTTAAACATTTGAGTTCCATTTCTACATTAACCTTCCTAGTTTACTATCACCATCTAGTAGTACTTGCTAAAGGTCACTACTTTGTTATTGTCTGCAAGGACAATTTTTCATTTTTAAGGCACTATTTTAATTGCTGATAATAAGATGAAATAGATGTTAAAAATAAAAGGCAACAGACGGGTGTGGTGGCAGGCACCTGTAATCCCAGCTACTCGGGAGGCTGAGGCAGAAGAATCGCTTGAACCCAGGAGGCGGAGGTTGCAGTCAGCCGAGATCATGCCATTGCCCAGCCTGGGTGACAGAGCAAGACTCCATCTCAAAAAAAAAAGTTATAAGAAATTTCAAAAAACTATTAGTTGGACTTTTTGAGGGTCTCTCCTGAATGTAATGGGAGCAAGAACCATATTCTCATTACTTTGTTCCTAGATTTTCTCCATGTTATTGTGTTCATACTCTCATTCTACTAGCATTAATCCCGGGAATAGAGTCCTTCCCAGGATATACAGTTGTGTTCGGAACCACAATTTATACTTTATTGGAGCATGAAGTTCAAGGTAGGGAGTATTAAGGGAATGTTGAGGCTGGAGGGGCAGGCAGAGTTCAGATCTTGAAAGTCCTTGCATGTAAAAAAGGAATGACAGAGCTAGATTCACATTTTTGCTGTATCTCTATCCCAGTTACTAGTGCTGCCTAATAAAGCTCCATGCACAGGTGACATTGTGCCAGTTTCCAGGCTCAGCCCTTAAGAAAACAGCAGTTTCCACTTCTTGTCTATCTTCTGGGACATTGTTGCTGTCACCCATTCACCATTCTTGGAGGAAGCACAAGCAGTCATATACATGAAGAGACCACGTGTAAGGTGCTCCAGCTGACAGTCCCAGCAGAAGTCCCCACAAACAGCCGGCATCAATCAGCCACCAGACATGACTGAAGGAGCCTTCAAATGATTCCAGCCCTCAGCCATAGAGTGACAACTGGCTCTCAAGCTATGTCAGCTGATACCACCGGAAGCAGAGACACACACTGTCCCTTCACATCCCTGCCCAAATTACTGTCTTAAGTAGCTGAGTTTTGGAGTCATTAGTTATGTAGCAATAGATAAGTGGAAAAAATCCCTCTAGCATTTGTGTGAAGGATAAATTTGTGAGGGACCAGACCAGAGAAAGGCACACTACTTAGGAGCCTGCTGCAGGACAGCAGGCAGTATGAGACAATGATCCGAACCTTAGCAACAGAAGTCAGCATACAGAGGAGAGAACAGACTAAAACATCCCTAAGAGTTCACATTCGCAGGATGTGGTGACTGGTGGAAAAGGGCCAAAGTGAGGGAAGAGTCATGATAATTCCCAGGTGTGAAGCTTGTTTGGGGGACCGGGTGGAGGCAGTATCATAAAGAGGAGACAGAATGTGAACACAGAGGAGGGACGATGATTAGTTTGGTTTTCAATATGCTGATTTTGGCTGGGCGCGGTGGCTCACGCCTGTAATCCTAGCACTTTGGGAGGCCAAGGCAGGTGGATCACTTGAGGTCAGGAGTTCGAGACTAGCCTGGCCAACATGGTGAAACCCCGTCTCTACTAAAAATACGAAAATTAGCAGAGCATGGTGGTGAGTGCCTATAATTCCAGCTACTAGGGAGGCTGAGGCAGGAGAATCGCTTGAACCCGGGAGGTGGGGGTTACAGTGAGCCAAGATTGTGCCACTTCACTCCAGCTTGGGCAAAAGAGGGAAACTCTGTCTCAAAAAAAAAAAAAAAAAAAAAGTTGATTTTAAGGAGCCCATAAAAAAACTACGAACTGAAGAAAAAAGATCTGGGAAACACTGGCATAGGTGGTGCATAGAATAAAAAGAATGATTGAGATGTCCTGGGACAGAGTGTAGCGTGAAGAGCCATAGGCCAAAGACCCTGGGGAATCTAAGCCTTGGTCCAGATGCCATATGGCAGAGTTGCTTTAACATTTTCCTTAATTAACCTAGGCAAAGACTTGGGTGTGGTTGAGACTATGGGTTGCATCTTATGACCATTCTCTCCTTCTTAAGAAAAACCTTAAATTTAGCTGGGCACACTGCCACCCCGCTGAGACCACATTCCCCGGACTCCCTGGTAGGTAGTAGGCAAGGCCATGTGACTAAATTCTGATGGGAGAGACATGAATGGAGGCGTTCTATGCAGCTGCTGAGAAGTTTTCTCAAGTGCGGGAGAGCATGCCCTTTTCAGCCCTTCCCCCACCCTGAAGCCCGGAACACTGACATTAGCTGGCACTCTGGCAGACTCCCAGGACCATGGTGATGACACCCTAGGGATGGCAGAAGAGAGAACAGGATAAAGCCCATGACCCTAATGGCTTCACAGAGGTGCCAGGATGCCTCGCTCTCTATGTGAGCGCTAAATATACTTCTATTCTGATTAAGTCAGTATTAATTTTGTGTGTGTGTGTGTGTGTGTGTGTGTGTGTGTGTGTGTGTAGAAGATTGAACTTAATCCTAGCTGATACAATAGGCAAATAAAAGAAAGTGCTCTAGCCTTTTCAAGGACTTACTCCTATTAGACTACCAAGCGATTTCAGCATGACATCTTCAAGCCCACAGCTCTACACTCCAATTCCTTTATTAAATACAAAGCCTAGAGATATATTTTCAAAATAATTAAGAAACTGGGTTCTCTTTATGGAATACTGTCTCATTCTACATCATTGCAATTGTCAGCAGTTTAGAGGCAAACTATAATTATAGTGCCTGTAATTTTTAAGGTGCTAATTGTAGCAAAACGAATGTAAAGAATTATTGAAGTATATTATTTTACGTTTAATTCAGTGTAGAAATTAGTATCATATTATTTCAATATATTACTCCATATAACATGGAAGTTACCTGAGATAAAAGAGCTGCCATTTCTAATGCCAGATCTTTGTTCAGAGGAAAAAGTCCATTTATGATTTGATCATTTGTCTGATACATTAACAGCAACTTTTCTCTATCAGTCTCTCCACGAGCTTGCACTGAGAAATATAGTCTGTAAAAAAAAAGAGTAAATTTCTCATTAAATTATATTCTTACAAGGAAATAAAGTAAAGATAAATCCAGAGGACTGAGATGGGGTTGTTTTAACACAGTACTCTAAGTGGTATGAACTTAGACTACTACTGTCAATGACTTCTGTTTCTGTTCTATTTAGTACTTTCCGCAAAATAAGAAAAAACTGCTTTGAGGTTGAGGTTGAGAAGTGCTGGAGGTGGCGCTGAATCACATTAAATGTCAATTGTCTAAATACACCAATGAAAAGACAGAGATTGTCATAGTTGATAAAATATAAAACCCAACTATATGGCGCTTATAAGAAATCCACTTTAAATATAAATAAAAATATATAAGTAGAAGTAAAGGGATGAAGCAATTTTCTAGGCCTTGAAACACCAAATCCTTAAATGTTCCTGAGGAAGGACCTAAGACATCAAGCGAAATTAAATATGCCCTCTCTTGCAAGGAATGTATGATACAGGCCTTTATTTCAATGGGCTGTATAAACCCAGTCTTCAAAACCCTCATGATCCTTCCTGAATACCTTGGACACAGCACAGAAAAGGAAGTGAAGGTTTCAACTCAAAACTACCCCCAAATCAACATCAAATAAGGGGAGGGGGAGAAGGTGAGTTTTCTCTGGGAATCTGAAAGATAATATTTATAGATTTAAGTGTGTTTTGACTTTTTGGCCACAATCTGATAAGCAGCTTTAGGGGCTCAAAAATAGTTTACATGTTATCACTATTACTCACTGAAACACAACATGGCTTTTGTCTGCCTAGGGGGGTCTTCATCAAATCAGTGACTCTCTTTATTTATTCACTGTGTCATTTATTCATATGTGAGATTTGTGGGGCTCTGACTTCAGGCTGCAGATCAGGCACAGGTGCTGTAACGGCTCTAAATGCTGTGACAATGGGGTGGGTGAGCAACATCTTGACACACCTGAATACTGCCATGACAACACAGTGGCTGGAAAAGAGAGATTTAGATACAGTAACTGTTAGGTGTGTGCTCAGTTTGGCTATAACTTTGCATTTTCAGCCTTTTCTTCCCCCTACACACTTGTGGGAGAGGACACACCCCTATCATTTACAGTATCTCTCCCAGTAATTCTCTCAAATAGCAGGGAAGGGGAGGGCAGCAGGTCTGAATCTCTGGGCAAGCATGGGTGGGTATACTTTGAAAAGCTCCTCCTACCCCATGATTCTATTCATTCTTTCCTCTTTACCCAGTTTACAAATCAGAAAAATCCTAAGCTCCATTTTAATCTATGATGACTACACAAAGACAAATAATGCAGGATTATATTGTTAAACTGGTAGTAGAATATGGCTGGGCAACAGAAACAGATGACAAATCCAAAATGATATCAGCAAAGCCGTATGAAACAAAGAGAAGAAAATTTAAGATGAAAGCCTTTCTTTTTGGCATGCTTACATTTGTATGCATAGCTTATTCTCCCTACTTGAAGTTAGGAAGTATATCATACTCATCACTGTAATCCATTAGAGTTTAGCTAAGTGTTACCACTGGAAGGTTTGGTAATATGGCTAAGGGGAGAAAAAGAACCAAATGGTTACAGGCAAGAAGAGCTTAAGTGCATTTTCTCTTATTCCCAGCAGGCAACACAATTGAGCCTGACAGGGGAAAAGGAAGTATCACTAGCAAAAAAAAAAAAAAAGAGAGAGAGAGAGAAACAATACTGGACATGAACCATGGGCTCAAATCCCTAATGAAACAGTTTTGGCTCCAATAGCTATCCAGGGATTTGGGGAGAATTTGAAGAGGAACAAAAATGACCAAGAAGTCATAAAAATCAAATCCATGGAGCTTGAATAGGAAAGGCACTAGAGGAATGTGATCTAAGCCTCTCACAATATGGCCAGCTTTCAGCTGCTTCCAAATCCTAAAGAGGCCTGCAGCAGACAGAATGGGCTTCCATGACAGCAGGCAAGGCTTAGATTAGCTCGCGGGGGTATTCCCAAATCTCCACCTCCTCATTGGACACCCAGGAAGCTGAATACTGTGGGATGGAAATTGCGTCACTGTGGACCAGTACCACTACGCAAATATACTGCTTCCAAATTCAGCAGGGCTCTCAGCACCACTGGGCGATCCTTTTGCTTGCCCTCAACTGGATCCATATTCATTCTTCAGAGCATTTATTTCCTACTGTTGCCCTTCCCATCCTCTTGTAAACTTACTGGGGGGAAAGCCTGCAATCTCTCTCTGTTCACCCTTCCTTCACTCCTCAGTCCACCATGGTCTACTGGTTATACTCTACTAAAACTGCAATTGTTCTCTTCCTGCCTCAGTGGCGTCCAACTTCCAGTCATCTGCTCAGAAGTCACCACTCTGCAAAGTCTTCCTCTATGTCCCTACAACCTCTTGTACGTATGCGTCATACTCATGGTAACGACAAATATCTACAAAGCATTTACTATGTGGCAGGCTCTGAACCAAGTGCTTTACAATTGCCAACATTTAATCCTTCAGACAACCCTAGAGGTGGGAGTCATTTTGACCTCCGTTTCACATACAGGGTACCTGAGGCACAGAGATGTTAAGTGACTTGCTCAGGGCCACATAGTAAGTGGTAGAGCCAGGATTCTAACCCAGGCAGCCTGTCTCCAGCCCATGTTCTTCACTCCTGTGCTACATTCTTCCTGTTACAGCACTGATTGCATTGCTAAGACTTCATGTCTGCCTCTCCCTATAAACTGGAAGATTCTAAAGGGCAAGGAAACTCTATTCACCTTGGAATTCCCAAGGCTTCAAACAAGTCTTGGCACTGGTAGATGGCATGAATGGACAAATAAATGGTACGTGAGAATTGCTAAGTACAGGAATTATTTGCCAAAAATCCTGAAGAATTCCCTTTCATAGTCTTAGGCAAGTGACTTAACTCTCTAAAGCTTCAGTTACCTCATCTGTGAGATGGAAATAATAATAGTACCTCAAAGGGTTGTAAGGATTATGTAAGAATGCATACAAAGAGTTAAGAATAAGGCCTGATGTTAGGTAAATGTTCAACAAATGAGGGTTAGTAGTAGTAGGAGTACCAGTAGTAGTATTCCCCAGAGGTCTCTGGAATCATGAGAGTCTCTCTCTCTCTTTTTTTTTTTTTGAGACAGAGTCTCGCTCTGTCACCCAGACTGGAGTGCAGTGGCATGCAGTGGCACGATTTGGCTCACTGCAACCTCTGCCTCCTGGGTTCATGCGATTCTCCTGCCCCAGCCTCCCATGTAGCCGGGACTACAGGCGCATGCCACCATGCCCAGCTAATTTTTGTATTTTTAGTAGAGACGGGGTTTCACCATGTTGGCCAGGCTGGTCTTGAACTCCTCACCTCAGGTGATCCGCCTGCCTAGGATCCCAAAGTGCTGGGATTACAGGCGTGAGCCACGGTGCCTGGTCCACATGAGAGTCTCTTGATCCTGGAATTTTTTTTGGTGTGAACATAGCTAGGAGAAATGGGATAAACTCCATTTCTTGGCTTAAACTTCTGGCTATGGCCAGTTTTCTTTTGTTAAAAACATGCCTTGGCTCTTACAACTTCAAAAACACAGTGAGAAATCAAATTAAATAAGAAGCTTAACTATGAATAGAATTTAAATGTTAGTTGCCAACGGTTGTCTATGAGAACAAGTTCAAAACCTGTTAATTAGATCTTTCATACCTGAATCTAAATAATTAAAATTCCATCACTTGTTAAGTATCCATTTAAAATTCCATGATAAAGAGAATTGATATTTTAGCTTTGTTTGTTACCCTGCTGCTTGGCAGATGAAGAATCAGGTCCTTGGCTGTGTGACAGGTCACAGCAAGGTTCCCTCCTAACTGTATCACTAGAAATTAGGGCTCATTGTCTAAGCTACTTATAAACACCGGCAAAGCACGGCCATGTTTAGAAACATTACTTTCTCATAGCTGTGGCTATCCAGCCATTTCAGAGTTCTGTTAAAAATCAAGCCTTTCAGTTGAGTTAATTTTTTTCCTGCTGTCAAAGACATTGTCATGAGGTTTTACTTTTAAACAAGGTAATCATCATCTGTTATTCACAATTCTCTCTTTTAAAAAAAAATTTTTGAAGAGATTTATTCTGAGCCAAATATGTGTGACCATGGCCTGTGACACAGCCCTCAGGAGGTCCTGAGAACATGTACCCAAGGTGGTCGGGGAGCTGCTTGGTTTTACGCATTTTACGGAGGCTGAGACTTCAATCAAATAACTTAAGAAATCTATTGGTTTGGTCTAGGAAGGCAGAACAACTTGAAGTGAAGACTCCACAACCTCTTATGGCAACCCAGACATTCCTTTCTATTGATTCCAGGTCTTTGGATAAACTCAACCAACTGTCAACCAAAAAATTTTTATTCACGACTCTCTTTGTCCTTCCTTGTGATGTTTGTTAGACTTGAAGCATTATTTTTACCTGTCTTTCATATCCAAATTTTATCCAAATTTCACTTCAGTTCCAATCATAGCCATCATACTCAGAGTTGGTATGTATTAAGCATTCATAAGGTTTAGATTATTAGGAATAGTCTTGGCTGGGCGCAGTGGCTCATGCCTGTAATCCCAGCACTTTGGGAGGCCGAGGCGGGCAGATCACCTGAGGTCAGGAGTTTGATACCAGCCTGGCCAACATGGTGAAAACCAGTCTCTACTAAAAATACAAAAATTAGCTGGGCATGGTGGCAGGCGCCTGTAATCCCAGCTATCTGGGAGGCTGAAGCAGGAAAATCGCTTGAACCTGGGAGGCAAAGGTTGCAGTAAGCTGAGATCGTGCCATTGCACTCCAGCCTGGGCAGCAAGGGTGAAGTTCTGTCTCAAAAAAAAAAAAAGAATGCCTGAACCTCTTCTCCATAAATGTCTTTGGCAGGCCAGGTCCAGGAGCTGGCTCCTTCCACAAAGGCTGAGGCCAAGAGGCAGGGGCAGCAATGAGGACCGTTAGGTCAGTGCTTCTCAAAACCCAGCACGTGTAAGAATTATCTGGAGAGCTGTCAAAACAGGGACTCCTGGGCTCCACCCCCGGAAATTCTGACTCAGTGGGTCTGAAGTGGGGCCTAATGATTTGCATTTCTAACATGTTCCACGTGGTCCTGAGGCTGCTAGTGTTGGGCCCACGTTGGGAACTACTGCTCCAGATTAAACAGAACTACAATAATAATCTAGAAGGTCCAAATATTCTAGCCTGCTGTCCTTCCCAGTCACCAAAGGGCCACTGATACCTTGATAAAGTTTGCCCTCAAGGGAAACAGGTCCCTCCAGGGATGAAGCCTATTAGATTTCCAATATCTATGCAATATTGCTTATCTCTAGGAATGCATGATTTTAAAATCTTAGACACCAAAGATTAATAGTCACTTTCTTATTACTTGAACCTCTGGCAAATCATCACAGCTCATGAGCCCCTGAATAAAGAAGCTCCAGTGTTCACAACCACCATTTATTCAGATCAACAGAGTCTGTTCAAATACTGGGTGGCCCTTTAAGTGGCCAACTGGATGAGAGAAGAGCCCAAAATATGAATGTGCCATATTTATTTAACTGTTCTCCCTAGTAATAAACATGTGAGTGTCTGTCCCAAGTTTTTAACAAAAACATTGACAAAGAATATGACAAAAACATGACAAGGAAGATACTGTGACATACTGGAATACTCTGCCCACTTATCTGCATATTTCTGTGGGATAGACTATTAGAACAAGAAATTTTAAAGTGGATCAAAATTACATTCTTTATGTTGTACAGTGCCTTCAATTCTTACATTCCAATTTTAAGTCTGAACATCTTCCAAAAAGAGACCTCTGAGTACCACTCCAATAATTCCACCAGGCTCTGGGTCTGACATTTTATAGATTCCTTAATTTACAGGGTATAAGACTCAAATAAAACCAGCAAAATACCATTATTTTGTTATAATTAATGTGAGCTGGTCAGTTAACAGTGTTTATTAAGTACTACCTTTTGCTAATACATGAAAGAAATGAAAATATTTAAAAAGAAAGAAAGGAAATCTGGTTCCTGACTACATGCCAAAGTACATTACCATTTTATCTGTAGAGAAGGTGTGTGCTCCGGAGTCTCCGGCATTTTCTCAATTCTTGACACAAGCTAAGCAGCCTCCATCTACAGGCCTTTGAACATTCTTTTCTATGCATTTTGATGTTCCCACTTCCATCTCCCTCTGAACTTGGTATAAACATCATTTCCTCAAAGAAGCCTCCCGAGGTCTCCCGTCTAGGTCAGGCTCACTGTTGTGTGCCCTCACAGTACCTCTCTCTCTCTTCAGAGAACATACTGTGTCATTACACACTCATTAGAGTGAGGATATGCCCAACAATAGTCTTCCTCACTAACCCGTAGATTCCAAAAGATCAGGAACTGGGTCTGTCTGTATTTATTACAATTTTATTTATAGCATCCAGCTAAGTGATAGGCCTTACAGTTGAAGCTCGGTGAACACCGAGAGAGAGAGAGAGAGAGAGAGAGGGAGAGAGAGAGAGAGACAGAAAGAAAGAGAAAAATGAGAATGAAAGACTGAGAAGGAATAAATATGAGTATAAAGAATATATGACTTCCAAAAGACTGAGGCAAACATAGGACATAGGTATCTCCTCTTTTTTTTTTTTGAGACAGAGTCTCGCTTTGTCGTCCAGGCTGGAGTGCAGTGGTGCGATCTTGGCTCACTGCAAGCTCCGCCTCCCGGGTTCATGCCATTCGCCTGCCTCAGCCTCCCAAGTAGCTGGGACTACAGGTGCCCGCCACCACGCCTGGCTAATTTTTTGTATTTTTAGTAGAGATGGGGTTTCACCATATTGGCCAGGATGGTCTCGATCTCCTGACCTCGTGATCCACCTGCCTCGGCCTCCCAAAGAAACATAGGTATCTCTTCTTACTACAGATCTGTAGTAGGGTATTGAAGTATTCAGTCTTTATGAAAAATGTAATAATACTGTTAAAGGAAATTATGAAAGTGAAAAATGCATCCTTGTATCAACTACTCTAAGAGAGCAACTATTTTTTTCTGTAGTTTTTCTGATTGTGTGCGTGTGTGTGTGTGTGTGTATTTTTTGTTTGTTTTGAGACAGGGTTTCACTCTGTTGCCCAGGCTGGAGTGTAGAGTGCAGTGGCACAATCACGGCTCACTGCAGTCTCAACCTCCTGGGCTCAGGTGATTCTCCCACCTCAGCTGTCTGAGTAGCTGAGATTACAGGCACATGCCACCATGCCTGGCTAATTTTTTGTATTTTTAGTAGAGGCGGGGTTTTGCCATGTTGGCTCCCAAAGTGTTGGTCTTGAACTCCTGACCTCAGGTGATCTGCCCACCTTGGCCTCCCAAAGTGCTGGGATTATAGGCGTGAGCCACCGTGCTCAGCTGAGACCTAGTGTTTCTGATGTTTGTCTAAAAGCATATTTTCATAAAATATAATTCTTTATGACATTAAGAGACTAGAATTAGAAACAAAATTTTATGTGACAAGGTTTTTTTCCTATAGAAACAGAGTTATCATTTATAGAAAGACAAACTTACAAATAAATAACTTTTAAGGCATTCAATAGAAAGGTAAATAGTAGGTGCATTATTAGAACATATTGTATACTCATACTTTGGCATCTGGATGCAGTATTACACACCTGTTTTTGTATGTCAGACGAACAGTCCTTGTACCTTCACATTTTCCAGGCTGCTGTTCTTTGGAAGCCTGTTCCCATTTGGAAATAATGTCACAAATCTAGAAAGGAAGTGGAAAACTGAGATTTACAGTACTTTTCAAATCAACATTTTTTGAAGACAAGTGTGCTGCAGACTGAAATTTTTCAATTAATATGATCAAACCAAATATACTCAAGCTTTTTGTTTTCAGCCTCTGTGCGGCTCTGAGTTTAGTATGTAATTATAAATTGCTATTTGGTCCACTTATCCTTTTGGACACACATTAACTTTGGACTGTGGCCACGCATTTTTTACTCAAAAAGGAACTGTAATGTAGGACTGCCTGAAACTGGAAACAAGAAGATTCCAGGGATTTTTCCATGATTTGGTCACTGAAGAAGCAAGTTTTTCACCTTCCGAGTTCAAAAAGATTTTAATAACTAAAGTTATACCAAAGAAATTTGACATATAATTTATGGAAAGAGTCTAGACCCAGGTCTAGCTATTTGATTTTGGGTAACTCATTTCCCTCTCTAGGCCTCAGCTTTCTCATTTGCAAAATAAGTGCATTATTTCTCTAAGGTCCCTTGTGGTTCTGTAATTCTATTTATTTTTTTATTTTTCAAATTGAGATGGGGTCTCACTCTGTCACCCAGGCTGAAGTACAGTGGCACGATCTCAGCTCACTACAACCTCCGCCTCCTGGGTTCAAGTGATTCTCCTGCCTCAGTCTCCCGAGTAGCTGAGACTACAGGCACCCGCCGCCATGCCTGGCTAATTTTTTTGTATTTTTAGTAGAAATGGCGTTTCACCACATTGATCAGGCTGGTCTTGAACTCCTGACCTCAAATGATCTGCCTGCCTTGGCCTCCCAAAGTGCTGGGATTACAGGCGTGAGCCACCACACCCGGCCTAGTTCTATATATATTATTGCCATTACTAAATGGAAGCTCTATTAAAGTTATTTTACTATGATCTGGAAAAGATTCTTTTAAAATCCCTCCCTTTTCATTTCCACAGGTCTGTTTTCTTTCTTTCTTCCTTTCTTTTCTTTTTCTTTTTTTTTTTTTTTTTTTTGTGAGACAGTCTTGCTCTGTCACCCAGGCTGGAGTGCAGTGGCGTGATCACGGCTCACTGCAGCCTCGACCTCATGGGCTCAAGAGATTCTAGTGCCTCAGCTTCCAGAGTAGCTGGGACTACAGGTGTGTGGCACCATGCCTGGCTAATTTTTGTATTTTTAGTAGAGATGGGTTTTTGCCATGCTGCCCAGGCTGGTCTCAAACTCCTGGCCTCAAATGATCCACCTGACCCGGCCTCCCAAAGTGCTTGGATTACAGGCGTAAGCCACTGCACCCGGACACAGGTCTGTTTCCTAAACCATTTTTCATTTCCAGCTCAGGCCTTCCCTAACTCCCAATGCTGAACTTAAACTCTCTCTTTCTGTGCAAAGTTCACAGCACTCTCAAAACTTTCATCACTTTCAACCCTAGTTCAAGGTTATCTGTGTATAAAGCTGCTCTTCCGTAAGCAAATTTTAAGTTCACTGTGGGCAGGGACTATTTCTGGTCCTTTTGTATTCCCCACAGAGTCCAGCCAGCCCCTGGGATACAATAAAATAGCTTAGTAAGTATTGCTGAATAAATGGAAAAAAATGGAAAGCCATTTTATTAGCACTTCTACATATCTACCCTTATTATCCTAATACTTAGAGTATCATTTCCATTACTAACACCTTTCCTCTCTTTAATATGGAATGTGTATATGTAGAGATTGTGTATTAAGAATTCTATGGGTTTAACAAAGTCCTGCATTTTTTTTTTCTTATCGTGGAGATTAGATTGGTTAAAGTTTTGGAAAACTCCTGAATTAAACTTCTTGCAAAGTTTACTCTTCTTGTAAAGAGTAGCTTCTTTGCTGTTCGTTGGGCTTGGCTCCTGAAAAGGACTTGGTTTCACCTTGATGTTTCCTTGAAGACAATGCTCTAAATCTCTGCCAGAAGGATCGTCAGTGAACAACGCAAATCCAGACTGCGCTGGTTTCCTCATTCCTGTGTCCTGGTTCAAAGTATTCAAAAATTCTTCCACTGTGGTAGATGCGTCAAAACCAACTACCTAGACAGAAATAACAAAGCAGTTCTCTTAATAAGAAATATATAGTTTCAAACTGAGATTTTAAGGATGAAACAGAGCATACTTGATGCATGATTAATGATAACATATTTTTCTAGGTGCTTCAACTTTTTTTCCCAAAGCTCCTCTGGAGAAAATTAACAAAGTTACCTCATAAATTAGCTTGCTGAAGAACTCAAAAATCTCAGCTTCAGCCAACAGACATGAATCCAAAATAGAATGATCAGTTGACAGCTATAAATATTTTGCAAAGATATTATGCTTACCCATTAGAAGCAAACCAAGAACTATAGTACAATATGCAATCTTTAATCAAATGGAAAATAAACAAGAAATATGTTTAAATAAATGAACACCTTTATGTATTTAATGTTTGTTTCTTTAATAGGCAGTTAAGTATCTGAATTCTGTGATAAAAGGCATATGGCTACAAAGACTAATTGCTAGTTTGGGAACATGTTTGCTTCAATTAATAAGCAGGCATCTAGATCTGAGAACTGGAAGGGCCCAGTGAAGTTTTCCCAGATAATTTCTGAGATTTGGAGATTTTAAAAGAGACTAAAATTGTACACACCCAGTATCAGTAATTATTTCCACACCTAGGAGGTGTACTGATGGGAAAAAGCCCCAACCGAAGTGTTTTTTATTTTTCTGTCCATCAGAATCATAATGGCAGTGAAGCCCATCCCTTATTTGGTTCAGTATGGATTTGTTATTAGTGTGAATCCTTTATAGCAAAACTGTTTCAAAACTCAGCTGTTCTGATAGTAAATCTAATATATTTGCATGTTTGTCACTGCCAGGTGCTGACAAAAGTAAGCAGAGAAGTCTCTGTTCCCTATAACAGAGGTTGTACATAGGATTGTTGGCTAAGCATATTTTCATCAGGTAACCTACCTGGTATATCCCATTCATGAAGTGCACAGGTATACTAAAGGGCAAAGAATGGTGATAAGGGTTTCGGAGAAGAGTTGAAAGAATTTCCATCCTTGAGGGTCTTGCTTCTCTGTCACCATTTTGTTGCGTTCTTTCTACACAACGCTGGCAGTAAATGGCATATTTTCCAAATTCTGTCCTGTAATACAAAACTTAAGATAAAATCTAAGAATAAATTTAATTGACAACCTAATATGTGCAACCATTAAGAAAGCATCCGTGTACATTATCACAATGTATTAGGCTAATTTTGACAGTAACTTTTTTTGAATGATAATACTAAACTGCTGTAACTTTCCTCAAATTCCAACTTCTTTATTTTTGTAACTGCCTCACTCAAACCTCCCCACAAAGCATTCTTCATCTTTACTGTATTATTATAGTCACAAGCTGAATTTAAAATTACCAGTCACAAGTCAATATACAGTGATTTAATATTAACAAATATAAAGAAAGCAATTGCATGAAGAATAGTACAGAGTAACTTATAAAAACATGTTACAGCAGAATTCTCTTCTGAAGAACATGGTGGTTAACGCTTGACCACTAAACAAGGTAAAAAAAAAAAAATGTCTTCAGGCCAGGCATGGTGGCTCATGCCTGTAATCCCAGCACTTTGGGAGGCTGAAGTGGGCAGATCACCTGAGGTCGAGAGTTCAAGACCAACCTGGTCAACATGGTGAAAACCTGTCTCTATTGAAAATACAAAAAATTAGCCGGGGGTGGTGGCGCACGCTTGTAGTCCCAGCTACTTGGGAGGTTGAGGCAGGAGAATCACTTGGACCTTGGAGGTGGAGGTTGCAGTGAGCCAAGAACATGCCACTGCACTCCAACCTAGGTGACAGAGTGAGACCCTGCCTCAAAAAAAAAAATCTTCAAACAAAAATAAAAATATGTTTTCTTTCTTTATTCTATAAAAAACACTGCATTTGTGAAAAACTGTTAAGCATTAGAAAAACTCATTAGAATAAATAAATGTAAAAGTTGGATAGAAATCTTATTTGTCCTTGTTTGTTATACATAAATTTTACTGCTTATTCAAGCAGATTGATAACACCTGTCAAATATGTTTGTATTCAAGTGCCCTGTAGGCAGATCCTTGGTCTCGGGGCTCCTCAGTGACTGCAACTGAAATTACCTGACCTTGGTCACAGATGACCTTGATCACAGAGGCCCCACAATGTATTATGAACTGTAGAATATTTTCCTATTGCTTCCAAGTTGGGTTTGTTTATTTGTTTGTTTCTTTTACTGTGTTTGCTTTAGTCCAAGAGTTTAAGCAACCTGACACAAACCTCTTGGTGGACAAAATGACCCTGGATAAGCCTTGGCTGAGTGACCTGGGTCCCAATGTAAGAAAGCCATTCTGGAAGTTGAACTTTAAATGTGTTTTTCAAAGGAGTAACAATTCTGAAGTAATTCAAATACATACAATTAGAAAAGGAGGGAAGACCATGGGGGAAATTTTTCACATAAAAGAATTCAATGTGCAGAGAAATAGTAAAAGGGAAAACTAAGGAAACAAAATAGTTGCTTTTATTGAATGAACACCCACTAATGCTAAGTCATTCATACTTGAAATGCAAATGCACTTTTCACTTAAAAATATTCTCTGTCAGTTTTTCAAGTATTTATTGCAATCTTCCCTAAGAGATTTAACATAACAAAGGAAATATTTTCCTAGCTCCACATCAATGATAACCAAAGGCTTCCTGTACCAATATTTGTTTCATACATTCTTCTGAAAATGTACCTGGCAGATCGTTAAATACTTATGATTTATCGTAGACTTTCAGAGGCCACATAAACAGTTCAGCTGGCTAGTATTCTGCACACCTGGAATCTGCATTCCTCTTTAGGTGAAGCCTGAGGAGCCACAGGAAAGGATGATGGGGAAGGAAGAGCCCAACGCAGAGTGCCAAGAGCTGCCAGCCCTGGGCAGGGAGAAGCACCACAGGTTAGATACCACGTGCCAGTCAGAGATCCACATCTGAGTGAGTGCAATGGGCTGATGACAGTCTCTCTTAACCCAAAAACGTTTTGCTTCTTTCACATATGCATGATCTGTTTACAGCATTTATCATAGGTTAAAAACAAAAAACTCTACATTGGGTCAGATCTATGATCCATCTAGTTGTGTGTATGGTTATCTACAACTGAGGAACCAAGGCACAAGCAGACAAGGTGCTCCTTTTTGACGTTACACTCAAAGATTAGGAACATTGTTTCTTTTTTTTCACTTACGTATTTACTCATTCCTTGAAATACAAGTAATAGTTTTGAGAAACGCAGATTGCAGAACAGTAGAAAACACATGCCCTAAATCAAAACCAATCTACCTACACACACGTATGTATCTACATACCTAAATAAGGGACAAGTATAAAAATATTAACAGAGGTTATCTTTAGGTAGCAGCAATATATGTGATTTTTATTTTTCCTTCGCTCTGTTCTGTATTCTCCTTTCTATATTTTTTCAAGGAAGTATAAAACATGTTACAGCAGAATTCTCTTCTGAAGAACATGGTGGTTAATGCTCAACCACTAAACAAGGTACAAAAAGTCTTCAAACAACAAAAAAATTTTTTTAATTTCTTTATCCTATAAAACACTGCATTTGTTAAAAAATGTTAAGCATTAGACAAACTCATTAGAGTAAATAAATGTAAAAGTAGGATAGAGATCTCATTTGCCCTTGTTTGTTATATATAATTTTTCAGTCATTTTTAAAACGTTATATTAAAAAAGTTGGATAGAGATCTTATTTGCCCTTGTTTCCTATGTATAATTTTCAGCCATTTTTAAAACGTTATATTAAAAAAGAGGGAGAAATAGGCATTGTCCCTGCCCTTAAGGAACCTACAGTCTAGTAGGAGACAGTTATATATTTAAACAGTAAATTATAATACAACATGGTAATACCACGTATTAACTTTTTAAAGCATAACCAATGGAAGGAATGACTAACTTCTTGTGGAGTCAAGGAAGGCATCACAGGGAATATGTTGCTTAGGCTGGACTATAAAGTCTACGGAAGGGAAGGAAGAGGAGGGATCCAGGTAACAGGAATACCATCAGGTGCATGGTGGAGAATATTGCAAAGGTGGAGTGTGTTTGAAGGATGGGGCGAATTTATTCATTCACTGTCTGCTGGAGGCAGGAAGTGGAGAAAGAGCGGGCCAGTGGAGCCAGATGACAAAGTGTTCTTGATGCAGATGAAGCTTAAGCTTCAGATTCCCTCTTGGGCACAGGTCCTGGGAAAGGCTTATTAACTGTGTTTACATGGTCATATGATTTCTAAAATGTGCAAAAGTAATCCATTTTCAAGTCTTTGTCTTAAAGAGCATTTCCCAAACTGTATAAGCTTCGGTCTCACAAAACCTAGATCCAACCCCGACAGTCCTATATGCTAAGGTAAGAAATTTCTGATTTATCCTGTGGCTAACAGGCAGTCAATACACAAAGATAAAAACAGGTGTTCATTGAAGAGTAAACACAGATGACTACCAAACACCTGAAAAATATATTCAACTGCACTAATAAAGAAACGCATCCTGAGTCAATAGTGAAATATTTTTTTTTGCCTGGTAAGAATTTAAAATATACTGAATGTTGTTGAAGATATAGGAAAATTCTAAAAATGAATTCAAAGGAATTCGCTGGACCTGTCCACAAGATTTAGGTTCCTGGTGGGCGCGGTGGCTCACACCTGTAATCCCAGTACTTTGGGAGGCCAGAGCGGGCGGATCACCTGAGATCAGGAGTTCGAGGCCAGCCTGACCAACATGGTGAAACCCCATCTCTGCTAAAAATGCAAAATTAGCCGGGAGTGTTGGCACATGCCTGTAATCTCAGCTACTTGGGAGGCTGAGGCAGGAGAATTGCTTGAACCCGGGAGGCGGAGGTTCCAGTGAGCCGACATTGTGCCATTGCACTCCAGCCTGGGCAACAAGAGCGAAACTCCATCTCATTTAGGTTCAAAGATGTCTACTGCAGAGGTATTTATTATAGGAAAAAATATAGAAATGTATCGTACTTAATGTTAACATGACCATTAATGTTTTGAAGAATGTCTAAGGATATAGGGGAAACGATTATTTTCTATAGTTTAAAAAAGTAGTATGCACACTGTAACTCCAGCAATATAAAAAACTGTGAGTGTACACACACCAACATACACACATTTATATATAAACATATAAATAAACCAAAAAGGTAGACATCAAAATATTAATACCTATTTTTCCTTCTGCACTTTTTGTATTCTCCAAATGTCTATGCTGAATGTGTATCATTCTTACAATCAGAAAAAAAAACACTTTAAATTGCATGTATATGTATCAATATTAATATCTACCTGCAATGGTCCTGGTTGATTCTGTGGCTGTCTTCGTCTTGTCTGTTTAATAAGCTGACAGCAAATTTCATTCTGCAGCTCAGGATGTGTCAGGCAGATTTGCAAAGCACTCTGGGCTAAAGATATGTGGTAATCAATTGCAGGAGAGTCAACTGCAGCATTTATAAAAAGCTGGCAGGTCTGAATTAAACAAAAAAAGATATATTCAAGGTGAGGAGTGATTAGATTTATTCTGCATGAATTATATCGAATATCTTTTCAGCAGTAGTTTTTGTTTAAAATGATGGAAAAGGATATATTATGATAACACTAATCAAAAGAAATCTGGAATCGCCACAATAATAGCAGACAAAGCAGATTTCAGAGCAAGGAATTCTGCCAGAGATAAAGAGGGTCATTTTATAATGATAAAGGGGTCAGTTCATCTAGAAGACATAACAATCCTAAACATCTACATACTTAATAACAGAGCTTCAGAATACATGTGAATCTCATCCAGCATATTTTTCATTTTAGTCACTGCATTTTTCATCTCTAAAAATTCAATTTGGGTCTTTTTAATATCTTCTCTTACTCTTCTTAAAATGCTCATGCTTTCCTTTACCTTCCTGAACATGTGAAGTGTGGTGGCCAATCTCCAAAGTGGTCCTCCGTGATCTCCACATCCTGACATTCAGATCCATAGTTAATTCCCTCCTGTATTCTACCAGGGTTGGTCTGTGTGACTGGTAGCATGTGGCACGCCATTTCTAAGATTAGCTTATAAAAAACAATGCACTTCCATCTTGGTCACTCTCTCTCTTTCCCCGTTAGATCATTTCCTCTGGGGAAGGTAGCTGCCATGTCTTGAGCAGTCATTTGGAGAGGCCCATGTAGTGAGGTACTGAGGCTTCTTTGCCAACAGCCACGTGAGAGAGTTTGGAATCCTCCAGCCCCATTCCAATCTTCAGATGCCTGCTACCCCCGCTGACAGCTTGATGGTACCGCCAGGAGACTATGAGTCAGAACCACCCAGCTAAACTGCTTCTAGATTCCTGACCCTTCAAAACTGTGTGAAATAGCAAATGTTGTAAGTCACTAAGTGTTGGGGAAATTTTAAATGTAACAGTAGACAACAGATACACAGAAATGTCCTTATCTACCATCACCTGCATCATTTCTAGATATGTTTCTATGATTACTTTTTCTTACCCATTGTATTGTCATACTTGACCCGATTCTCTGTATGCCTGGTGATCTTTGACTGGATGCAGACGTTGTGAATGTTATACTCTTGGGCACTGGACTTTTTGGTATGCTTTAAACATTTTTTAGCTTTGCTCTGAGATGACAGTTAAATTACTTGGAAATGGTTCGGTTCTTCCAAGGTCTGTTTTAAGTTTCTTAGGGTGGACCAAAACAGCCTTACATTTAGGACTATCTGGGCCCCATTCCAGAGGCAATCACCTTCTGTGCACTCTATTTGATGTCCAATGTATCAAAGATTTTTCCATTCTAGAAGATGGGAAAACTGTTTCCAGCTCTGTGTGAGCTGGAATTTTTTTGCCTGTGTCTTTCTGTCCTCAGCCTCAGGTACTTTCCGCACATACACACATGCTTATCAGTTCTCAGATGAAAACACGAATCTCTGGAGCTCTCCCTCCCTCCCTCTCTTTAGCTCTCTCCTCTCAGCCCTGTGATTGATTGATTTATTTATTTTTTAGACGGAGTCTTGCTCTGTTGCCCAGGCTGGAGAACAGAGCTCAGCGCAACTTCTGCCTCCTGGGTTCAAGTGATTCTCCTGCGTCAGCCTCCCAAGTAGTGAGATTACAGGCACCAACCACCACAACTCGCTAATTTTTTTATTTTTAGTAGAGACAGGGTTTCCCCCTGTTGGCCAGGCTGGTCTCGAACTCCTGATCTCAGGTGATACACCCACCTCAGCCTCCCAAAGTGCTGGGGTTACAGGGTGAGCCACCGCGCCCGATCAGCCCTGTGAAGTCTAACTACCTTGGCCTTCTCAAATTCTGAACTCTGTCTCCGTGACTCAGGAAGACTGCCAGGCTCTATTTGGGTGCTCCCTCTCTGCACAGCAGTCTTGAATCTCTCCAGACAGTAAGCTGCAGCAATCACAGGGCGTATGTCATTAGTTTTTTCCGAAGAATCTGTCCTACACTGCCTACATTCAACATCTGAAAACCACTGGCAGGGCAAATCCAGTCCCTGTGGCTCCATCATGGCCCAAAGTAGTTCTTCCTTTTTATCTTCTAACTGGTTGTTGCTTGCACACATAAAAGCGTTTGTTTTTTGCTTATTTTGTACCTCTCACTATCTTATCAAATTCTCTTTTTGTTTGTAGTAGTTTTTTAGTTTGTTCTTTTGGGTTTTCTGGGTATACAAATATACCATCTGTAAATATTTTCATTTATTGCCTAATAACATCGGTTAGTTCCCTAACAGAATGTTAAATAATAATAATAATAACAAACTTTATGTAATTTATACTTTAATTGAAAAATTTAAAAAATAATGGGGCATATCTTTGTCTTTTTCTCACTTTAGTGGAAATGTTTCTAAAATTTCTCCATAAAGCATGATGCTTGCTTTTAGCTAAAACAAGAATATTTTATCATGTTGAAGTATCTATGTATTGCTATTCTATAAATGTTAAATTTGTCAAATGCCTTTTCGGCATCTACAGATATGATTATCTCCCTAATAATAAGTAATATTAATAGATATCCCAATACTTAGCCATCCTTGATTTCCTAGAATAAATCCCTTTCAGTCATAATTTAATATTTTCTAACATTAAAAAATGTTATTGACACATAATAGCTGCATATATTATTGGAGCATATGAATTTTTTGATACATGCCTGCAACATGTAATAATCAAATCAAGGGAATTGGGATACCCACTACCTCTAACATTTGTAATTTCTTTGTGTTGGGAACATTCCAAATCTTCTCTTCTAAGTATTTTGAAATATACTCTAAGTCCTTGTCAGCTATAGTTGCCCTACTGTGCTGTTGAACACTAGAACTTATTCTTCTTAAATAAATGTATTTTTGTACCCATTAACCAACCTCCTTTCATCCCTCCACCCCCTACTACCCAGCCTCTGGTAACCACCATTCTATTTTACCATCTACCTCTATGAGATCCACTTTTTTAGCTCCCACCTATGAGTGAAAACATAAGATATTTGTCTTTCTGTGCTTGGCTTATTTTACTTAATATAATGTTCTCCAGTTCCATCTATGTTGTTGCAAATGACAGGGCTTTGTTTTTCGTAATGGCTGAATAATATTCCATTGTGTATATATACTACATTTTTTTCTTTTTTTTGAGACAGAGTCTTGCTCTGTCACCCAGGCTGGAGTGCAGTGGCACACTCTCGGCTCACTACAACCTCCACCTCCCAGGTTCAAGCGATTCTTGTGCCTCAGCCTCCCTAGTAGCTGGGATTACAGGAATGCACCACTACGCCCAGTTAATTTTTGTATTTTTAGTAGAGACAAAATAAATTTTGTATTTTTAGTAGAGACCAGCCTCCCCATGTTAGCCAGGCTGGTCTCAAACTCCTGGCCTCAAGTGACCTGGCTGCCTTGGCCTCCCAAAGTGCTGGGATTACAGGCCTGAGCCACTGGCCCGGCCCATCATTATCCATTCATCTACTGATGAACACTTAGGTTGATTCCATATATCGGTTCTTGTGAACAGTGCTATAATAAATATAGGAATCCCGATATCTCTTCAATATACTGACTTACTTTCATTTGGATATACTCCCAGTGAGACTGCTGGATCACATGGTAGTTCTATTTTTAGTTTTTTGAGGAACCTCCATACTGTTTTTCAAAGTTGCTGTACTAATTTACATTCCCACCGATGGTGTATGAGTTTTCCTCTTTCTCTGCATCCTTCACAGCATTCGTTATTTTCTGCCTTTTCGATAACAGCCATTTTAACTGGGGTGAGATGATATTTCATTACGATGCTGATTTGCATTTCCCTGATGATTAGCGATGCTTAGCATTTATTCATATACTTGTTGGCCATTTGTATGTCTTCTTTTGAGAAATGTCTATTGAGATCTTTTGCCCATTTTAAAATTGGATTATTTGTTTTTTGCTATTGAGTTGAATGATTTAATATTCTTTAAATGATGCTGGATTCTAATTGCTAATATTTTATTATTTTTGTTCAATCTTTGCTGCATTCTCATATGAAAGCAATACTTATTTAACAAAGAGAATATAGTGATATAATGACTGAGGATTGCTTCAAAATAATCCAAAGTTAGGGTGCAGTGGGAAATGGGAGAATAAAACAAAATTGGCCATGTGTTGATGACTGTAGATCTGAAAGATGAGTACTTTAGGCCTCATTGTAATATTCTCTCTACTCATATATGTTGGAAATTGTCCCAAGTAAAAAGTAAAAGAAAAAATTGAATTTAGAAAAGTTCCTTCTTTTTCTATGCTTTGGGACAATTTAAACAGCATTGAAATTATCTACACGTAAAGTTTGGTAAACTCCTCTGTTTAGATTTTCATTTTCCTGTGGAATCAATTTTGGTCATTTATATTTTCTTATAAAATTGACCACATCATCTAGATTTTCAAATATACTTGTATAGTCTTTCTTGCTTTAGGTATTGGTGTACTCTACAGGTGGGTATTTTTAAACATTCCATTATAGAAATTTTAAAAATGTATAAAAGTAGAGAGAACAGCATAATAATCACCCATGTACCCATCACCCAGTGTCAATAATTATCAGCATTTTTCCAAACTTCACCACCTCCCCACCTCTACTTTTTTCTCCTCTGGAGTATTTTAATGTATATCATACTACTTTACCAATAAATACTTCAGGCTGGATCTCCAGTTGATAAAGATTTTTTCTATAGCCATCCATGACCCCACAAATAACAATAATTCCATATTATCTAATAAACAAATAGATTTTTTGAGATGGGAGAAACTTAGGCAAGACAAAGCCAAAAGAAAGAGATGGAGCTCCAAGAGACTAGGGAAAAATGAAGTACCAAGATCCTGGTGTAGAGTCCAGACTTGGAAACACAGAAGGTCCACCGTTATCTGAGGCTGGAGGAGTGGAGGAGAAAGGGTTGTCTATTAAGTGGAGGGATTTTTTTTTTTTTTTTTTTTTGAGATGGAGTCTTGCTCTGTTGCCCAGGATGGAGTGCACTGGTGCGATCTCGGCTCAGTGCAACCTCCATTTCCTAGGTTCAAGTGATTCTCCTGCCTCAGCCTCCCAAGTAGCTGGGACTATAGGCGCATGCCATCACACTCGGCTAATTTTTGTATTTTTTAAGTAGAGACAGGGTTTCATGGTGTTAGCCAGGATGGTCTCGATCTCCTGACCTCATGATCTGCCCGCCTCGGCCTTCCAAAGTGCTGGGATTACAGGCGTGAGCCACTGCGCCCGGCTGCAAGGGGAGGGCTTTGAGGTGGTCATGTCATGTCTGATGTCCTCTAATTTTCTCAGTGAAATAGAAGGTAAGTTTCTCTGCTGTATTCTTAAGTAGAGAGTTTGAGGGGGATGTGACCAAAGACAAGCACAAGGCAGAAAGTTGGCTGTGAGAGAGGAAGACCCTGAATTTTTATTGGCGTCAGACTACATGGCTGTTTGATGCTCTGCAGCATTGCACATCTGGTTATACTGGCAGCAGAAAACATAGCACTGATCTAGGTTGGGATCTGGCTGAAGAGTACATGGAATTATGGGTCCCAAGGAACTACAAGAATTAATAGAAACAAACCAGACTAGATAAGGAAGGAAGAAAAGCCAGGACGCAGTTATCATGATCTTAAAAAAAGCTAATGGTTCAAAACAAAGGTCTTAGAGATGAAGAAAAAGTGGAAGAGTAAAAAAATATAAGAGCTTGTAGGCTAGGATTCTGGTTAAAGAAAGAGATGTTCGAATTGAAGCTTTTAGATGTGACGTACTTGTGAGGAATGGTGAAGTCAGGTGTGGACATGGAAAATGGGATGATGAAGGAGGCCAGAGGTGAAGCTTACTGGAATTTAGAAGGTCAAGAAACTTAAAATCATGGCATTGGTGAGTGAAGTGATAAGAGTCATTTGCAAGACTTCAGGTAGAGAATGTGAGTTGGGAGCTAAAATTCTTTGATAATTTTTTTTTTTTGAGACTTATTTTCACTCTTGTTGCCCAGGCTGGAGTGCAGTGGCGTGATCTCAGCTCACTGCAACCTCCATCTCCTGGGTTCAAGCAATTCTCCTGACTCAGCCTCCCAAGTAGCTGGGATTACAGGTATGTGCCTCCATGCCCATTTAATTTTGTGTTTTTAGTAGAGATGGGGTTTCACCATGTTGGCCAGGCTGGTCTTGAACTCCTGACCTCAGGTGATCCACCCTCCTCGGCCTCCCAAAGTGCTGGGATTACAGGAGTAAGCCACCACACCTGGCCCTTAAAGAAATCTGAAGAGTTACTGGAAGGTAACTGATGATAGGGATAGAAGGATAAAGAGTGCGAAGTTGCATGGCAAGTTTTGAGTGATTAGGGATTTCTAATAGAGATTGAGGAATAAGAAATTGAGAGTAACACTAGAGAGGAGAGAGAGTGCTGACCCCTCTCCCATTGCTGTGCCTGGTGTGATGTGGAAAATTAGAGGTTAAAGGGGAAATGATTCATCTGATACCAAGTATTTCACATTGCCCAAACCATACACATTAATAGTTTATTTCAGTAAATCCCAAATCCTCACTAAGAAAGCATATGAAATTCACCTAATTTTATTTCAATGATATTCTTAATAATAAACACATTTTGAATTTTCTTGGAGTAAAATTTTGTAACCCAAAATGTTATTTTTAATTTTTTTCCAATTATTTAACAACATATAAGTATTTTACCTTAAATCATTTAACAACATATAAATATTTTACCTTAAATAATTTAATAGCTTCTGTCTGCAGGGCTTCGGAAGGTAGAGTTGTCAGAGGGGAAATGATTCCTTCTTTACTGTGACACAAAGTGGGGTGTCTCCATATCTGAGAGGCTAAATGCAGAATAAAATATGAACAGAAAACTGAATAAACCACTTATTGTGGCCTCTTATTAAATTAATCCTTTAGACATTAGCTCATTCAGGCTTGGCTCACAACTTTAAGTCACAAAGGTCAGAAAAAAACTCTTTGGCAACATTATTTTATTTTGGTAGCCAGGTCATTGGGATTCTCATGTTACTGTTTTTTGTGTTTTGTTTTTTTTAATTTTAAAAATTTCCATAGGTTTTTGGGGAATAGGTGGTATGTGGTTACATGAGTAAGTTCTTTAGTGATTTGTGAGATTTTGGTGCACCCATCACCCAAGCAGTATATACTGAAACTGATTTGCCTCACCCCCTTCCCACCCTTTCCCTCAGTCCCCAAAGTCTATTGTGTCATTCTTATGCCTTTGCATCCTCACAGTTTAGCTCCCATTTATGAGTGAGACATGTTCCTGTTTTGGATAATCTAGAAGAGTTGGGTCCTAATTTACTAGGCTGCAATAAGTCTACCAGGGCACTATCACGTTGCTTAAATGTGCTAAAGATTGGTGACCTAGGTAGGGGGCATGACTATATATGAGAAAGAGCTGGGGAAAGATCTAGAACTTCTCTAGAGAGGAGAAGCCAAAGTAGAAAGAGATATAAAGATAAAGAGGAACTTGAAGGCATTCCTAAAATCAACATTTATTAAATTCCTGTGTTGGACACAGCAAATAAAATGTGGTCTCTCTTAGCGTATAAAGCATAGGATAGAATCTAGTCTCTCAGTGGGGGAACCTTAGCCATAAAAATTCATTTCAGGCCAGGCACAGTGGCTCATGCCTGTAATGCCAGCACTTTGGGAGGCTGAGGTGGGTGGATTACTTGAGCTCAGGAGTTCGAGACCAACCTGTGCAACATGAAGAAACCCCATCTCTGCCAATGATACAAAAATTAGTCGGGCATGGTGGTGCATGCCTGTGGTCCCAGCTACTCAGGAGGCTGAGGCAGGAGGATTGCTTGAGCCCAGGAGGCAGAGGTTGCAGTGAGCGGAGATCATGCCACTGCACTCCAGCCTGGGTGACAGAGTGAGACTCCGTCTCAAAAACAAAACAAAAACTTAATTTCAATGCAAAACTACAAATGCTATAAATCTTTTGGCTTCCCTGGGCCACACTGGAAGAAGAATTGTCTTGGGCCACACATAAAATATATAAACACTAATGATAGCTGATGAGCTTAAAAACAAAAAACTCACAAAGAAATTTTGTAATGTTTTAAGAAAGTTTATGAATTTGTGTTGGGCCACATTCAAAGCCATCTGGGGCCACAGGCCACCTGTGGGTTGCAGGTTGGCCAAGCTTGCTATAAAAGAATTAAGTGACAAAACGCATTAGGACATAATTTTAACATTGATGAAGCACCTTTTATGAGCCAGATGCTGAGCTGCAGAGGGCTGGCTGGGGGATCTCCTAAGGCTAGGTGGGGTTTCATTATGTTGGTGAGGACTGCCAACGAAGGGGGCATTCCAAGCAGAGGAGCAGTGGAAGCAAAGGCAGAGGGAGGTGACCTGACACAGACTAATGAGGAATGATGGTGTCCCTGCAGCCAAAGAGCCACAGACAGAATTCTCTCCCATGATGAGCAAAGGCAATGAAAAGGTGGGTATATTTCAGGGAAACAGGAACCCATTAAGTGAAAACTCCATTAGGCTAAGCGGGTTGAGGTCCATTTCATTAACCATAAAGCTTTATTTATATGTTTATGAACTTACAAGGCTCCCCGTCTATATTTAGCAATTTGCAAACCAGTTGTTCAAATTCAGATCCAACGTTTACATTGTTGCTTCCAGCTGCAACAGTCAGATGATAAAGCCAAGTGTCCTTAAAACCAGAACATATTAATTAAATGTTAAGACACAGTTTTGATTAAAGAAAAAAAAACAACTTGCATAAACAGTAGAAAACTTTGAGATGGAAATGAACCACTTGCTTTAATTTTTAAATAATAATGAAAAGCCATTTATTCAAACAATTCTGAGGCATGCTCACTTGAACTGTGTTTATATTACCTTTTCCCATTATTTACACTTTTCTTATTCAGATGCATTTTAGAAAAGCATGACAAAATTAAGACGAGTAACACATGTTAAGAGACTAAATACAACCAGCTGATATTCTTTTACAAAATAAATAAATTCTATTAAATTAAAAATCTGGCTCCCAGAGTGATACATACAGAATATTTTGGAAATCCAGAAAATTTAAAGAAAACATAATACCCGTCTTATCCCATTCACCAAAGATTCCTGGTCTTTTTTTCTCTATGATAATATATATGTAGATTAAATTTTTACATAGTTGAATTATTCTGAAAGTAGAGGATAATTTCTGAATTTTAGTAATATAGTACAAGCACTCCCTTGTTGCTAGAAATTCTTTATAAACAAGTTTTAATGGCTGCAGGATATTCTACTACACATATGGACACACCATATTTATTTAATCAATTTCTTATTGCTGAACATTATGATGGTTACTAACTTCTCACTGATAAAAAATACTGTGACAGCTATCATCTGTTAACTGAAAAGGAAATGTTATATTTTCCATCTTTAAAATACTTCAAAAATAAAATTATTTTAAAAAGAGTATTGTAGGCCGGGCACGGTGGCTCATGCCTGTAATCCCAGCACTTTGAGAGGCCAAGCCGGGTGGATCATCTGAGGTCAGGGGTTTGAGACCAGCCTGGCCAACATGGTGAAACGCCGTCTCTACTAAAAATACAAAAATTAGCTGGGCATGGTGGTGCATGCCTGTAGTCCCAGCTGTTCGGGAGGCTGAGGCAGAAGAATCTCTTGAACCCAGGAGGCGGAGGTTGCAGTGAGCCGAGATCACGCCACTGCACTCCAGCCTGGGCAACAGAGTGAAACTCTGTTTTAAAAAAAAAAAAAAAAAGAGTATTGTGTTGAACAAACTATACATAAATTTTTGGCTACATTTACTAACATTTTCTTTTTCTTTCTTTTTTTTTTTTTTTTTTGAGACAGAGTCTTGCTCTGTCACCCAGGCTGGAGTGCAATGGCGCGATCTCGATTCACTGCAACCTCTGCCTCCAGGTTCAAGTGATTCTCCTGCCTCAGCCTCCCAAGTAGCTGGGATTACAGGAACCTGTCACCACGTCCAGCTACTTTTTGTATTTTTAGTAGAGATGGAGTTTCACCACATTGGCCAGGCTGGTCTCGAACTCCTGACCTCAGGTGATCCACCTGCCTCGGCCTCCCAAAGTGCTGGGATTACAGGCGTGAGACACAGTGCCTGGCCAACATTTTCTTAGTATATATTTTTTGAAATAGAATTATGAGTCATTACTAGGGCGAGAAAACTTTTAGGAACTCTTGAAACATATTTTCAAAGTACTTTCCAAAGCATTTACACTAATTTCTATTCTCACCAGTGGTATATAGGAGTGCTTCCCTCCTCATAGCTTCACTAGCATAATTTTTTAAATCTTTGATAATCTCAGAGACAATAAAAGCTTTATCATTTTTAAATGTGCGCATCTTTGATTACAGATGAGCGTAAGCATTCATTAGCCATTAAATTCCTCAGTAAGTTGTTCATCAGGCCCTCTTTCCATTTTTCTACTAGAAACATAGTCCTTTTCAAATCATATGAGAGGTAGCAGAGGCAAGTGTTCAGGAACACAGGCTCTGTGGTTAGAGATAGGGGTCTAATATCAACTCTGCCTCTTGCCAGATGTGTGACCACAGGAAAGTGCTTCAGTCTTTCCATCTATAAATGGGAATAAGGTCACCTCCCACAGAGGGTAATTGGAAGGATGAAGAAGAGATATACTTAGCACTTGGCCTGATACATGTGCTCAAAAACAATGATCAATAGTAACAATAATAATCTATAAAGAGTTGTTTATATGTTAAGGATACAGTAGCCATCCATGAAATATTTTGTTTTCTGTATTATCTTTTTAGTCATATTTATGATAATATTTGACATAAATAATTATTTCAATTTTGTATAGTCAAATCTATCAACCATTTGCACTCTGATTTCTTACACTGCCTTTTTGTTTTTGTTCTTTTTTTTTTTGAGACGGAGTCTCGCTCTGTCGCCAGGCTGGAGTGCAGTGGTGCGATCTCAGCTCACTGCAACCTCTACCTCCTGGGTTCAAGCGATTCCCCTGCCTCAGCCTCCCAAGTAGCTGGGATTACAGGCACACGCCACCTCGCCTGGCTAATTTTTGTATTTTAGTAGAGACAGAGTTTCACCATGTTGGCCAAGATGGTCTCGATCTTCCTGACCTTGTGATCCACCCGCCTCGGCCTCCCGAAGTGCTGGGATTACAGACGTGAGTCACCGCACCCAGCCCGCCCTTTTGTTTTCTTAGAAAGTACTTCTGATTCAGAACTCAGATAAAGGCCTTTTTAAAAAATAATTTCATTGAATTCTTTTAACTCTTTAAATTCTGGAAATTATTTTGCTATCTGTATGAGATGAAAATAATAATCTGGAAATTATTTTGCTATCTGTATGAGATGAAAAACTAATGTTTCCTAAGTAGCCAATTTCCTCAATATATAAGAAATACATAATCATATGTATTGAATGATATATTACTTCCCCATTAATTTGTGATACCTCCTTTATCATAAATGACTACATGTACATATAATACATAAAATAATTAATTTTCTACTGTATCTAAGGCCAAATTTTATTAAAAATTAGTCAAAAATATAAAACAGAGTCCTTAGATTTACCAAAAAATGTTCAATCTGAGAGATCCACATTTTTAACATAAGTTCCTTTAGCCCTCCACTTCCACGCACTAATTTCAGCCTTGATACCACTCTTACCAACAGGATTAGAAAATGACATATTTGAACGAGGCTCATTTCCAGGGAGGTAAAGAATCTCTGAAAACAGAGGTGAAAGTCTATAGCAAAATTTTCTTCCTTATTTCCATTAAATTGATTTGATAATTATTACCAATATCTGAATAATATTAGTCTACATCATTCTAAATCAACCAATAAGTCTTTGAATACCTTTTCATGCTTGGATCCAATTAGGAGGTAAGTTGGACCTTGGTCTTTGGGATGGATAACGATAGTATAATGTGTGGATAACAGACTTCGTCCACTGGCTTCATAATCTTCATCTGAATCACAAGATCTGTCAACCTCTTCCACTTTAGCCTCCCAGAGTTTGATCTGACCTAAAGGAAACTAAAGTAAATATTAGTAATTGTGAGGAAGGCATTTTCTAAATCTTTTCCTACTAAAACATTTCATAGTCCTTTTCATTTTTAAATTTATAAAGCATACCTTTAAAAATTTTACTTTATTTTTTATTTTCCTTTTTTTTTTTTTTTTGAGACAGGGTTGGGTCTCCCTCTGTCTCCCAGGCTGGAGTGCAGTGGCGCAATCAGTAACCTCACTGTAACCTTGAACTCCTGGGCTTCAGGGATCCTTCCATCTCAGCCTCCCAAATAGCTAGCACTACAGGCACATGCCACCATGCCCAGCTAATTAAAAAAAAATGATTTTTTTTTGGAGATAGGGTCTTGCTACATTGCCCAGGCCAGTCTCAGACTCCTGGGCTGAAAGAATCCTCCTGCCTCAGCCTCCCAAAGTGCTGGGATCACAAGCGTGAGCCACCGCATCAGTATAACATACCTTTTTAAAAATGATGCCTAGAGGCAATTTGATTATCCACAGTGTAACAAAAGTAGTGGCAACAACCAAAGAGCCTAAAAGTAATATGAAAGAACCATATACATATTAGAGATTTAACTTCTGAGGAAAAAACAAGATGCTACTTTTATGCAGTAGTTCAGATGATTCAGCTGTACTAAAATTCTTATAGGAGGCAGAAAGAAATTATTTAGATAGACAGTTAGGGTAAAGCAAGTCCCCAGCAGAAAACTTTCCTTTTTAAAAACGCAGCTCAAAGATAGCTCCTTTTCTAACCCCAGGCAGTTCAAGGAAATCACTTCTCTTCTAACAACAAGCAGCCTGAAAGAGCAGACAGTGAAACACAGATAAGACAGCTTCGGCACAGAAGGAGGGGGGAAGGTCTCCTGGGTAATTACCAAACTCCACACTTGTACAATGGGCCCCCCAATAAAACAGTGGGCCTTAATAAGCACATTCTTTTCCCTTTGGACACACTAAGATAGAGAAGCTAAAAGCAGACTAGAGGGGGTGCCTACAGCTGCAAGAAGATGGCAACAAACACAAACTCTCCCTCCCAGATAAGCAGGACAAAGAAACACAGACTAACAGTCAGCCTATGTGGTTACGGAATGAGACAGAGCTGATAAAAAAAACTCTGCTCTGTACAGATAGCACACCTGGTTCCAACTAAACCATCAGGAGGATAAGATATCCCCTCCTTACAAGCTCCCTCCTCGCTAGCCCATTTATAAAAACCCTGACATCTTTACTACAAATTGGCAACCCACTCGGGACCCTTCTCTGTGATGGAGAGGTGTTCTTTCCTTTTGCACTATCTACTAAACTCCTGCTCTAAACTCACTCTGTCTGTGTGTGTCCATGACCCAGATCTCCTTGTCCTTGAGAACAAGAACTTTGGTATTTACCCCAGACAATGAGGCTGCTTCAAAATGACCCATTATTTAGTTAAGCAACTAGTCATAATTCACCAAAACAGTCATTTGACTTTTTTATCCCACAGAATTGATCAGCAATTTGATTAAGTTATTGGATCAAAAGGACAAGTGTATACATAGTCTCAAAACTGCTTATTGAAAAGAAAAATATTGTTCCTAGAAAAAATAACAAGATTAGATAGGTAGTGCAAAACGAACTATCATCCCAAATGCCAGTAAAGGAGGAGCATTCCAAGGCTCTTTGTTATATATCACAAAACAATACCATGAATTTCTCCATCTTAAGGGTAAGAAAAACTTCCTAAAGCCAATTTATATTAAATTTTATCTAAGCTTTTATTGACAAAACCAACTATATCTGGTGTGTTGAATATTTGGCCTATCTGTTGTAAAACTTTTGCTCTAATTTAGTACCTTTATTCCAGGAAAATACACGGTCTGCATCAGATTTATAACTTCTAAAATATTTGGCCAAGTTTGCAATTGGAGTTTTGAAAAAGTTCATTCTAACTACAAGGATATTTACCTCACACGTTTACATGCTAAGTTTCAGGGCTCAGTGCTGGAGCCCTTCTTCCATCTATGCTCACTCTCTGGGTGACCTCATCTAAGCTCATGGCTTTAATACCAGCATGTTAGCTACTCCCAAATTTATAACTCCAGACTCACTAACTCTACTTAGATGTTGGATAGCATTTCAAACTTAACAGCATTTCAGACTTACCTTGGTAAGTCCTCCTTGACAACCTGCTCTGCCCAGTCTTCCCCATCTCAAGTTGTTGGCAATGTTACTTTTCTATTAATAGCTATTAACACCCAAAACCTTGGCATCATTGCAGTCTCTCATACTGACTTTTCAGTCAATAAATCCTGTCAACAAGACTTTCAGAATCTATCTAGAATCTGTTCATCTCTCACATGTCCACAGCACCACTAAACCACAATCCCCTCTCACCTGGATTACTGCAATGGCTCCTAACCCATCTCCTCCTTATTCCCTCCGGTCTATTCTTAATCAGCAGTCGGCGTGTGCCTGTTAGACACAGGCAAGATCATGTCCCTGTTCCGCTCAAAGCCCTCCAGTTGTTTGTCATCTCACTCAGAGCAAAAGCTGAAGGGTGGCAGAATCTGCCACCCCAACAGATATCACTTTGGCATAAGGGTTATTTTGAACTAAAGGCATTTTTAAAAGCAGCAGGTGCAAGAAGGGTGTTCTGACCCTCTGCGTTTTCTTCCCAAAGGCAGGAGGGAACCTGCCTTTCATAACGCCTATATGAAAGATATCCTCCCTTTACCAGAAGGAAAGTAAGATTCTTGTCAAGATGGGAAGCCGAAGCCTGGGGAAAGTTATACAAACAACCCTTGTTAAACTTAATCTTATCTTCCTCCTCACTTCTCCACCCAAGTAACTACCCCAGCCCAAGTCTCTTTGCCTTGTCACATTTTCACAATTTACTACACTTTGTCCAGTTTGGTGTATAAGTGTTCACCTTTATGTCTTGGAGTCTTCATTGCCTTAGGAAGGCTCCTCTGTGATGTAAAACTTAAATAAATGTATATGTTTCTCCTGTAATCTGTCTTAATGTGAATTTAATTCTCAGGCCTGCCAAAAACCCTAAGAAAGTAGAGGTAAAATTTCGCCTCTCCTAAAAAGCAAGCTTTTAATAATAGGATGAAGAAAACAAATTCTATTAATACTATGATAATACATAACAATACTAACCTAATTGTGTACTTTAGGCACAATGATATGAAAATCTAGGTTTCATCCACCCTAATATTTAAAGATGGTTATTCATTTTACCAAAGGATGCACCATGCCTTGATAAGCAGCAAACAGACCTAGTGGTTTCAAATATTTTGATTTAATAAAAAAAGACATTGATACAGATTAAAAGCAAATTCTTTTGGAAATATTTATAGCAAAAAATGAAGTAGGCCTATAATGATTCACATATATTCTCAATACTTTTCCAGTTGTTATAATGGATTTCTGTTTATGTATCCATTCTTCTGACTTGTTTCTTCTGTGATCAATGCTATCCATTTTTATTAAATTATTTTTCTATTTATAAAAACACATGCTTATTACAGAAACTTGGTAAGTATGGAAAGGATTTTAAAAAGAAAGAAACCATCCATATTACTGTGATCACAGATAATTATTTTATTTAGATGTGTCAGACTGAGATTTATAAACTTGGCCTTCCAATCACCATCCTCTAAGATCTCATAATTACAGAGAAATTGGGAACTGTATTTGCCAGAACCTCCTTCCCTGTTATGGTTCCCAGTTAGAGTTTCCTGTGAGAGAATCTACTTGAAGTTTAGAAGGAGAGGGTAGAAGAGTTGTTATTCTCCTGGGACTACGGTGGCTGATGTTGGGGCTCATGTAAGATTCACTGAAGCTTCCCAGTGAAGCCTCGAGGACCAGCTGCCTTCAGTCCTTTGGCCAGAAATCTTCAGTGTTGTCTTCTCTGACCTTCATTGGCAGTTTCCCTAACTTTTACCACTCCCATACAACTTTTCTAAAAGTTATGTAAGTTATAAAACTTCTCTAATATTTACGTATGTCCACAATTCTATATTAACATTTTTTTTTTTTTTTTTGAGATAGGGTCTCACTCTGTCGCCCAGGCTGGAATGCAGTGGTATGATCACAGCTCACTGCAGCCTCAATCTCCTGGGCTCAAGCAATCCTCCTGCCTTAGCCTCCCAAGTAGCCAGGACTACAAGCATGCATCACCATGCCTGGCTAATTTTTTTTTTTTTTTTTAGTAGAGACTAGGTTTTGCTATGTTGCCTAGGGTGGCATTAGATCTTTTACACCTGTAACACGTACAGTGGCTTCTGTTTTCCTGACTGATGAGTTAGGATTACATTGACAGCACAATTTTGTATTGTACATATTCGGGTAGCATTTGTATGTCGGCATTTTCCCACACTACTTCAGAGATTGTTTGTTTGTTTGTTTATTTTGAGACAGGGTCTCATCCTGTCACCCAGCCTGGAATGCAATGGTGCGAATCACAGCTCACTGTAACCTCCACCTTCTGGGCTCAAGTGAGCCTCCAACCTTGATCTCCCTAGTAGTTGGGACTACAGGCACACACTACCACACTCAGCTAATTTTTAAATTTTTTGTAGAGACAGGTTCCCACTATGTTGTCCAGGCTGGTCTCAAACTCCTGGGCTCAAACGATCCTCCCACCTCTTGGCCTCCCAAAGTGCTGGGATTATAGGCATGAGCCATCATGCCTGGCCTCAGTATTGTTTTTAATGGCTGTACTGCGTTAATCTCTACCCCATTAGCAACACTGAGTATAACGGCATGTATTTTAAATACAGCTGGTCAGACCTGAGAGTGTAGGCTATCAAAAGGGAAGGAGAAATACTAACTGTCCCATGTGGTCACTAGACCAAGAAGTTTAGTCTCATTAACACAGTAACAGTCACAGGCTGCTCTTCAGAGGAGCAGTCATCATTATGTTATACAAGTACTCGTGGCCCATGTTGGTTCAATTTTTATAGCTTCAGTTATCCAAAGGTGACACAGAATACCCATAATGATGACTGGGCATGCGTTTTACCTTTGGGCAGACACCCCATCTTTTTATTCTGAAATTTAAAATAATTCAGATTCTTTTGGGGAGGGGATTAGTTTAAACATTAATAAACAGAATATAAACAGGCAGATGGATGGGTAGATAAGCGGTATTCGGGAATTTGAGGGCTTGGGACAGAAATAGATTCCTTTTCCTTTTTAGGTTTTCTTTCCTAACTTGCTGCTTCCTTCTATCAACCTTATCTGGTCTGTAAGAACCTGGGAAAATATAAGAAACTGATGGTTGTGGGGAGGGAATAGAAGAAGACTGTTCTAGGTCTTAGAAGATGCATTAATTAAAAGTTGCTAAGGCTTGTAATTAAGAATCAAGACCCTTGTAGGTGTAGGTGATAGACCTTTGTGTGATTTTCTCAGTTGCACCAAATTATACCAAATTTCAACCTCATAAAGATTCTGAAGTTTTACAAAGTAAGAGAAGAGAGAAAAGGAAAAGTTTAAGCCCTAACACACAAAAAGTTACTTCAATTGGCATATTAAAAATACATACATACCTTATCTTCTTGACTCCGAAAATAATATAATGTCTTTCCTATTAGTGTACACCAGACTCTCTTGGAATATCCATGTTTTACCTGAAACCATATTTCAATGAATTACAAGTTTAGCCCAGAACTCTGACACCTTAAATTATAGCTTATACACCCTATTTGAGTTTCTATAGGCATCCAGTTTGCCCAGATATAAGTGATATTCCAAATAGATTGTCCAGTGCTGTTTAAGATGTACCTGTCACACATTGAGCACACATGGACATAAATAGGGAAACAATAGACACTGTGGACTAGCAGGGTAGAGGGCACCGGGGTGGCTGGGTTAAAAAGCTACCTATCGGGTACTATGCTCACTACCTGGGTGATGGGATCTGTACTCCAAACCTCAGCATCATGCAATATTCACATGTAACAAACCTGCACGTGCACCCCCTATATCTAAAATAAAAGTTGTAAAAAAAAAAAAAAAGATTTACCTGTTAACAGTAGTAGAATGGCAAGTTTTGCTTTGGTGCTCACCATTCAACATACAACGAATGTTTACTATGCATCAAACACTATGCCTAGGACTGAGGTTTCACAGATGGATAAAGAAGGGAGTGGAGGGGTGGATTATGGGAAATTATGTAATGGGGTACAATGTATGTTATTACGAGTGATGGGTATCCTAAAAGCTCTGACAGAATCACTATGCAATCAATGCATGTAATAGAATTCCACTTGTACCCCATGAATGCATTAACATAAAGAAGAGAAAGTGCAGTTTCACCAGTAAGTATATTTCATAGTTTCCACATTTCACAGATTTCCAATAGCCATGTGGCTCTCTAGGTTAACACTCTAATGTCAATGCATGTAACAGAATTGCACTTGTACCCCATGAATGCATTAACATAAAAAAAGAGAAAGTACAATTTCACCAGTATATTTCATAGTTTCCACATTTCACAGATTTCCAATAGCCCTGTGGCTCTCTAGGTTAACACTCTAACATTAGAAGTGAGAAGATGAAGGCTGTGCGCGGTGGCTCACGCCTGTAATCCCAGGACTTTGGAGGCCGAGGCGGTGGATCACCTGAGGTCAGGAGTTCAAGACCAGCCTGACCAATATGGGGAAACCTTGTCTCTACTAAAAATACAAAAATTAGCCAGGCGTGGTGGTGGACATCTGTAGTTCCAGCTACTCAGGAGGCTGAGACAGGAGAATTGCTTGAAACCGGGACACGGAGTTTGCAGTGAGCAGAGATCACACCACTGTACTCCAGCCTGGGCGACAGAGCAGGCTCCGTCTCAAAAACAAAAAAGAAGTGAGAAGATGAAAACCTGAAGAATTCTAGTAATTTCCCAAATGTAAAAGATTCATTCATTCAAAAACATTTGATGCCTTCTTAGAAGTAATCATACAAAGTAATAAAATAATGTTAAAAGCTATTACTGTAAATTGAGTACCTCCTGTATATCAGGTACTAAGTTAAGTGACTGGGACAGAATTTGAATCTAGCTCTTAACTTTGAATAGTCAGTAAGTGATATAGGCCCTGGAGTAACAGATTTGAACAAGATACAGTCTCTTTCTCGGGAACTCACAGCCTTGTGAAGAAGACAGACAATTAAATCAGCAGTATGTTAAATATTTTCATCAAGAGTGCAGAGGCTCACAACTGGGCTGTTGTGAGAACCAAATGAGAAAATGTAAATAAAGGATGACAGTAGTTACTCAATAAATGCTTCCGTCCTCACTATGAATAAAAAGTAAAACACATTTTCTTTTAAACTCATAAACCCAGTCAGCCTTTGGGCTTTCAAAGCTGTGGTTTAAGCAAATGAGTAACTCCACCACCTAACGGTTTGATGGATTTAGAATGCTGTTTGAGAGAAAACAAAAAATGTCTCATTTGAGACATGTTTCAATTTAATTAAATTTAGAAACATATTTACAGACAAATATCCTGGAAGCTTTAAATAGCGCTGTGTGGGGTGTTTTTTTCTTTTCTTCTTCAAACAATCTTCAGAAAGAAGTCTCATAAAAACTGAAGTATAATGCATCTGGCTATAGACAGTGTACTTCTGAAATGATTTATCTTTAAAAGAGAACAATGTATGCCTTCGAAGAAATGCAAATTAATGAAGACCTTTGCCAATTCACTGTAAAAGCTGTGTTTTAACAATCTATCTTTATACATAAATCTTGTATTAGAATTTTTTTTTTTTTTTGAGACGGAGTCTCGCTCTGCCACCCAGGCTGGAGTGCAGTGGCGCCATCTCAGCTCACTGCAACCTCCGCCTACTGGGTTCAAGTGATTCTCCTGCCTCAGCCTCCCAAGCAGCTGGGACTACAGGCACGTGCTACCATGGCCAGCTAATTTTTGTATTTTTAGTAGAGACAGGGTTTCACCATGTTGGCCAGGATGGTCTCAATCTCTTGACCTTGTGATCTGCCCGCCTCGGCCTCCCAAAGTGCTGGGATTACCACTGTGAGCCACTGTGCCTGGCCTAGAATTTCTTAAATCTCTGACTTACTCTTTAAAAAACTAGAAAACAAATTATACTGGAAGAATCCTCACGAAAATTTAAAGGCAACCTCAAATCTCAAGGTGATCTAATTAAAAGAATAATTTTTTACCATGCTTCCATGACAAAGGTAGTTTCTATTGGTTTTGTTTGAAATCTTGAAGACAAACAGTATATCATATCCCAATTAGCCCTTGCCACTGCACAAACCATAAGCCCCTATGGTATTCTCTCCTTCCCCATAAGCCCATCCCTGTAGCATTCTCCACCACAAATCCTGCCACCAGCCTTGCTGACTTCACTATCAAGGTGAAACTCTTGGATGATAATAGCTAGCATTTTTTGGTGTGTTTATGATGTGCCAGGCACTGTTCTAACACAATTTATATGTTTAAATAATTCACTTAATCCTCCCAATACCCTGTGAGGTTGGCTCTATTATTATCCCCATTTTATAGGTGAGGATGCTAAGGCACAGAGCCTGTAAGTAACTTCTTCAAGGTCACACAGGTGGTAAGTGGCAGAGCCAGGACTTGTGCCCAGGCAGTCTTGTTCCCATCCTTGCCCTTGCCTCTTGGCCACACTGTCTCCACAACCTTGCTCTCTTCACTTCCAGTAACCTTTGCTGTCCCTCCACTTTTGCCACCCATCCCCTCAGCCATACCCTAATCCTTTTTCCTTCACTGGGAACTGCTCCACTTCTGCAATTTACTTTCTATTCTCTGATCACAACTTCCTCCCAATTCCTCCCACTTCCCTCCCCCTCTCACTTACCACACTCCTATTCTTGGGTTTGTTTGTTTGTTTGTTTGTTTGTTTGTTTGAGGTGGAGTCTCACTCAGTTGCCCAGTCTGAAGCACAGTGGCACAATCTTGGCTCACTGCAACCTCTGCCTCCTGGGTTTCAGTGATTCTCCTGTCTCAGCCTCCTGAATAGCTGGGATTACAGGCATGTGCTGCCATGCCCGGCTAATTTTTGTATTTTTAGAGAAGACAAGGTTTCACCATGTTGGCCAGGCTGGTCTCAAACTTCTGACCTCAGGTGATCCTCCCACCTTGGCCTCCCAAAGTGCTGGGATTACAGGCATGAGCCACCATGCTTGGCCCACACTCTTGTTCTTTACCTCATTCATAATTTTAAGCCCCTTGATCCTTCCATTTTATTCTAGCTTATCAGTCCCCTCCTGGCCCCATGTCCTTCTCTGCCAACTTGGGTTTCCATGTTTGATCACGAAACAACTCTTGCTCCAGGGCCTGTGATTATGCTGTATTCCTTTGCTTCTAACAAATCCACTCAACAAAATTCCATTTGCTTTTAAATAATCTAGTGAAGAATGTGACAAGAGACAGATGGTTATAGGAAATAATATTAGCCATAATTAATAACTGTTGAAACTAGATGATGAATATATGAGGGCTCATTATATTATTCCCTCTATTTTCACATACATTGGCAATGCCCATAATAAAACATTAATTTCAAATATCATCTTGAAAGATACGTGGTAAAGCAAGTAAAATGTTGATTGTAGAAACAAGGTGATGGGCATATGGTTGTACACTGTAAAATTATTCTGCTTTTTTGCATATTTGAAAATTTATATAATAAACTGTTAGAAAAAACCACTATCCTCACTTCACTACAATGTAAATTCTCTGCTCCTTTTTCTGGGCATCTGAAGATGTTAGAGAAAAATATTCGATAAAAACTCAAATCAGAAAGTCTGGTGGGCCTTCAATAATACTTACCAAGCCTTCTATTTATCCTTGGGTACATCCTACTTTCCTGAATGATTATTCTCCACCCTTTTCCCCACTCTTAGTAAATAACATTGTCGTACGGAATAATGTTCATTAAGAAAACTGAGGATATTAGACATGATATCACTCAATGTCCTACAAACTTAAGATACTTTTCTGCACCCTTCCTCACTTTTCCTCCAGTTTCAGCCCTTCCAGTGTGCCTTCCCACTATGTCCAGCCACCCACTTCTTCTGGACTTTGTCTTTAATCCCCCTCCTCCCTTCTTCCAGGGGCCTTCCCCTTAGTTTGTGAACTCAAGGTACATCTTTTCCACCCTAAAAAATGCCTCTCCTGACTCCAGGTTCCCTCCAGCTTGATTCTAACATACTGAAAGGTATAGATAGTCCTTGAAACTCAAATACTTCACTTATTAATCTCCCATTTACCCTTCAACCCACTGAAGGCAACGTACCTTCTTCTCTGAGCACATGTGACACTAGATCAGTCACAGGCATTACTCTCAGACCTCTGCACACATCTCCTTACTGTGCCCTTAAATTTACAAGTGTTACCCTGCTCTCCCCTGCCCTACATAATTTCCCATAATTGCCACATGTATGCTGATGATTCCTCGAATCCTTCTCTCCAATCCAGCCCTCCAGCACTCTTCTCCGATGTAGACTGGTGGTCTGCTGCCTGCTGGACTTTTTAACTAAGACATCCTACCAGCTCCTGATGTCTTCCAAAATCACCTAATCTTCCTAAAACTGCTCCTCTTTCCTGAGCTCTCTCTTATCTGCTATCATCTTTCTACCAGGCATCTTTATCTCTTCTACTTCCTAACCCCAAATTCAATCAAACTAAAGATTTTACCTCTTACCATTATTTAAATTCATCCTCTCCTCTCTTTTCCTGTAACCCCTTCAGAGTTTCATCCTCTTCATAGGAACCACTCCCTTAACTGTTCTTAGAACCTCCACCTTGCCTCCCACTGATTCATCTTCCTCTTAGCAGAGTAATCTGTTAGCAACATGAATATGCCCATGCTCCTGTTACAAACCCTGCAGGGTTTCAAATATCCTTCAGGATAAAGACCAAAGTCCTTAAAAAGACAAAAATAGCTTTCCACCATCCATAGGCCCCTCTAGCTTTTTCTCCAAAGGACTTGTTCCTAGTGCAGCTGGCACTGCTTCGAGATTTTTTTTTTCTTTTTTTCTTTTTTTTTAGACGGAGTTTCATTTGTCGCACAGGCTGGAGTGCAACATTGCAATCACAGCTGATTTCAACCTCCATCTCTCAAGTTCAGGCGATTCTCCTGCCTCAGCCTCCCGAGTAGCTGGGATTACAGGTGCCCGCCAGCATGCCTGGTTAATTTTTGTATTTTTAGTAGACGGGTTTTCACCATGTTGGTCAGGCTGGTCTCGAACTTCTGACCTCAGGTGATCTGCCTGCCTCAGCCTCCCTAAGTGCTGGGATTACAGGCATAAGCCACTGCTTCAAGACTCTAAGCCTTCATTCGCGCTGTCTCCTAGCCTAGAGTACCACCCCTCCACCCATTCCCACTTGGTATAACTAACTCCTACTCCTCCTTGAAGACTCGGCACAGGTAAATCTTCTCTCAGAAGTCATTACTGACACATCTCAATAATTGTACTTTATATCATTGTAAATAAGCTTTTGTCTCCCTCTTTTTTAATAGATTATGAGGCTCTCTGAGGAATGGGACAGTGGCCTATTCATCTTAGTATCTTTCAGCACATTGTGCTGCATGTGGTAACTGCGTAATACATTTTCGTTTTTTAAAGAACTGAATTTTTATATAGAAAATGTTTTTCCTAAGCATTAAAATAAAAATTGCAAGAGTGACTGTCTAGAATCAAATTAGTCAAGTTCTTAGCATCTACCTATATTATTCTGTACTTAATAAAAACAATGTGACAACCTGAGAAAACTTCCTCCCCTCCAAGGTATTCAAATGCAATTTGACAGTATCTCATATTGCAGCCTGAATGTGAGCTCAGAACAAGTCACTCAGAATAACTGAGGGAAGCTGTTCTCTCATAAGGTTCTAAGGGTGAAAATATGGGGGTGGACAAGCACAAATGGCAGGAAGGAAACTTAATAAGCATCCTGGCTATAAACCCTAATGATTTAGTCATCTGAGAATCCCATCGACTCATACTCATTTAAAATGCAATTGTGAAATGGGAAGTGGAGAATCGCAGAAATGTTATAGGAGCAGAAACTGACATGCCTTGCTGATAAAGTAAAAACAAGCAAGCAAACAAAATCCTAATTGTGGGGGAAGTAATAAACCCTTAGCCATGGGATCATCTTAAACTCTCAGGGTTTGATATGCATATGAGGTCCTTGAAACAAGAGCATAGCTCATTATTATGAATTATAGTAAGAATGTGATTTAAAGTAGCAGTGTGTTCACTGGAAAAGTATTGTGCAAATATTTTGTTCCCTAACCCATCAGTAACTAAGAAAACATTTTCACAGTCGTATTTTAGAAAAAACATAGTACATAGTATATTTCTTTGTTTAATGCAATAGTGAATTAAGTTTTACCTTTGCTATAGTTGGTCAGTCTTTTTAAATATTATGGAATAACACCCACCTACATTCCCACATTAATAATAAGTATAAACTACACAGTAGCATAGTTACTTTCCATCTAATTTTCCACCTCTTACATAATCAGAGTACATGAATGAGGAGTGATTATGTGTGTATACATATTTTGTTGTATTTTTCAAAAAGTGACCAATAGGACTTTTTAAAACTTAAAAATAATATTAAGTCAATACTTACTCATTGTAAAAAAAAAAAAAACAGAATTAAGCAAAAATAAATAAAATCACAGAGATAACCAATATACTTTGGTATATTTCCCAGACATTTTTCTATAAATACTTACAACAAATAAGGTATAATAATGTAATACTGCACTCTACTTATTACCTAACAATACATCATATTTCTATAGCATTAGATATTCTTTTACAACATTTAAAAGGCTGCATAGTAAAGCATTATATGGTTGTACAAACATTTTTTAAAGCTATACCTTACCCTACATCTAATTTGATCCCAATTTTTCTTTATTATGAACCATGCTGTGCAAGGAATCTTTCTGGGGTAATGGAAATGTTCTGCATCTTGATAGAGTCAAAAGTAAATAGCTTTCAAAACTAGTCAAACTCTACACTTAAGATCTGTGCATTTCAGATATATTAATCATACCTCATTTTTTAAAATAGGAAAAAAAACATGCTGTGAGGAACATCTCATAATTAAATCTTTTGCAAATTAAGACCACTTCCTAAGGATAAATTTTTAAAACTGAGATTGCTGGATCAAAGGAGATATATATGCGTGTGTGTGTGTGTGTGTTGATTTGATATTGATTTGTTCACTCAAAATTATTGGCTAAGTTAACACTTCAGCCAAGATATTGCCAAACTGCCTTTTAGAGTAATGCTCTCACTAGCAGATTTCTTTTTTTTTCTACTGCCTATGTAATTGCAGAAACTAGCAGATTTTTTAATCTGTGTCAATACTAGGTTTCAAAATTTGTAAAAACGTCTTACTTTTCACCAGATTTTAAAAAGTGCCACCTCTTATTTCAATCTGTGCTTTTAAAAAAATTGAGTGACAGTAAAATGTTTTTCCATATGCTTATTGATCATTTGTATTCCTTCTAACCTCGATGATCTCTCTTTCCTGCCCATTGAGTCTTTTGTTCCTTTTCCCCCAATTGGTGTTCATTGTTTGCTTACTGATTAGAAAAAAACGTGTTAAATATTAATGATATTAACCAGTTTTCACATGTTTCAAATACCTCTTCAAAGTTTTTCAATCCTTCTTTTAAAAATTCTGCTCGTAGAATTTTTAATAGAGCCTTTACATTTTTACATATTATAGTCAAATTTGTCTTCTTTTCATCTTTATAGTTTTTGCCTTGGGCATCATACTTAAAAACACCCTTTCCTATCCCCAAGATCATATCAATATTCAATATATGTATATGCTCTGACATCCCATTTTCAGCGATCATGGGCTCATGCCCATAGCTGCCTGGGACATTGCTATGCACAGGAGGTTCCTACCTTAGTGAGCAATCCCTTCATGGTGGGTTTGCCCTCAGGCTGCAGGGAAAGTGGGTTGGCAGCTTGTACTCGAAGAACATTCTGTAACACTTTAATCCACTCTTCCAATATATTGGGAGAATCTGCAGTCAGATAGTATGTGTGTTTTTCAGTGGTCAACTAGAATGCAACGAGAAAGGTATAGGAAAGAAAACTGTGAAGATTTAGGATTGTTAGCATTTCCTTGTTCATTATTCAAACGTCATTACTTAACACAGAAGCAAACATGCTAAATCTCAAGTCCCAGTTTCTAAATAAATGACTCCATATCAGTTAGAATATTTTAACCACTTTGTGAGAATTACAGCAATTAAATTTTTGTGGAAATAACTTTGTTACTCCAGTTTACCTAATTTTGGGGTTATGATTTTATATCTTGTTTATTTGTCACATTTTCCCTTTCTTGCTTAAATGTGTTACAGGTTCCTACTTTTCTTTTTTTTTTTTTTTTGAGACAGAGTCTCTTTCTGTCGCCCAGGCTGGAGTGCAGTGGCGCCATCTTGGCTCACTGCAAGCTCCGCCTCCTGGGTTCACACCATTCTCCTGCCTCGGCCTCCCGAGCAGCTGGGACTTACAGGCACCTGCCACCATGCCCGGATAATTTTTTTTGAATTTTTAGTAGAGACGGGGTTTCACCGTGTTAGCCAGGATGGTCTCGATCTCCTGACCTCATGATCCGCCTGCCTCAGCCTCCTGAAGTGCTGAGATTACAGGCGTGAGCCACCGCGCCCGGCCAGGTTCCTACTTATTGAAATGAGGAGCAGAATGATTAAAGACTATAATAAAATAGCATAGTTTTAGCAACTAAAGAAGAGGTTTCTTAATACAAATGACAAAATCAACTATAAATAAAATAAGAAGATCTTGCATATAAGAAGATAAATTATTGGAACGAACATGTGATTAGATATTATGAACTCAGAATGTTCCAGTCTCAAATTAGCCACACTGCAAATTTTCCAAATTTCAGAAACTTACAAATGATTCTTAACTGCCATGCCCAAAGACAAAGCTTTCCTTGATTCTCCTTTCTAAATTTTTGAGAGGTTTTCAGGTACAAATCACTGGAAACATTGATAATGTACCTTTCTGGCAAAGTTGTCCTCCACCCTCCAAAGGAGCAATATAAGAAAATAATGGTTATTGAAGACATTTCAGAAATAAAGTGTCTGACTTTAAATTACATATACTAGAATATCTCAACAGCCTGTGTTTTAAATTTAACAGATTTCTGGCAAGACTGGCCTTATGTGTGAGTAAAATGGGCAGCAGCTGCCCCTACAGTGTGACTTGCTTGGCAGCACACTCCCTCTGCTCACCAATATATTTCCCACTTTGGTGTTATGGCATCTGAAGTTCATATAAGAACTGTCATTTTCAGATTCTATATTAAAATACAAACATTCCTGAATTTCACAGTACATTATATAACTAACATCTTATTGAGAATTCATTTACCAGATAACCCTTCCTTAAAATAGCTTCACAGTTGGACAGCTGAAAATACCTAGGAGATTAAATATGAGGAAAGAAGAGTATAAAGGAAGAAAGGTAAAGTGTGGTGGGAGTTACTCAACACACACCTAACTTACATTATAGTTTTAACCAAAAATTCGTGGAGTTTCACATACTTCCAAGGCATCAAACTAACCCCCCAAAGTGAATAAAGAAACACTGAATTATCCTATCTCCTTTCCATTAGGTTGGATAATTGAGAATTGAGTCTGGCATGATACAAAAAAAAAAAAAAAAAAAAAAAAGTTAAGTACCTGAACTGTTTGTTTGTTATCTCCTCTTAAAATACTACAGGATGCACTAAGTTCAATATGGCCCTGGGGTTTTCTAATTACATCACTCTGTATGAAACAGAAAAACAAATGGAAAGTGATTAACTTTAACAGTAATAATAAGGAATGCTTTGTATCATTACTTGCATTATGGGAAGGAAATCAATCAGGCGTCTGATTTATAGTTTGAGGAATTACGTTCTAAACAGAAAACACTTTCCACTCACCGGAGATTTGTAGTAAAGTAATTCACCACCTTTAAGAACAAACCACCGCCGCTTCCAAGACTTGACTTTACCACTCATTTTTAATAAATAACCAGATTTTTCCAGTGGTTCCTAATTTTTAAAAGATAGACAAAAGCATTTTCAGTTTCCTTTTGGAGGCTCAATCTGACTGACTGCTTTTTAAAAATCATATTCAATATTTACATTTTTCCCATTATCACTGGAAGATGAGCAAGTTTTTGGGAGCTTCTGCTCTGGCTGTGAGTACTCCGTGTCTGTGGAGTAAGCATCAGGAGGAATAGCATAATCACTTTCAGAAGCCACAGAGGAGAGAGACACACCTAAGAGAACAAAGAAAGAAATCAAGTCAGTATTTAATACTGGGGAGGGCCAAACACCAGCTCTGAGTGCTCCTACAGAATGCAATTATTCCTAAATCATAAGCCTCCCTAGACTAGATTTATTCTCATTCCTTTGGCCATAAATAACTTTTTTTGAGACAGAGTCTCGCTCTGTCACCAGGCTGGAGTGCACTGGCACAATCTCGGCTCACTGCAACCTCTGCCTCCTGGGTTCAAGCGATTCTCCCGCCTCAGCCTCCCGAGTAGCTGGGGCTACAGGTGTGCGCCACCACGCCCAGCTAATTTTTGTATCTTTAGTAGAGATGGGGTTTCATCATGTTGGCCAGGATGGTCTCGATCTCTTGACCTCGTGATCCGCCTGCCTTGGCCTCCCAACATGAAGAACTTTTAAAGCAGAAAACAGAACTAAGAGGTAGGGACTGTCATGTAAATCTCTAAGGAAGTGAAAGGAACAGGAATAATATTTTGGTATGATTACAATCACACAGCTATTTTACATATATAAAATATATGCAAGAGTCTACTCATGTATATTTTATTAAGAATTAAAAATATGTGTATTTACACATTGACATATAGGCAAACAAATGTTGAACCTTAATTTATCAAGATTTTCACAATCACATTTTAAATTTCTTAACTTCTGTAATCACTTTTAAAGTAACCTCACATTTTAAAAAAACACAATTCAGTAGTATTTTTTCATTCAAGTTCCATAAGCTACTAAGCAGTTTACAGATTTTAAAAATATTTCATAAAAGAGAAACAATAAGATTGAAAGATATAAACAAACTATTTCTTTCACTTGCCAGCAGCTATAACATAAAATTCAATGGAACATTTATACAATGATTCATTTGCCTTTACAGAAAACTACCTGGGAGTTGCAAGCCACATTTCATGAGTCACTACAATTGGAGATTTAGAATATATTAAATAAAATCAAGGACTTAGGTAATTATTTATAAAAGTATCCAGCAATTTTTAAAAATATGTATTAACATTTAAGGGACATATTAGAACAATGCCACTCTTGTGACACTGCTTTTTATTTGACTCAGACAAGTAACAGTTGCTATAATATCTTCATTTTTCATAGAATAAACAAAAATGTAGACCTATAGGGACCTCAGTGATTGTCATGGCTAAGGCCCAAGGAGACTAAGGCCCAGAGATTAAAGGATTTGTCCAAAGTCAAAGAGTTAGGCAGGGGCAATGTTGGAACACAAGTCTCAGGCTCCCAGGACCAGGGCCAGTGTGCCAGGCACTGTCCTAGATGCTAGGGATAGAGCAAACAACAAAAATATTGGCTCTCGTGGAACAAATTCTAGCGGAAGGAGACCACTGACAAACAGGCAGTAGGTGGTATGGAACAATAAAACATAGAGCAGACTAAAGGGAATAAAAAGAGCTGGCAACAGAAGAAAGACAAAGGGCTGCAATTTGAGTGGTGTGGTCAGGGTGGACCTCATTGAGAAAGCAGCGTTTGCTGATGGAGGTGAGGGAGTCAGCTATACGGACATCTAGGGGAAGAATACCAGCTGGAGGAAACAGCAGTGCCAAGGTCCTGAAATGCAAGCATGCCTGGCATGTCTCAGAACAGCAAGAGGGCCAGTGAGACTGGAGCTGAGTACAGAGAAGAAAGGAGATGAGGTCAAGTACGTGACCGAATCCTGGAACACCTTATAGCCGTTGTGAGGAGCCACTGCAGTGTTTCCAGCAAAAGTGTGTCATAACCTGATTCTGGCTGTAGCGGGGCAAGTTGAGAGCAAGAAGACCAGTGGAAGCTCAAAATATGAAACCAAGGAAGGCTGAGCAGCTCCAGTTGAAGCCGAGGGGATTGGAAGTATCCAGAGGTTCCATGGAACACAGTTTGAAAGCCAACAGACACACCATGCTGCATTAAGGGCTTTTTATAACATACAGATGTCATTTGGTGGAATTAGATCTCTCTGTAACCACTACCTACACACAGAATGTCTTCAAAATCCACTAAAAATCATAGACATATTCCAAGTAAATGTTGTTCTCCACTTTAACATCAGATTAATTGACAAATTTTAAGGTATATTTTCTGCCAGTTAGCAGTGTAACAACTTTAGCTGAAATAAGTCTATTTCACAAATGCCAAGAAAGAAACCTCATTTTGGCCAATTATCTCACTTCATTCCAACAATAAAGTGATCTCCCTCTCACAGACAATAAAAAGCTGAAAAAAAAAAACTATATAATTTGTCTGAAATCACAGAGAATTAAGAAGAGAATTAGGAATATAAACATATCAGTCATAGGCTAAAGTTCTTTTCACTAGGGTCTGAAGCAAGTTCTTGGATTTAAAAAATAATCCTGTAATGGAGATAAAATTCCCAATTAATATTCAGAATGATCTGGAGTTGCCTCATATGCCTGCGATTTTCCCTCACCTCGTTTCATGGCTCTGGGGCTGCCTGGCCCACTCCTACTGCGTGAGTCTGACTCTGACGTCCGGGAGCTGGATCTGGAGCTGTCTTCTTCCTCTGACCCAGATGAGTCATCCAGGAAAGGGCTGCTACTTATTTGGGTCGCCTTCTAAAGAAAAGTGGAACAACCTCCCTGTATCCATCCCTAATGTTACCACTCATCCAAGAAAAGGCTGCTAGTTATTAGGGTCGCCTCCTAAAGAAAAGCAGAGCAACCTCCCTGTATCCATCCCTAAGGTTATCACTCTTTTTAGATAACAGAAAGTTTTACAGGAAGAAGTCATAGCATAGAATTTTTTTTTTTTTTTTTTTTGAGGTGGAGTCTTGCTCTTGTCACCCAGGCTGGAGTGCAATGACATGATCTCGGTTCACTGCAACCTCCGCCTCCCAGGTTCAAGCGATTCTCCTGACTCAGCCTCCTGAGTAGCTGGGATTACAGGCACCTGCCACCACGCCCGGCTAATTTTTATATTTTTAGTAGAGACAGGGTTTCGCCATGTTGGCCAGGCTGGTCTCGAACTCCTGACCTCGTGATCCGCCCGCCTCGGCCTCCCAAAGTGCTGGGATTACAGGCGTGAGCCACCGTGCCCAGCCAGCATATGATTTTTAAAAGGAATTTGGGAATGTATTTTGCTGTTATCAAAATCATGTTGTTAAACCCTGAATTCTAATAAGCAATTATAAAAGATGCCTGAAAATATAAGGTTGTCAATACCTGCAATCCTTCTTTTAATTAATACTTCAAGCAAGGAAGGGGTACCCTGGCACTGATACAAAGATCTGCCTAAATTAGGAGTTTTCATTACATTATTAATAATATGTCTCCTTTAAACAATTCATGGCCATGGGGAGGTGGGGGAATCACATGGGACACAGTAAAAACTGACTCAGACCTCTAACATTCTGATAAGTGTCTTCTGCAGACCTTTCCATTCCTTCTTTTTTATGATATGTTAACGTGAACTTGTAAAACTTTCTATAAAGGGAGAGCCTGTGTAAAATGTTAAGAATGGAATCTGGAGCTTGAATTAACAATTTCCTTGATCCATCATGAAGAGAAGCACATGTTTTAACAATAACAATAATGAGTTACCCCCTTCAAAGTTGTATACACTGGGGTGGTCATGTTCTTGTATATCAGAGATGTATAAAGTCCTGATGTAGTATAGGAAAGGGTTGCAGCAGAATCTGAAACAGAAAAACAGGAAACAACATTTTAAAAAACTTCTAATTAGCACATTGGTCTTTTTCTTATGAATACAAATGAGCATAATCTCCATTTAAAAAGCAATTCGATTAATACATGATTACTAACTGTATAGTCTACTTTACAGATTATGGCATTTACAGGTTTATTTATACACTTTTTTACATGGTTCATTATTTCCTCATGTGTGCTAGTTCCCCAACTAGACTGCAAGCTCTTTGAGAGCAAGAACCATAGCTTTTATTTCCTTGAAATCTCCATGCATGCTTTGCTCAGGCTGGGCAGAACTAAGTACAGGCAACTGCTTACCAACCAATTCAGTAAGCAGTACATAGGAAGATATTCTCTGACTATTCATAACCCTATTACCAGCATGGTATCAAAACCACTGTTCTGGTGGGGCATGGTGGTTCCCATCTGTAATCCCAGGACTTTGGGAGGCTGAGGCAGTGGATCGCTTGAGCCCAGGAGTTTGAGACCAACCTGGGCAACATGGCAAAACCCTTTCTCTACTAAAACCAAACATGGTGGCATACACCTGTAATCTCAGTTACTTGGGAGGCTGAGGCACAAGAATTGCTTGAACCTGGGAAGGGGAGGTTGCAGTGAGCCGAGATCATGCCACTGCACTACAGCCTGGGCGACAGAGCAAGACTTGTTCTCAAACAAAAACCAAAACCAAAACCACTGTTCTTAAGCCTTTATCAGGTAAATCTGATGTTGAAATATTGGAATGTAATTTCCTAGCTAAGTGTAGTGGCTCACACCTGTAATCCTAGCACCTTGAGAAGCTGAGGCAGGAGGATTGCTTAAGGCCAGGAGTTTGAGACCAGTCTGGGCAACACAGTGAGACCCCCATCTCCACAAAAAATCTTAAAAAGTATCAAGGCATGGTGGTATGCACCTGTCATCCTAACTAATCAGGAGGCTGAGGCAGGAGGATCGCTTGAGCCCAGGAGTTCAAGGCGGTAGTGAGCTATGATCACACCACTCCACTCCCACCTGGGTGACAGAGTAAGACGCTGCCTCAAAAAAAAAAAAAAAAAAAAAAGGATAAAATTTCCTGAATGGAAAGAACTGCAGATAGCTGAACAGGAACTGAATATCAATAGTTACCCCTAACATATGAATTAGTGGTGGGATAGGGAGGAGGTGGTAGAAAGAACCACAGGAAAATTTCTTGTTATTCCAGACAGTTCTTGTTGTTTGGTTTTATTTTTTGTAATGAGCATGCATTGTTTCCATAAGAATTTTTTGGAAGAAATAAAGAAAGGGGAAATGTGTTTTAAATTCTGGGAAAAAAGGACATAGAAGCCTATATTTTTACCATTTTAAACAGCTGAAATGCCACAGTTTCTCTGATTTAGTCTCTCTCAGGTAAAAAAATATACATCAGAGTTGAGTGTATTTGAGTCCCCACACTAAGATGAATTTCAATTTTAAAATACAAATCAGCAACCCTAGAAATCATTTTTTGAAAGTTTACACAACTCTTTATTCCAATGAATTTAGACATTTAGGAAGTTCTTAGCGAATGAAATAGCAATGCAAATCACTTTTCTAAACTTTTTTTATTGTGGGAAAAAACACAGAACATAAAATTTACCATCTTAATCTTTTTTTTTTTTTTTTTTTTTTTTAAGACAGAATCTTGCTCTGTCACCCAGGCTGGAGTGCAGTGGCACAATCTCAGCTCACTGAAAGCTCCACCTCCTCGGTTCACGCCATCCTCCTGCCTCAACCTCCCGAGTAGCTGGGGCTATGGGCGCCCGCCACCACGCCCGGCTAATTTTTTTTGTATTTTTAGTAGAGATGGGGTTTCAACGTGTTAGCCAGGATGGTCTTGATCTCCTGACTTCGTGATCTGTCTGCCTCAGCCTCCCAAAGTGCTGGGATAACAGGCGCGAGCCACCGTGCCCGGCCCATCTTAATCATTTTTAATTGTACAGTTCAGTAATGTTAAGTGTATTCACACTGTTGTAAAACAGACCTCTAGAACTTTTTCATTTTGCAAATCTGAAATGCTATACCCAGTAAACAATAAATTCGCTTCTCCACGCACACCCTGACCCTGGTAACCGCCATTCTACTTTCTATTCCTATGAATTTGACCCTTTAAACACCTCCTTTAGGTGGAATCATACAGTATTTGTCTTTTTGTGACTGTACCATGTATTTGTATTATACTATCCCTTAGCACAAAGTCCTCAAGGTTCATCCAGGTGGCAGCATGAAAAAGCACTTACTTTTATTAACACTCTCCATATTGAAGGCCTCAGACATTCGAATACCTGATTTGGCTACAGCATAAATTCTGCTTTCCTAGGGTAAAAGAGAGAGTTTGAACAGGGTATTTAAAGCAAAAAAAAAAAAAAAAAAAAAAAAAGACTACTTTCAATACACATGTTTTTCATTTGTTCTTCATTTAAGATTCACTAGAGTACAGCATTATTATAAAACCATCATCGGTGCCAACTAAAATATGCCATTGTGAATAGTACTGTTGAGATTTTTCTCCATCTGTTAGTTTTTCCATTATTTATCTTTTTCCCACATTTTTGTTTGATAAATTATTTTGAAGACGTGAAGAAAAAGTAAGAGAAAGCTTTTTCACAATCACTGACTACACATAAACACCACCTTTAATATTCTTACCATTCTAGAATATGGTTGGCGGTGGGGAGAAAAACCATGAGTGGCTATAACATTAAGCTAGAAACCATTCTCAATCATTGATTACACATAAACACCACTTTTAATATTCTACTATTCTGGAACATGGTTAAACAAAGAATGGAAAAACCTGAAGTCAGAAGTCATAGATACAGTAGCATTAAATGCTATCGCCTTCCTATGTCAATGTACATTTCACTCAAGTAGAAGAGATACCTAAAGTCAAACAAGAAATGAATATGAGAATTGCAATGGAATTTATATTATCTTGTTCCAAAAGTAGATTATTTTGTTTTCTCTTCTCTTCTGAAAAATCTCTGAAACAGGTACTGGACAGGTTACTAGCCCTGCTCCCTTGAGAAAAGGGACCACAGGTGGTTCCTAATGCATAGAGCAACATGTCCTGAATTTAATAATGGGTCTAACTTGGACACAGTTGACTGTCCAGGACACAGTGGGCAACTAAGGCCATCCTCTTCAAGACAGCCAGTGGCTTGAGAGGCAACTGGCATGAGTTCTCCGACTATCAGGGACATTTTCGATTGAATAGTGCCTGGCTGAGTGAATCAGATGTAGTTTCTTTGAGTGTGAGATACACCCACACACAAACAGCAACAGAAAGACATATAACAATAAGGGCAGTAAGCAGGAGACGGGAGGCAGTCTGAAGCCCTAGGAGACTGGGGGAAAGTGGTTAGTAGTAGAATTAGAGAGAGGGGACTGGAGGCCTGGGAGGACAAGCTGAGCCACTGGGAGCAGGGGCAATGGATGTCACTTGTTTCTATCGGAGGTACTGCTGACTATCACATGTTGTCCCTCTAGAGTGACTATTGTAATTTGCATGGTATTCCAGTTCAATAAGGATAGGCTATGCCTTAAAATAAGCTCTTAGAAATTTTTAAAATAAACTCATATTTATTGAGGCAATTAGAATACATCTCTTTTCCTTGAAACCTGAAAATACCTAATAAACACAGAAATAAAATCTCAGACTTGGCCAGTCTGCTGGAAGGCTTTTGAAAAGCAATACTACTTTTTCAGGACCGAATAGCTTCAAAAGAGTAAGAGAAGACAGAATGGAAAAAAAAAAAAAAAAAAAAAAGTAGTAGAATGGGTTGCCAAATAAAACGAACTTAAAAGCCTAACCTAAATCTCTGAAAATCTCAACATCATAAGATAGGCAAAATTTCAATTTCTTGCTGCCTAAAGTATAACATAATTAGAATTCCAGAGATTCACATGCCATTAACTTCCACTTTCCTGTGCTATCCAAAATTTAGTAATAAACTACAGAAGGTTTCATGTGGATATTGAAATAAAATGTCCTCTTGAAAGCAAATAAGAGCACATACATCTTAAGTTCTGAATTTATATTAGAAAAACATGTCCACCCTAATTTGCTTAAAACTGCATCAGTCACAAAATAAAAAATATAGTAATAAAAGAACATGACTCCAAAAACCAAAAGAGTCCTGCAACCCAGATGTTTCTCTGGAGGCCAAAGGTTAAATTATGCCAGCATGTGAAGAAAAACTTAAATCTATAACAGATCATTTCAGACCAGGTGCAGTGGCGTGACACGCCTGTAATCCCAGCACTTTGGGAGGCTGAGGTGGGTGGATCACCTGAAGTCAGGCATTCAAGACCAGCCTGGCCAACATGGTGAAACCCCACCTCTACTAAAAATACAAAAAATTAGCCAGGTGTGGTGGTAAACGTCTGTAGTTCCAGCTACTTGGGAGGCTAAGGCAGGAGAATTGCCTGAACCCAGGTGGCAGAGGTTGCAGTGAGCTGAGATGGCGCCATTGCACTCTAGCCCGGGAGACAAGAGTGAAACTTCATCTCAAAAAAAAAAAAAAAAATTAAAATTAAACAGATCATTTCATTTTATTTCAAATATTGGAAGAATTTTTTTTTTTTTTTAGTCTAGCAGTGTTATCCTACTAATGGTCAATGTTTCAATGGAAGAAGATTTTATCTATTCTAGGTCTGTAGAAAGATACTTTGGAAACCAATGGCTATATAAGCTCAAAAAGAAAATTAAATTTATCTTAAAGCCAATCAAATAACGACTAAGTTCAAAAACTTATAACTAACAAGAGTTAAGTGTCCCGGTTCAGAATTCACCCAAAATATCACAGTTAGGGGGAACCCTTCTTTCCCACCTCCAATGTTTCCTTCCACATGGAGGAACCTCCAGTAATTGAACACTGCTGATCCCTCTCCACCTATTCACTTTCCCCTCCCCAAGAGGAAGAGTGGCTTAATGTGATTGGTAAGCTGAGAAGGAGAAACTGGGCATGCAGAGCCTGGCAACTTCCTCTCCCCTTTCTCTTGAGAAGTAGCTGCCTGCAGGAAACAACCATCTGTTCTGTTTTTTGAGGTAGTAAGTTTTAGAGGGGCATGGCTTCAGTAGCAGAATCCTGTGGTGGTCCAGGGCTTCCTGGGAACAGGTGACTCAATCCAGCTAATCTCAAAGTTCAGTATTAGAAAGCTCATTTGCCCACTAATTCTCTAAAATTAGTTTTATCAGTAAATAAGGTAATACCTTGATCTCCCATCTGTCTTGTCATTATCTTATTTCTCAATTGATTCAGAACTCAGTGAGGGAAGAGAAGAAGAAATTTTATCCTAAAAACTGGAAAACGTCAGAACAAAGCTGGATTTGAAAGGAAAGAAGAAAAGAAAAAGTAAAACTTGAAAATGAGTGTGGACACTTTGGGAGGCAAAGGCAGGTGGATCACTTGAGGTCAGGAGTTCAAGACCAGCCTGGCCAACATGGCGAAACCCCGTCTCTACCAAAAATACAAAAATTAGCCAGGCATGGTAGTGCATGCCTGTATCAGCTACTCAGGAGGCTGAGGCAGGAGAATCACTTGAACCCGGGAGATGGAGGTTGCAGTGAGCCAAGATCGCGCCACTGCACTCCAGCTTGGGCGACAGAGCGAGACTCCCTCCCAGAAAAAAAAAGTGTTGAGAAAAAAACTACTGCGTATGTGTTACATGCGGTGATATAATTACCCAAGAAGGAAAACGGTGCAGGGGAGGAGTTGGAGGTTTGCTGTATGCCACCTTCTTTGCTGAGTCACAGTGTTCCTGGTCATCTGAATTTGGAGAGTCCAAGGAGTCATAGGAAAATAATCCATCATCACAACTCGTGTCCATATTCTCTAAAACTTCTGTACTGTCTCCATCAACTAGATCAAGATCAGTTTCCTGAGGTCTCAGTGGTCGTATCATGCTTATAGCGTTTCTATTTGTACCAAACATCCTGTCAGAGCTTAACTGTGGCTGGCTTAAGTGCCTTTTGGCTAGTGCTACACTTATACTGAAAACATTAGGAATCCTTAACTTTGGGGGTGGCAGGTGTGATGAAGGCACTAATTGTGTTCCTTTTCCAGAGAGTGAGTTAGGATGCTTTGGCATTAAAGCTGGGGTCAAAATAGGGCTTGGGGTGTTGGCTTCACTCGATGAAGATGAATAATCGAGTCTCTGGGATTGAAATTTTTTATTCAGTTCATCCGAGGAACTATCTTGTTCCTTTTTACTTAATTCAGAATTTCCCTTTCCAAGAGGACTATTTAGAGCTTTCCACTGTGCCTCCTGCTGCCAAGAATATAGCTTCTTGTGTTCTGGTCTCTTTATGCCAAAAGTCTCTTCCTCAAATATAGAGCTGCTGTCATCAGATGCTGTCAGATACATTTCACTTCCCATCCTGCTACACTGGACCCCTTCCTCAGATGTGTGACTGGAGAGGGTGGATGTGCATCTGGACTTGGATCTTCCTTTGCTCCCGTCTTCCTCATCAGAGCTCCAGTCACTCACAGGAGCCCCAGAATTCTGGGAGATGCCACCATCTGTGGCAAAGCTTGTTCTTGTTTTCCGATTCTGTTCTGAGCCACAAGGGGTTTGATGCAATGTTCTCTGGCCTCTGTTGTTTTCTAGAACTTGGTTATCAACAGACTTTTCTGGAATTTCCATTTCTAGAAAAGGATACATCATATCAGCATGCTGCCTTTAAGAATATAATCTTTCTGTACATTTAGCTTTATGTAGCTACACTGTAGAAATTGACACTGTAGAAATTTGCTGGGTGCAGTGGTGTGTACCTGTAGTCCCAGCTACTTGGGAGGCTGAGGCAGGATGATTGCTTGAGCCCAGGAGCTGAAGTCTGCAGTGAGCTATGATCAGCCACTGCACTCCAGCCTGGGTGACAGAGCAAGACCCTGCCTCTATTTTTTTTAAAGGAATAAACCAAAAATTTCATACAAATAATTTACATTATCCTGTGTTAGTCTTATGTCTTTTTTAAACACAAGTTTTTGAAAACTATAAGCTTTATATAAAACTCAGAGCCCTAACATGTCAATATAATAGTTTCCAAATTGGTTTTTACAAAAAAACATGTTGGGAAAAAAAAAACTGAGAGTCTAAAGAGAGATAATAAAAGAAGCAAAATGTGAAACAGGGCAACTTTCACTATCAAAGAAAGCAGTCACCAAAAAAATGAACAGCATGAATTCTATTTTAGAAGGAAAGAAAATGACACCTCCTTTCAACTAAATATTTAGATTATAATGAAGTAAATTTAAGCATAATAAATACAAAGCTATAGTTTAATAAACAGACCTTGCACCAAACTTCGATACATTGAGATATGCAAAATCATGAAGAAAATATAAACACAGAAAAGCTTTCCTTGCTCTACTTTTGGTTTAATCATAACTACAAAATGTGTTTTTATAATAAGAATAACACTCTTTAAAAATATCTTTAGATATGGTTTATTTTTATGTATAACATAATTAACAGAATGAACCATTGGCTTCATAAACAAGGAATTAAACTTTTAGACTGAAGTGTAGAAAAGAAACTTTGAAAACATGAAAACATAGACAGGACCTTCATAATTAAGGAACTAGAGGCTGAACAAATAAACTCTAAAATTCGGTATTAGGAAGTTTGTTAAATTTGCAAATGAGCAAGAGCATCAGTACAAGCAATCTCAGCTGTACTCCACTATTAGAAAAAGGGAAGGAAATGAAAATGGCTTCTCAAAAGGCAAAAAAAAGATGCAAGTAGGCCGGGTGCAGTGGCTCACACCGGTAAATCCAGCACTTTTGGGAGGCCAAGGCTGGCAGATTGCTTGAGCCCAGGAGCTCAAGGCCAGCCTGAGCAACATGGTGAAACCCCATCTCTACAAAAAATACAAAAATTAACTAGGCATGGTGGCATGTGTCTATAGTCCTGGCTACTAGGGATGCTGAGGTGGGAGGATCACTTGAGTCTGGGAGGTCAAGGCCGCAGTGAGCTGTGATCGTGCCACTGCACTCCGGCCTGGGAGACAGAGTGAGATCCTGTCTCAAAAAAAAAAAAAAGAGAGAGAGAAGAGAAGAGCAAAGCGAGTAATGGCATGAAAGCAAGGAGCAAAGGAGCCTTCGGATTGGAAAATGTATCATTTTCAGAATTTCATAACCAAGCATAGAGACAACTTTTACTGTTATACTTTTTCTCTTCTGGGGGAAGGAAGTTGGAGCTGAAAGTAGAGAGGATGAAAACTCAGGCCTCTCTAAAATATTTGGGGAAAGTCAACAAAAGTGATTGTGCTAGAGGTGGCAAAGCCAACAGCTACAACAAAGCAAAATTTAGATGGATTTTTTCTTTTTTTTTGATAGAAGCACTTCAAGACTAAAAGAAGAAGAGTAGAAATCTGTATACAGGACCAGGGTTTAAATATCTAGGAAAACATTTTCCTCTTGGAAGGATTAAAGGAAAATCAAAGAGTTATCAATTTATCCCCTAGGGTTTTTTTCTTTAGAAGTTTGCTATGCCAATGTTTAATTTCATGTGTAATATTAAGTAATGTTTTATATTTTAAATAATGTTTTATGTGTAATATTAAGTAATGTTTTATATTTTAAATAAATAATGAATAGGAAATTCACAGTTCTAATCTGAAACTCAGCTAAAACAAGTACAGCATCTTGCAGATGGGACAGTAAACTTTTTAATTTTAAATACCCACCTTCCACCTACAGCAGGAAAAATATATTACGAAGGAAAAATCAGTTTCTCCTATGCAAAGGCTCTCAGAAAACACAAAATAATTAGACACACAAAGTTAAATGTTGTATTGCTCTTTAGAAACATTCTCATAAAACATCAAATTGTCAGAAAAAAATAAGGAAAATTAAGCTATATTTGGATTAATCTTAGCAAATGAGTCTTCCTTTTTAAAAAATGCCAAAGTCAATTCCTGTAGTTCATAAATACCTTCCATGTCTTTTCCTTCAGTGAACTCAGGTTCTTTCGATGATATCTTGCTCATTTCCTCAGATTTTACTACTTGAGGAGGACTCCTTGCTCGAGATAAAAAGCACCCAAAGGTCAAACTGCTCAGGCGCTGGCCTTCCGAAAGCTTTAGTGTAGAGACAGTGGATGACTTCTTTCCTTGAACTTCTACAACATCGTTAATCAAAATTAAGATTTGAATTTTTTATAGAAGTTTGTTAAACATAGAACCAAGGCATATAAAAACTTGAACAAATCACTCTTTATGCCAGAAAAAAAGCCTAAAGTTCATCTTTATTGATGTACAATAACATAGAACCTTCAATGACAAGCATCACATCCCAATGTTTAAATTCTGTTTTACATATTTTGAATGTTCAAAATATTTTTAACTGGAGAAAGAAAAATATCTAATCCCTTTAAGAGTAGTTAGTTCTAAGCAACGACAAAACACAAACAGATTATAAATAACTAGAGAGCTCTAGCTTCCTGCAAAGTCAAGTATTGACAAATACCAGTTCAGCGTTGGTAAAATTTGCACAGTATGCCACTGTGAAGAAAAAGAAACTGAGGTCCTGGTTGCCGAAATAACCAAAGAAACTTGGATCATCCTTGGGGCAACCATCCCATGATAACTGTAATGACTTTTGCTTATCTTAGTTTTCAGCCATGAGAAAAAAGTAGATGGGGAGGTTGGGTCTATGGTAACCACAATATAAAGAGCTTTAATCACTTCTTTAAAGAGAAAAAAAAAGAGGAGGTGAGTAAAGAATTTATACAGGTAGTGAAGTGATTAGGTCAGCATCTAATCATGAATTTAATTCATCTCTTGGACTTTTTTTTTTTTTTTTGAGACAGGGTGTCTCTTTGTTGCCCAGGCTGGAGTACAGTGGCATGATCATGGCTCACTGCAGCCCCAAACTCCCGGGCTCAAGTGATCCTCCCACCTCACCTCCCTAACCAGCCCCCAAGTAGCTGAGAGTATAGGTGTGTGCCACCATGGCCAGCTAATTAAAAAAAACTTTTTTTGTAGCGATGGGGTCTCACTATATTGCCAAGGCTGGTCTCAAACTCCTGGCCTCAAGCAGTCCTCTCACCTTGGCCTCCCAAAATGCTGGGATTACAGGAGTGAGCCACTGCGCCTGGCCCAGTGGCCCAGCCAAAAGTTATAAATAATTTTGGAGATATATGTTTTTTTTAAATAGACCAATCTCACCACTGATATTCTTGAGTTTATCAGCGGATTATCAATTGATTCTCCTAACTGACTGGATTCAAACCCTCATCTAGAAGATCCATATGGGGAAAGGATTAGAACACTGGTGATCCATGAACGAACTGAGTTATGACATTTGCATGCAAGTAACCACCAGCTCAGGCATCTAAGAACACATGGAAGTGCCTCAGAGCTACCCTCAATTAATGCCAAGTTCAATAATGTGTTCAGCATGTGTGATGCCAAGAAACCTCCTCCAAAGTGTTCAATGCAGCTACAAATGTATGGTATCTGTGACTCCCCTAATCTCCATTAAAAGGTCTATTCTCTAAGGCCAAAATTCAAGTCTTCTTGGACTTCTGGAGTGCATGTCTCTCTGATACAACTACCTCTAACTCACTATCTTGTGTGGTAAAGTCCCCTGTGTTCTTTCAAGAAAACAGGGAGATACAGAACTACATCACTTAGAAGGAGCAAAATGTCCTTACCATTAGAGATTGGTACCCATCATCCATATGTCTGACCTCCCAGGCTAATGTCTCTGTACAGTACTTTTAGCAAGCTGGACTCTCTGGAACTTAGTTTGGTTCTAAAAAGTGTACCAATGGAAGGTCTTTTAGAATAGAGAGAGGCAAAATTAGTATTTGGTCATGTTTTTCTGATCTACGTAGTGACCACTTTGGTAGACATCATCAATTCCATCTCTTTTTTGCCTTCCACTTTCAGGCCCAACATTCACTCGAATGCAGGACTTCTGGTTTGTTTAGTAATTCTCTTTCATTTTATGGCAACAGCTTCTTGGATGACATCCATAATCGCATCTTTAAAACATCAAAAAAAGTAAAAGCCTATATAGTCAAATAAATCCAACTAAGCTATCTTAGTAAAGTATTTGTACCTTGTAGTTTTGACTGCATTGTTCTTATCTCTTCAGTTTGGTTTTGGTTGATCAAACGAAGATTCTGATTCTCCAATTCCAGCTAAGAGAACATAATGGTATTCTTTTCATATAGAGATAATATTATAAAAATGTACTAATAAATTATAATATTAGAAAATGTTAATATTTAGTTTCTCTACATGTGTAAGCAAAATACAAAGGAAATGATAAACAAATCTCAGATTAATTTATCAGAATAGGCTATCGACCTAGATAATTATGGTATCAATATTTACATTTTTCAGAACTAAGAGTTTTAAATGTTTTCACCCCTTATGCCTTTTCCACTGTAAAATTATTTTAAAGGAAACGATTTCAGCTTTAAACTGCCATAGAAATGAAAACGTGTGCTTCTCAGCTACCAAATACATTAATTTTATGAGATATAGATGTATGTCCTATTATTATTTGAAATTAATTAGAACTAAAATTAACTTATTAGAATAAAGTTATTCACACTGATCCTCATGAGTCTATTAATATGTTTAATTTTTAAAATACACTGGATATTAAAATGAAAGCTACCTATATCTCATTTATCAAAAGATAGCAGTATCACCAACCGATCAAAATTCTTTGTTTTACTCAGAGTAATCACATATTCTGATGATGTATCAATTCAAAAGAAGTAAAAGGTAAAGAAAAGGAAAACATATAGCAATAAATACCTCATTTAACTTAACTGTTACCCATTCTTTTATCTTAGCTGCTTTCTCTTCTATTATTTTAGCTTCTTGTATTCTTATTTGTTTCTGAAATAACAATAGCAATTTGTTTAGTTCAAACATAAACTCAATGGTCTGGAAATGTTTTACCATAAATATACAAGGCATATCCACTTAAAACTTGATTCCAAGTTACTATATCTGCTTTCAAATTACCAAATAGGTTTTTAAAAGAAAAAATTATTCGGTAGATACAATAAGAAACCACAAAGCCACATGCATGTATTACTAGTTTTAACAACCGCTATTCTCTTTCTCTGAAAGATCATACACTGAAGTCAATCCACTGAATTTATCAACAAAATAAGCCATTTCTGGGAATGGTCTAGGATTTAGGGGTCAACCACGTTGGGGAGAAGAGAATAAGACTCTCCTTAGGGGCATGGCTTTTTTTTTCCCCTCAAATACTAGCTTTCAAAGATGCAAGAAAAATAAACATAGTGAAATTCTAGCTCTCATTTACCAGCCTTAAAATCTGGTTATGGTCACAAAACTATTGAGAATGTGTTTACCAAATAAATCGCAATAGGCAGGGTCTAGGGGTGGTAGAAAGCTGAAAACCACTGACCTAAAGAAACACTGGTCTTTATCAAGAAATGGGGAAAAAATGCTGAAAATAAACAACACATTTAACAAAATGATTTCATAGTGGTCATATTTAAATGATGTTAAGTGAGCATTAAGTACATAACCCCAATCCCCAGTGCAATTTTTTCCTTTTTTTTTTTTTTTTTGAGATGGAGTCTCGCTCAGTCGCCCAGGCTGGAGTGCAGTGGTGCAATCTCGGCTCACTGCAAGCTCCACCTCCTGGGTTCACGCCGCTCTCCTGCGTCAGCCTCCCAAGTAGCTGGGACTACAGGAGCCCGCCACCACGCCCGGCTAATTTTTTGTACTTTTAGCAGAGACGGGATTTCACCATGTTAGCCAGATGGTCTCGATCTCCTGACCTCGTGATCCACCTGCCTTGGCCTCCCAAAGTGCTGGGATTACAGGTGTGACTAATACATTTTTTAAACTAGATTACTTGATTCCAATAAAGTGGTTCAAAAATGGTGTACACATTTCTAAGCAGAAGGATTGGCATCAAATATAAATATTTAAAATGTAATGTTCTATAAACATTTCCAACATTCTAACAATCTGAAGCAAAGATGGGTTGCAAACAATTTAGGGGCATACCTGCTGATAACCAAATGTTCCCAACTTAAATACTACATTTAAACTCTAACATCTGGCTGGGCATGGTGGCTCATGCCTGTAATCCCAGCAGGTTGGGAGGCTGAGGTGTGTGGATCAGGAGTTCAAGACAGGCCTGGCCAACATGGCAAAACCCTTTCTCTTCTTAAAAAAAAAAATACAAAAATTAGCTGGGTGTCGTGGTGTATGCCCATAGTCCCAGCTACTCGGGAGGCTGAGGCACAAGAATCACTTGAACCTGTTGGTTGTGGGTGGACTTGCAGAGGTTGCAGTGAGCTGAGATCGAGCCACTGCACTTCAGCTTGGGTGACAGAGCAAGACTCTGTCTCAGATAAATAAATAAACTCAAATGTTTGAATATTAACGAGCATTCTCACATCCAAAAAGTGTTAGATCTTGCCTTGGAATCACTCTGAACTTAAAGGAATGCCATTTTACTTGCACCTTTCACCAATAAATGTGATGCAATCCTATGGGTTGACCGAATAAGCAATATTTCTCCCCAAATATAGAAATTTAGGCTCTCTCTTTTTAATCTTTGTGATTATGCACAAATGAGTGCACACACTTAGAACTCTTTATCAAATTCTTCCTAACCTGCTCTTCAAGTTGCAATTCCAAGTTTTGAATGACGTCATCTTTTTCCTGTATTAGCGACTCCAGATCTTGACACTTATTATATAATCTTGTCTCTGATTCACTGGTTTGAATATTAGCTGCTTTTAATTTATCTTCCATAACTTGTACCTAAATTCAAAGGATAAAATATTAAAATTGTGTGTGTACTCAGGTTATCACAGTATTAAACCTAGAATTTTACCTTAATATTATGTAGATTCCTAAAAGACTTCAAAAAGGAAAATATTAAACAGCAAGGTTTAATATATTTAATGATTATAAAGTCTCAAGCCTATTTCACCAAGTGGTGTTACCTTGGAGGTACATACAAACATAAGAAATTCTCAGAATATTGCTATCATATAAAGTAATGTACATGTTTCCTAGAGCGATGACAATATGCAAAGTGTTTATATGAGTATAGAAACAGAAAGTTTCCAGCCCTCATTTTTTCATATTTTAAACAAAGAGTATAAATTAACACAGGTGAGTGGTGAGGTGAGACCCAGACTGGATGGCCTGGTATAATAATGTATTATGGGAAAAAACTTGAACCTAGGTGAAAAAGAAACATATACACAATGGAAAGGGGGGTGGGAAAACAACCTTAAAGCCCCAAATGATGGAATCATAAAAAATAAAAATGTATTAGAGTCTAGATATAGGTAGGAGAGTACACTCAATGAGGGCTTCTTGATTCATTCATTTAACAAATATTCACTGAAAACCTGTCAAGTGTCCGGCTTATTCCAGGCCCTGAGAAAGCATCAGCAAATAAACTAGACCCCCAAATCTCTGCCTGCATAGAAATTACATTCTAGGCCTGGCACAGTGGCTCACACCTGTAATCCCAGCACTTTGGGAGGCCGAGGCAGGCAGATAGCTTGAGTCCAGGAGTTCAAGAAATTAATTCTAATGGGTAAGAGAGATCACAAATATAATAAATATGTTTTTTTAAAAAAAGAACAGTACTTTACATTACTCAGGTGATAATGATAGAGGCGGGAGGCAGACAAATGCCTAGGCAGATGGGGCAGGTCCCTGGTGAAACCCAACCTTCAAGCTGGAAACAGTCCCTGGTAAATCCTTGAACCAGATTGAGAACCTGCCTTCCCGTTTGGCACACTTTCTTTCGATTGATCCCATCCTTCACCTATTTTACATATACCTACCCTTTCCTAATTGGTTTTCTAAACTATCATGCCCACTTTTGAGTGATGTCTTTACTTTAACCTTTTTTGCTTACTCACAAGCCAATCAGCACGCACTCCCTATTCTGAGCCCATAAAAAGCCCCGGGCTCAGCCATATTGGGAAATCTCCTGCTTCGGGTGGGGGGACCACCCCCAACATCCCCTCTCCGCTAAAAGCTGTTTCATCATTCAATAAAACTTCCTGCCTTGCTCATTCTTTGAGTGTCCGTGCAACTACTTCTTCCTGGTCGTGAGACAAGAACCCAGATGTAGCTGAGCTAAGAAGCAAAAAATCCTGCATCAATAAGGGTAATGGGAAAAAAACAGAACAGGGTAAAAGAGACTGAGTGTGTGGCTGGAGGTTGAGTGGTGCTGCAAGTTTAATATCTAAGATAGATTGGCCCTGCTTGGATATTCTGTAAAACACATCCAGGCATATAAAATCTCAGAAAGGCATATCTGCATATTGTGTTTGCCAACCTACATGGATAATATAAGTCTATTCAACTCATAGTAAAGTTTAGATTTTCCTATCACCACCTTTTAGTTCTCACTTTTCTCTCCTTTAGTTCTTTGACTCACAAACTTGATCCTTGATTGTAGATGGTCTAGTTGATTGGATGCCTCAGCAGAAACTTCACAAGGAGATCCAAATAAGAGATGTTTGAGATGTTAATTGTAGTAAGAAGGAAAATAAAGTATTGAGTACTATATACAATATTAAGACTTTCATTCTACATACTCCAAATAGGTAAGACTAAAATTTTAGCAACGTTTCAGATTATAGAGGCAAAGAGAAAAAATAATGTGAAAGCATTTGAGAAATTAAAGATGATAGTTAAGATGAAAATCTGAAATTATTAAAAACACTTCTGAAAAGTCAAAAGGAATCCTTACTTAAAGCTAAAAAATATTTGACTAATGAGGGTTTTCTCCTGAAAAGGTATAAAGGTTGGTTTGGATTTATTTTTTTGAACCATGAATGCCAGGTTTCATCTGTGGGTTCACTGCATAAATGTAAATCAATTCAGATGCCAAAACTGTTCTATTTAAATACCAACCACATGGCTGGAAACTAGGAAAATAAAAGCACAAAAAAAAAAAGTTGAAGAAGAAGAAAAATGTATTCTACTATCCAAATGATAATTTAAGTTACCTTAGATTCTAAGAAATATAGTGGGCTTTCTGCATGAGCTGAAGGACAAAGATCTGTATCAAGACAAAGGTCTGCATCAGAAATGATGTCATGCAAAACTGCCCAAGCAGGACAGACAGCTGAACAGTAATCTTAAGATGGTATAGCTATAGCCAGTTCCACATACGACATTCTGTAGCTGAGGAAGCAGGGAACGAGGAGCAGAGCCCAAGTCCAAAATGATAGTTCTCCTCTGGGCACAGAGTAATAGAAGTAAACCTCAAGAAAAACAAAAGTAACTGAGTAAGAATAAAAATAAATGCTACCAGACCTACATCTAGTGTCCTTTTATTAAGTTAAAGCAAGCCACCCTACAGACATTGGGTTGCCACATAAAATAGTCCTATTGTTGCTTAGGAAAGGTCTATAGACCTGAAAAACTATGGTTTGGAACTACTCTTTTACCCTGAATAACACATTCAATTTGGAAGTTGTTATTGTATGAGTGAATGCTACAGAGCTCCTCGGATGCATCCTTGCTGTCTGAAGCTCTTTAATTCAACCATTACTTTTAGACAAACAATTTTCCTAGGCAAGAAAAATATTGGCAAAAGGGGCAAAATCTCTTAGAGAAAGAGACCACAAAGTAGTTACAAGCAACCTACTTACCAACTGATCCTATTAAGACCAAGTTCTGTAGACAGGATTTAGCCTTCTTTGGTAATTAATATGAATAAGAGGTCTACAGAAAAGCTAAGAGGTCCACAGAAAAGCCAAGATGCCTTTTAAAACATCTCACCACAACCATATGGAAAATAGCTCACTTGTTTTTCCATTCATTTAACCAGAACCATTTAAGAATTTTAACTACTCAGAGACTGGCCAATAACAAACACCTGTGAATTCAAATTGCTTGTTAAATAAACCCTCACAAATGTGTATACACGGATAGCCTCCAGTGTGGAATGCTTCCTGTTTTTAGGCTACTTTGCTTCTTTACTTCTAGGAGAACCTCTGATTGTATCCACCCACCTCAGCACACTCCTCACCCACTTCTCCCAAACCTTCTTGATCCCAAGGTCCCTAAACTCCTGTTCAGCAAAGGGTTAACTCAGTAGACTTGGGGTGTACAGATCCTCCACATTCCAAAGAAAGGACTGGTCCTTCACTGGCTCTTGGGAGACAACCTCTGATGCCCTGGAATATCTTGACTGTTAAGGCTGCCTTTGTATTAATATAAGTGAGATCTTGGGCCACACCACATAGTTTATGCTAATGGTCTGACTTATGGTGAGTGCCTGTTTTTGTGTTCACCTGGGGCCCTGGGCCAAAATTTATCAGTTTGACCTCTGGGTGGGCTGGAGACTGACTAAGATCAGTCAGGTGGATATTTCAGACCTACATGACTGACCTCTAATAAAAATCCTGGACACCAAGGCTTGAGTAAGCTTATTTGTTGGCAATGTTTCATACATGTTGTCACACATTGATGGGAGGATTAAGTGCATCCCTGTGCAACCCCACAGCAGAAAGACAACTGGAAGCTCATACCTGATTTCTCCTGGACACCACTCTATGTGCCCTTTTCCTTTGTTGATTTTAATCTGTATCTTTTCACTGTAATAAACGGTGACCATGAGCAAAACAGCTTTTCTGGGTCCCATGAGTTATTCTAGCAAATCACTGAACCCAAGAGTACTGTTGGGGATCCCAATACAGCTTCCAGGGCTATTTTCCATAGGAGAAAGCAGGAGCTGCAAATATTACTCCCATTGTAATTATTCATATCATTATTTCCTTCTTCCCATTTCTAACCTCATTCCTGTCCACTATACATAATCAAGATGTGACTGTATTTTTAAGAGGGGGTTGCAAGTTTCTATTTCTATATATAAATTGCTGTGGCATGACAAAGATTCCTGATTGTTTCCAAATAGAATGACAAAAGAAATTGTTTAGAGTATTTTAAATCCCAGACTACTTTCCAGTTACTTAAAATTTACTTGTTGATTTGTTTAGATTTGTTTAGATTGTTTAGATTCATACAATAACAACTTCCTTATAGATTCTGGATATTAGACCATTGTTGGATGCATAGTTGGTGAATATTTTCTCCTATTCTGTAGGCTGTATGTTTACTCTATTGATAGTTTCTTTTGCTGTGCAGAAGCTATGGGCAAAGGACATGAACAGACACTTCTCAAAAGAAAACACAGGCTGGGTGTGGTGGCTCATGCCTGTAGTCCCAACACTTTGGGAGGCCGAGGAGGGAGGACAGCTTGAGCCCAGGAGTTTGAGGCCAGCCTGGGCAAAAGAGTGGGAACGCATCTCTACAAAAAAAATTCTAAAATATTAGCTGAGTATAGTGGCATATGCCTGTGGTCCCAGCTACTCAAAAGGCCGAAGTGGGAGAATCACTTGAGCCTGAGAGGTCAAGGCTGCAGAGAGCCATGATCATGCTGCTGCACTCCAGCCTGGGCAACAGAGGAAGACCCTGTCTTGAAAAAAAAATAATTAAATAAAACAAAAGAAGATATACAGGCAGCCAAGAAACATATGAAAAAATGCTCATCATTGCTAATCACCAGAGAAATGCAAATCAAACAATAATGAGATACCATTTCACACCAGTCAGAATGGCTATTATTAAAAAAGTAAAAAATAACAGATGCTGGCAATGCTGTGGAGAAATGGGAACACTTATACACTGTTGGTGGGAATGTAAATTAGTTCAGCCACTATAAAAAGCAGTCAGAGGTTTCTCAAAGAAACAGAAGTACCATTTGACCCAGCAATCCAGTTACTGGGTATATAGTCAAAGGAAAATAAATCGTTCTACCAAAAAGACACATGCACTTCTATGTTTATCACAGTGCAATTCGCAATAGCAAAGACATGGAATCAACCAAGGTGCCCATCAATGGTGAGTTAGATAAAGAAAATGTGGTACATACACACCAGGGAACACTACACTGCCATAAAAAAGAATGAGATCATGTCCTTTGTAGCAACATGGATGCAACTGGAGGTCATTATCCTAAGAGAATTAATGCAGGAACTGAAAACTAAATACCACATGCTCTCACTTATAAGTGGGAGCTAAACATTAAATACACAAGGGCATAAAGATAGGGACAACAGACACTGAGGACTATGAGACAGGGAGCAAGAGACGGAGACATGGGCTGAAAAACTATTGGGTACTATGTTCACTGCCTGGGAGATGGAATCATCCATATCCCAAACCTCAGCATCACGTAATATAACCATGTAGCAAACCTGCACATGTACCCTCTGAGTCTAAAATAACAGTTAAAATTATTTTAAAATATAAATATATATAGAGAGAAGGGGGGACATGGCCAGATATAAGGCTGTAAATAAGGAGAGGGACACACGGATCTTTGCATGTCATGCTACACTACTTGGATGGGATCTCATAAGAAAGGGAAGGCCATATGTTTATAAAATATCTTTTTAAAGCTTCTTAGAAAACTTGAACTCAAGAATGTGTCAAAATTTACTGACATGTTATCAGTGAAATCAGCAAGTTGATTATAATTTTTATATGTTTAATGCAAATTAATTAATCATTCTAATCACATTTACAACACAATTATTTTGGCATAGTACTCCATGATTATAAAGTAGGATTCTTCTTGCAGAAGTTGAAAAGCAAGATCATTAAATAATTTGCTTTCCATATAATGAAGGGTGGGCCTCATATAGCAAAGCATTGCAATGTAATATCCATTACAAGGTCATGGATATTAGAATGACTGAGCAGTATTGATTTATTAAGAGTCAAAAATGACTTCAGGCCGGGCACAGTGGCTCACGCCTGAAATCCCAACACTTTGGGAGGCCAAGGCAGGGGGATCACCTGAGGTCAGGAGTTTGAGACCAGCCTGACCAACATGATGAAACACCGTCTCTACTATAAATACAAAAATTAGCCAGGTGTGGTGGCATGCACCTGTATTCCCAGCTACTCGGGAGGTGGAGGCAGGAGAAATGCTTGAACCCGGGAGGCAGAGGCTGCGGTGAGCCAGGATCATGCCACTGCACTCCAGCCTGGGCGACAGAGCAAGACTCAGTCTCAAAAAAGAAGAAGAAGAAGAAAGAAGAAGAAGAAGAGGAAGAGGAAGAAGGAAGAGGAAGAAGGAAGAAGAAAAAGAAGGAGAAGGAAGAAGAAGAGGAAGAAGAAGAAGAACTAACTTTACAGAAAGGGAAGATTAGCTCATGTGTTAGAATGGTCAGAGGCAACTTTAAATGTAGCTGCTACCATGCCTGAATCAAACACAGGCAAGGGATCAAGCCCAAAAGGATAAAATAAAAAGACACATACTTTTATAGGGGAATAATCTACCCCAGTTGGTCAGCATAAATAAATGTAATATATTAAGGTATCCACCTAATTAGATACTTGGGAATGAATCCCATATGTCAGTATTTTCCAAATATGCTCTTTGCTGCTTTTCTATCTCACAGGAGTACTCATAAGTAGAACTGGGTTGATTTGATCACATTGCTTCCAAACTTGTGAACAACAATAATAAAGATGCACTAGGGCCAGGCGTGGGTGGTGGCTCATGCCGGTAATCCCAGCACTTTGGAAGGCTGAGGCTGGAGGATTGCTTGAGCTGACAAGTTCGAGACTAATCTGGGTAATGTGGTGAGACATCGTCTCTACAAAAAAAAAAAAAAAAGGTTAAAAAACATTAACTGGGTGTGGTGGCACATGCCTGCAGCCCTAGCTACTCCAGAGGCTGAGGTGGGAGGATTGCTTGAGCACAGGAAACAGAAGTTGCAGTGAGCTGAGATCGCATCACTGCACTCCAGCCTGGATGACAGAGCAAGACCCTGTCTCAAAAGACAAACAAACAAAAAAAAGATGTACTAGAACATTAAGTATAAAGATCACCAAGATTTATCTGGCAATAAAATATTTATCTGTGACTTTTTTTCTGCAGACAATTTAGTTAATTGTTACAGAAGTGATGCCATTCATTGATAAACAAAGGGAAAAATGTACAAAGCTAAACTATAGAGTTGCACTGGCTTTAGCTGAGTACTGCTTTTAGTGGCAAAATATTCCTTTTTGGTTAAGATAAATACAGTTGTTTGAGTCTTAGGACATGGTTGAATGAGAAAAGGCAAGCTGATTTCAGCAACATAAACATCAGATAGGCCACAGTCCCATGGAAATTGTTAAAGATGGCGAAGGATTCAGTTACTCTAAGTTATTAACACTTAGTCTTGCAAAGGCCAAAAAAGGTGACTTCATCAGTGCATGAGAATTCATCTGCTGTCTGTATTTCCTGTCGACTTTTAGATTATGAAGTAATTGTAAAGAAAAAAAGTCCTTCTGAAGTGTAACAAAATATGCAGTAAATAAATTTAAAGTGTTGTGACAAAAAGAAATGCCTACAGGTTTTGCTAACACATGGAAACTCTGAGAGATTTGTAATTCTCTCTCTTTTTTTTTTTTTTTTTGGTAATGGGAGTAGCAGTATGTCTAAAATAACCAATCCTGGTGTATTTTTGCTTAAAGATATAGCACATAGAATTAAATAACTTTATACCCAACATCCTCAAAGAACAACTTCAAAGGAGAGAAGTCCTTCCTGTCAAACTTACCAAGACCAGTGGTTGGCCCTGATGGCAACAAACCTCTGTGGTTTGCTTCCCTTGAATCGGGAACAAGGATCCTTTTTTAAAGACTCCTCACTGGATCTCATAAGACCCAAGGAATTGGGGTGGGGCAGGGGTCGGTGGGGGGCGGGTGTAGATAGTTGAAAATCACAAATAAAAAATACTTAATTTAGTTTAATTTTCAAAAACAAACAAATTTGCCACATATTATGAATTAAGAATTTTAAATTAAGGCAAAACAAAACCATCCTCAATTTTTTTCTCTTTTTCCCATAATATGGGCAGTTAAAGGAGAGAAAGGAAGGGAAGGGAAAGATAGGGAAGAACAGATAGATTACATATAGAGACATATAGACACAGCCAGGGTACAGAGGTAAAGAAAGATGCTACTAGGAAGGCCAAAGTCAGAAAACACAAGACAATGAAGGAAAAAGAAGGGAAGGGAAAGGAAGGGGAAAAGAAGGGAAGGAGAAAAGAAGGAAAAGGAAGGGGAGTATAGTATCATATCCTATATGATACTATAGAAGAGGATACACAGCATTATACATTTGTCAAAATCCATAGAACATAAAACACCAAGAGTAAACACTAATGTAAACTATGGGATTTGGGTAACAATGATGTGTCAGTGTTGGTTCATCAGTTGTAATAAATGTACCACTCTGGTGTTGGATGCTGATGGTGAAGAAAGCTTGAATGTGTGTTGGAGGGGAGAGGATATATGAAAGCTCTGTACTTCATACACCATCAATTTTGCTGTAAATCTGAAACTGCTCTAAAAATTAAAGTCTGTTTTTAAAAAAGCAATAACCTCCCTGATGAAATCATTGATTTAAACAAGGTAATCAATGGCTGCTAATATCACCAAAAAAAAAAGAGAGAGAGAGAGATAACTAGACATCCACCTCCTGGTGGAGGTCAACAATATCACCCAAGAAGTAGTCTTGAAAAAAGAGAAAGAAAAGTCAAATTTTTAGATCTAACTATATTTTACAGGAAATATAGGGGAAGAGGAGCTTGTTAAATCACATCATAGGTATGCAATAGGCAAACTCCAGAATGTGGAAAGCTTTAGAGAACAAATTAACCCATACAAATAAGTTGAAAGAAAAAAGGAAAAAAGACCCTATAAATTAAAAGAGTTTAAGAATCAAATGAAATGTATCAATCTAGTTTAGATCCCAATTTGAACAAACTAACTATTAAAAACAAAAAAAAAGAGGGCCGGGCGAGGTGGCTCACACCTGTAACACCAGCACTCTGGGAGGCCAAGGTGGGCGGATCACCTGAAATCAGGAGTTTGAGACCAGCCCGACCAACATAGAGAAATCCCATCTCTACTAAAAATACAAAATGAGCTAGGCGTGGATGCCTGTAATCCCAGCTACTCGGGAGGCTGAGGCAGGAGAATGGCTTGAACGTGGGAGGCGGAGGTTGTGGTGAGCCAAGATCGTGCCATTGCACTCCAGCCTGGGCAACAAGAGCAAAACTCCATCTCAAAAAAAAAAAAAAAAAAAAGGGTATATAAATAAAAGAATTAAAAAGGGGTACTCAAACAAATATATGTACGTTCTTAACAGCACTAGTCACAATAGTCAAAAGATGAAAAGGTAGAATAGGTAGGGCACAGGAGACATCGAGGGCAGTGAAAGTCCATAAAAAGACAATGTCCATAAAAAGTCAAATGGATAAACAAATTGTGTGTGTGTGTGTGTGTGTGTATATATGGAACATTATTCAGCCATAATGAGGAATAAAGCATGACACATGCTACAACGTGGATAAATATCAAAAACATTCTGCTAAATGAAAGAAGCCAGACACTAAAGATCAAATAGTATATAAATCCATTTATATGAAATATCCAGAATAGGTAAATCCATAGCAACAGAAAGCAGATTGGTGGTTGCCAGGGGCTAGTGGGAGGGGGAAATGGGACTAAATGCTTAATGAATAAGGTTTCCTTTTGAGATGAGTTTCCTTTCGACATTTTGGAACTAGATAAAGGTGATGATTGTACACAACACTGAAATGTTCATTTAAAAATGTTAATTTTGGCTGGGCACGGTGGCTCATGCCTGTAATCCCAGCACTTTGGGAGGCCAAGGGGGGCAAATCACAAGGTCAGGAGTTCGAGACCAGCCTGGCCAACATGGTGAAACCCCATCTCTCTAAAAATACAAAAAATTAGCCAGGCGTGGTGGTGGGTGCCTATAGTCCCAGCTACTCGGGAGGCTGAGGCAGGAGAATCGCTTGAACTCAGGAGGTGGAGGTGGCAGTGAGCTGAGATGGCACCACTGCACTCCAGCCCAGGTGACAGAGTGAGACTGTCTCAAAAAAAAAAGTTAATTTTATGTTATGTGAATTCCACTTTGATTAAAGAACAAAACACAGAAGCAATTATTAGCTATTTGGAAAAATCTGAATACTGACTAGATCTTTGATATACTGAAGAATTACTGGTAATTTTTTGGTGTGATGATGGTATTGTGGTTATGATTTTTAAGGGTGTTTGGTTTCAGATTAGTATAGTATATAATAATGGATGAAATTATACCATGTCTGGGATTTGCTTTTCAATAGTCCAGTGTGAGGGGGGCAGGGGAAGTGGGTGGAGGTACAGATGAGGCATGACTTGACTAATTGTTGAAGTGGGTGATGCGGGTTCACTATACTATTTTCTCTACTCTTGTATGTGCTTAAAGTCTTGCCTAATAAAGTTGTAAGATTTCCTTTTCAAGCATAATTAAAAAAATCAAAGATTAGGCTACATTGGGCTTATTTAGAAATCTATTAGGCACTTACTCTACCCTATAAAATTAAAACTTTCATGTATCTGCTGAATCTAAAATAAAAATTGAGGGTGATGGGGCCTGGTGGGGAGAGGGTCCAGAGTAGGCTCTCAGACCCGAAACTGAATGGGGTGTCTGGGGCATCAGGGAGCTCCCTTGCCTGGCCCTCAGTGGCCTGATGGAGTAAGAGCGTTTGGTTGAGTGATTCAGATCTGGTCACTATGGTAGGAGAACAAAAATGCATATTGTGTCATATCGTGTACAGCTCCAAAAAGAGGCACTAGTCATGAGTGCCGAAGGTGCGGGCCCACAGAAGTGAGTCTTTCTGCATACGCAAAGCACATTTCTGGCCAGCTGCACAAAGATAACGTTGATGCCCAGGAAAGAGAAGATGATGGAAAAGGAGAGGAAGAGGAAGAAGATTATTTTGACAAGGAACTCATTCAATTAATAAAACAAAGGAAAGAACAAAGTCGACAAGAACCTTCCAGTAGCAGCCAAGAAGTAAATTCTGATGACAGGTGACCCCAATGGAGCTGAGAACACCAAATTCCTCACCAACACAGACAGAGTTACAGTCAGCCAGCATGGCATCACCCTGGACCTCCACAGGAGGATTGTAATTGGAAAAAAGATCGCTTTAATAATACATGGAGAAACAGCTTTCTGTATTCTTTGAGGAATAGTGGTGGACCAAAAGGATGTTCTGAGTGGCATTAGAGTGTTGCAGGAGGCTCCTTGACTTGGTTTCACAACCATAGTAATTCTGGAGTTGGTTGGCATTCAAATAGTGGAACAGTAGATTGGAATCATAATGGTACAGGAAGGAATTCCAGTTGGCATTCTGAGGGAACAGGTGACTTTTCCAGTTGGCATATGAACAACAGTAACGGAAACTAGAAATCCAGTGTATGTAGTAAAAATAATTGCAACTAAAGTGGCCCTGGACATAAATTTCAACCAGGCAGAAACAGAAATTCTACTTGTCAAATGGAAGATGTGACTATGCTATGGAACAAGAAATCAAATAAGTCAAGCAAATACAATCAAGAAAGATATAATTGGTAGTGTCAAGAAAATGAGAAACTTGGAATGACAAACTTTGTACGGCTGCCACATATAGAGGTCCTTCTGAAAGATTTACAAGTGATAAATTTCCTTCGGAAGGCTTACTTGACTTCAATTTTGAGCAGCCAGAAAGCCAAACCACTAAACAAACAGACACTGCAACTTCCAAAATTAGTGGAAAGAACAGCAGTGCAGCAACGGGGAAAGCCTTGTTGCCAGACTCCTTACCCTTCTAAAATAAAAATTAAAAAGGAAAAAGATTTGGTAGTACTCAAGTTGAAGGAAGGAAACATGACAAACTTAGAGGAAGCATAAGGAATTTCATATGCACTTCTTAGGAGAAATAATTTTGTATTTAAGCCTTTTTTTTCTTTTGTTTTTAGTTGATACATAATAATTGTACATATTTATGAGATACAGAGGGATATTTCCATGTGTGTATACAATGTGTAATGATCAAATCAAGGTAATTAGCATGTCCAGCACCTCAAACATTTACTATTTATTTGTGTTGTGAACATTCAAAATCCTCTCTTCTAGCTTTATGAAAATATAGAAAGCTGGCTCTTTAAGCTTTTTGTAAATATGCAATAAATTATAGTTAACCATATTACTCCATAGTGCTGCAGAACACCAGAACTCACTGGAACTCATTGATTAAACTGAATATGACTGAGATCTTTTCATGAAATGAGAAGCTATGGATTTAGAATCATTAAACTTTAAGGCTGGGTGGGCCCATCCAAACCCATCATTTTACTGCTCATTTTAATGCTGGAAGACCCAGAAAGGGTTATGTGACTTATGAAAACATCTTTTAAAAATAATAAAAGTTGTCTGAGCACAGTGAGCTCACACCTGTAATCCCAACACTTTGGGACACTGAGCATCACTTGAAGCCAGTAGTTCAAGATCATCCTGGACAACATAGTGAGACCCTGTCATTACAAAATTTAAAAATTTTAATAAATAAAAGTTATATTAAAAAACTCAAAGTATGAAAATATAGGGGGCCAGGCACAATACCTCATACCTGTAATCCCAGCACTTTAGGAGGCCAAGGTGGATGGATCACCTGAGGTCAGGAGTTTGAGGCCATCCTGGCCAACAAACCCCATCTCTACTAACAATATAAAAATTAGCCGGGTATGGTGGTGCGCACCTGTAATCCCAGTTATTCAGGAGATTGAGGCAGGAGAATCACTTGAACCCGGGAGGCGGAGGTTGCAGTAAGCCAAGATCGCGCCACTGCACTCCAGCCTGGGCCACAGAGCAAGATTCCGTCTCAAAAAAAAAAAAAAAAAAAGGGAAAAAATCATTCCTGATTCCGTAATTCAAACAATTGTAAACATTTGTTAAAATTTTGGGGTGTTTCCTCTCAGCCTTTTTTTTTAACTCTTAGGTTTGACTTTTCCTAATACAACTCTAAGCATTTTTACATATTAATGCAAATCCTTAGAAACAATTATTTTAATGGTTGTCTAATATTTCATGGAGTTGATAGAGTTTACTTTTTCATTCTTCTATAATATGGCATTCATATTATTTCCAACTCTTTATAACTACAAATAAAGCAACTATGAACATATTTATATACAAAACTTAAATATAGTTAGTATTACCATAAAAGTCATATTTGATTTTTCTCAGAAGTAAGATAAAACTTCCTTCCTAATGGAAGCCTTTTTTTCCTTTTGAAAATTTGTTAATGGACAAAATAGAGTTAGATTCTCCATTTTCTTTATGGATCAAGCTATGAACAGTCAAAAAGATAAGATGTAGAGGTGGGCTGATAATTGTCTTTCCATTATGAGCAAAACAATCTTTATGTGAGTAGTACAGGCAAAAAAAATTTAAAGTAAAATTATACTCTACCTGTTGAAAAGCTTTTTCTGCTTGACGTTCAGCATCAATAACTTGTCTCTCAAGCTGTTGCATCTGTAGAGTGAGGGAAAATATAAATACAAAAATTTATTTTTGAAAAATGAGCCTTTCTGAAAAAGGCTTTAAAAATCTCATAATTCTACCTCCACCTCCACCTCCACCTCCACCTCCACCTCCACTTCCACCTCTACCCACGGTCTCCCTCTCCCTCTCTTTCCATGGTCTCCCTCTGATGCCGAGCCGAAGCTGGACTGTACTGCTGCCATCTCGGCTCACTGCAACCTCCCTGCCTGATTCTCCTGCCTCAGCCTGCCGAGTGCCTGCGATTGCAGGCGCGCGCCGCCACGCCTGACTGGTTTTCGTATTTTTTTGGTGGAGACGGGGTTTCGCTGTGTTGGCCGGGCTGGTCTCCAGCTCCTAACCGCGAGTGATCTGCGAGCCTCGGCCTCCTGAGGTGCCGGGATTGCAGACGGAGCCTCGTTCACTCAGTGCTCAATGGTGCCCAGGCTGGAGTGCAGTGGCGTGATCTCGGCTCGCTACAACCTCCACCTCCCAGCCGCCTGCCTTGGCCGCCCAAAGTGCCGAGATTGCAGCCTCTGCCCGGCCGCCACCCCGTCTGGGAAGTGAGGAGCGTCTCTGCCTGGCCGCCCATGGTCTGGGATGTGAGGAGCCCCTCTGCCTGGCTGCCCAGTCTGGAAAGTGAGGAGCATCTCTGCCCGGCCGCCATCCCATCTAGGAAGTGAGGAGCCTCTCTGCCCGGCCACCCATCTTCTGAGATGTGGGGAGCGCCTCTGCCCCGCCGCCCGGTCTGGAATGTGAGGAGCGCCTCTGCCCGGCCGCGACCCCGTCTGGGAGGTGAGGAGCGTCTCTGCCAGGCCGCCTCGTCTGAGAAGTGAGGAGACCCTCTGCCTGGCAACCGCCCCGTCTGAGAAGTGAGGAGCCCCTCCGCCCGGCAGCCGCCCCGTCTGGGAGGGAGGTGGGGGGATCAGCCCCCCGCCCGGCCAGCCGCCCCGTCCTGGAGGGAGGTGGGGAGATCAGCCCCCCGCCCGGCCAGCCGCCCCGTCCGGGAGGGAGGTGGGGGGGGGTCAGCCCCCCGCCCAGCCAGCTGCCCGGTGCGGGAGGTGAGGGGCGCCTCTGCCCAGCCACCCCTACTGGGAAGTGAGGAGCCCCTCTGCCCGGCCACCACCCCGTCTTGGAGGTGTACCCAACAGCTCATTGAGAACGGGCCATGATGACAATGGCGGTTTTGTGGAATAGAAATGGGGGAAAGGTGGGGAAAAGATTGAGAAATCGGATGGTTGCCGTGTCTGTGTGGAAAGAAGTAGACATGGGAGACTTTTCATTTTGTTCTGTACTAAGAAAAATTCTTCTGCCTTGGGATCCTGTTGATCTGTGACCTTACCCCCAACCCTGTGCTCTCTGAAACATGTGCTGTGTCCACTCAGGGTTAAATGGATTAAGGGCGTTGCAAGATATGCTTTGTTAAACAGATGCTTGAAGGCAGCATGCTCGTTAAGAGTCATCACCACTCCGTAATCTCAAGTACCTAGGGACACAAACACTGCAGAGGGCCGAAGGGTCCTCTGCCTAGGAAAACCAGAGACCTTTGTTCACTTGTTTATCTGCTGACCTTCCCTCCACTATTGTCCTATGACCCTGCCAAATCCCCCTCTGCGAGAAACACCCAAGAATGATCAATTAAAAAAAAAAAAACTCATAAAGTCATCATCAGTTTGGATATTTTAAACTAGTTCACTGGAGATGAGTTAAATACAGTTAGCACATTAAAGGCTCTTTGCATATTTAAAAGTTGATCAAAATGCCAGAGTTTCGATACTTTTAATACAAGGACTACATATATACCTCAAGAGTATTCATCAATAGAATTTTCTTCAGTGGATTGTAGATTAAAAATTATGGATTAACATATATTAAGAACAAGAAAATAAATCTAAGAGGAAAGAAAGGCTTCAAATGTCCTATTTGACCGCTTGATCAAAAAGTCATAATGACATCAAGGAAGTGGTGTGTTCTCATGAACTCCGTGGGTGCTAGGTTTAAATAAACTCTGGGTAGTTTTACATTCTTACAGACTGATGGAGAGAGTATAGAAGAGATTCTTTGATTAAACACACAGACACACAAATACTAAAACGAATATTATAAGGAGAATTTTAAAAGCCTTAAGAAGGACCCCATGCTAATCAACATACGGGATGTGTTGTACCAGGGGCTGAATACACAAATCGTGAGGTAAAACTCAATTTTATTCTTTTTGGCTCAGTGCTGATGTCTGGCTCACTTTAGAGCCGTCTGTGACTCATCTCTGCTCATTTTCAACTTTATTGCTGGTTGGAAGGCCAGGCGTGCAGAACTCCTGGTATACCTCTCACCCGCAGCAGCCCGGACCCCACCCGCAGTGGCCGCCGCGTCCCGCTCCTGCCCCGCCCCCTTCTCTACGCCACCGAGAAGCGACCTCCCGCAGCTAGAGTGGCCCAACCGGGAGCGCAGCCGCCAGCTCCGGAAGGCGCGGGACCCCAGGACCCGGTCCCAGGCTGCCTTTGACCCTGGCACACTGTCCTAACGCCTGGAAAATGGTTTCCGCTAGTGGGACATCATTTTTTAAGGGTATGTTGCTTGGGAGCATTTCCTGGGTTTTGATAACTATGTTTGGCCAAATTCACATTCGACACAGAGGTCAAACTCAAGACCACGAGCACCATCACCTTCGTCCACCTAACAGGAACGATTTCTTAAACACTTCAAAAGTGATACTCTTGGAGCTCAGTAAAAGTATTCGTGTTTTCTGTATCATCTTTGGAGAATCCGAAGATGAGAGTTACTGGGCTGTACTGAAAGAGACCTGGACCAAACACTGTGACAAAGCAGAGCTCTACGATACTAAAAATGATAATTTGTTCAATATAGAAAGTAATGACAGGTGGGTACAGATGAGGACCGCTTACAAATACGTCTTTGAAAAGTATGGTGACAACTACAACTGGTTCTTCCTTGCACTTCCCACTACGTTTGCTGTCATTGAAAATTTAAAGTACCTTTTGTTTACAAGGGATGCATCCCAGCCCTTCTATCTGGGCCACACTGTTATATTTGGAGACCTCGAATACGTGACTGTGGAAGGAGGGATTGTCTTAAGCAGAGAGTTGATGAAAAGACTTAACAGACTTCTCGATAACTCTGAGACCTGTGCAGATCAAAGTGTGATTTGGAAGTTATCTGAAGATAAGCAGCTGGCAATATGCCTGAAATATGCAGGAGTTCATGCAGAAAATGCAGAGGATTATGAAGGAAGAGATGTATTTAATACAAAACCAATCGCACAGCTTATTGAAGAGGCATTGTCTAATAACCCTCAGCAAGTAGTAGAAGGCTGCTGTTCAGATATGGCTATTACTTTCAATGGACTGACCCCCCAAAAGATGGAAGTAATGATGTATGGCCTGTACCGGCTCAGGGCATTTGGACACTATTTCAATGACACACTCGTTTTCTTGCCTCCAGTTGGTTCAGAAAATGACTGAGGCCTGGAGAATAATAGACCTGTGCTGTCCAAGAGCACTTGAAATGTGGCTAGTCCAAATTCTGATACAGTGTAAGTGTAAAATACGTACTTCATTCAATAATTCATATATTATTAGAAAACAGTATGAAGATGTAAAACATCTCAGTAATATTTCATATTGACTCCACATTGAAATAATGTTTTGGATATTTTGCATTAAATAAAATATACTATTAAAATTAATTTCACCTGCTTTTTAATTTTATTAATGTGTCTATTAGAATATTTTAAGTTACACATGTAGCTTACATATTTCTACTGGATAATAAAGGTGTAGAACATTTGTTGCCACCATGTATGGCCACATATTTAACTGCCTGTCCACATGGCAGCATTTTTTTTTTTTTTTGAAATGGAGTCTTGCTTTGTCACCCAGGCTGGAGTGCAGTGGCACAATTTCGGCTCACTGCAACCTCCGCCTCCCGGGTTCAAGTGATTCTCCTATCTCAGCCTACTGAGTAGCTGGGACTACAGGTACACACCACCATGCCCAGCTAATTTTTTTATTTTTAGTAGAGACAGCGTTTCACCATATTGGTCAGACTGGTCTTGAACTCCTGACTTCAGGTGATCCACATGCCTCAGCCTCCCAAAGTGCTGAGATTACAGGCATGACCCACCACACGCAGCCCCATGGCAGCATTTTAAAAGGCAGTTTATTACAGGGATCTAGATTCTGGAAGAGGTTTCAAATATTTGGATATGTAAATAACTGTGCAAGTACATTCTCAGTACCTCATATTTAATTTCTGTGAAAATATTTCAAATGTTTAATGAGCAAGTAATGTGGTTTCAAAGCATTTTGTTGAATTACTTGTTTAGACTATGGCACTATATAGAAGCAGCTGGACAAGCATTAAGTCTTTTGGATGTCTCTAGAATATTCCCTAAACCAAAAACCAACTAGCAAACACATGCCAATACCACATTCTTCCACTACTGGCAATATGCTGACAATTGTCACTTCTACAATATAACTATATTCTATTTTCAGGGAAATTTGGTTTTTCTGGAGCCTTACTTAGCCTGGATTTTGAATATTGTCAGGATTGCCAGGAGAAACAGAAGAATGCACAAAATTTTGCTAGTGAAAAAAATAGTTCTCTTAAGAGAACTATGCAAATATCTTGTCTGATTTCTCCTCAAATGTATAGTTTCTAGTGATAACAGGAAGGATAAAAGTCAGCTTGCTTCACTGTTACATAACTAATACAGGTCTTTCTACATAGTAGATATTTAATATATTACAAATTATTGATGAAATGACAAAGCTCTCTGTCATGCCTAAAGTACCATGCATATATGAAGGACAGTATCATTATTTTTACCACTGCCAAATAACTTTTTTTCTGCTCCTATGGCACTGACTTCCTATCTTGTACTATCTTCCCAACTACATTGTAAAGTTGTCTTGAAGGCGCAATCAGGCTCAAAAGTTACTTGCTTTCTTAATGAAAAGGAGGTAATCCTTGAAATATGAATATAGGGAAAACTGGAAAGAATACTGAACTTAAAGGCAAGACCTAAATTGGAACTCAGATTCCAATACTAGCTATGTGATGATGGGTACATTATTTAACTTATCTGAGTCTCCTCTCCCTACCTGTAAAATGATACAACACTTATTTCACAGCATTTATAAACAGAAAAGCATCCAACATAGTATCTAATACTTAACAGGTGTTCAATGAATAGTTACATAGAAATTTTTTAAGCAGCCTATTTCTACCATATATATGTGTTATTTTTATGAATAATTTTAAGTTAGGAAACTCTACTATTTACCAATAGTTTGCCACTGGACTCTAAAATTCTTGTGTATAAAATGTGGATAATATAACCCGTTCTGACTACTTTACAGGATGTTGTAGGGCTAAAAATAAGAAAATATATTCAAGCAATGTGAAAAGCTGGTGGTAACTCATTTATTTAAAAATATTATGGTAGCAGTTGTAGTGTTATAATTTGAATGATAAAACTAAAAGTCACAAATGTCCAAAAACAGGATTATCTAAATATATAAATAATGGTACATCCTTACAGTTAGATACCATACAGTCATTACAAATTTTTATGGATGGAGGAAATGATATATTTGGGACTTGTCTCAATATAACATAGGAGGAAAGAAGTAGGTCAGGGTGCAGATGAAGATGAAACAGGATTGGCCCTGAGTTGACAACCATGAAAGCTGGGTGATGTGTACAGGAGGGTCCATTATAACATTCTGCTTACTTTTGTATGTTTGAAAATCTCTCTAATAAAATGTTTTAAATATATATGAAAAGATGTAAATGACATATTTAAAAATAAGTGTAAATTATATATAGAATGATATTATACATAAATGATATATTGAGGGAAAAGGGACTGCAAAGCAGTAATGAATGTTGCAATCAAATGTTTGTTAAAAAATTTACGTGTGCCTGTTTTTATGGAATTACATAAACCAAGGACAAGGAGTTGTCTATATCTAGGTGACAGGATTATGGATAAAGTAGTTTGCATCATATATGATGAGGCACCAGAGGGAGTTTTACGGAGCTGAAAAAAGGAAGAGAATAATGGCAGGGAGGAAAAAAAATGGGTGTTAGAAACTTGCATTAGAAATAGTAGGCAATAGTTAATCAAAGATAATTCTGCTCCCTTAGAGGGAATGAGTAGAAAATCAAGAGGAAGATTTTCAAATAACCTGTGAAATTAGAGAGGCTATATATGAAAGTACATAGAAAAAGGGTTCAAATGCTGAAGTGGCATCTAACTAGGCAACAACTGGTGATGATGCCACTGCTAATTAGGAGGTCATTAGTGACTTTTGTGATTCCAGCTGCACTGTGGAGAAGTGAGGGCATAAGCTGGAATGCAAGAGTCTGAATGAATTAAAGTCATTAGGAAGAGCAAATTAAACCTAAAGCCAACAGAAATTTAAAAACTAACAATAAAGATTAGAGGAGAAATGAATAAAATTAAAAACATAAAAATAGAGAAAAATCAATAAAACCAAAAGCTGGTTCTTTAAAAATATCAATACAATTGATAGCTCTCTAACCAGACCAATAAAGCAAAAAAGAAAAAAGACACAAATTATCAATATCAGTAATGTAATGGGAGACATCACCACAGACCCCACAGATGCTAATGAGATAACAATATTATGAAATACTTCATGCCCATAAACTGGACAAAATAGCAAAGCTCATTTAAGAAGAAATAAGTTAGCTTAATAGCCCAATGTCTATGAAATAAATCACACTTGTAGTTAAAAACTTTCCCACAAAGGAAACTCCAGGACTAGATGGTTTCACTTGTGAATTCTACCCAAAAATGTATAGAAGAATGAATAGAAACTCAACAAAAACTCTTCCAGCACATAAGAGAAGGGAATGCTTCCTAACACATTTTATAAGGCCAGTATTGCCAAAACCAGAAAAAGACGAATATCCTTGTGAACACAGATGCAAAAATCTTTAACAAAATATCAGCAAATCCAATCCAAATATACACAACAAAGATATTATGTCATGGCTAAGTGGGGTTTATCCTAGGAATGCAAGGTTGTTTTAACTTTTGAAAAATAAACCAATGTAGTTCACCATGTCAAGTGGCTAGAAAAGAAATATCATTTCGATAGATGAAGAAAAATCATCTGACAAAATTCAACATCCATTCACAATAAAAATCTCTTAACAAACTAAAAATACAAGGAATTTCTGATACCTAATAAAAGGTATCTACAAAAAAACCTATAACTAACATCATACTCAATGGGAAAGCCTGAATGCTTTCCTCCACAAGAATGTCGTTTTACCACTTCTACTCAAGGTTTTACTGCAGGTGCTAACCTATGTAATAGCCAAGAAAGAAAAATAAAAAGCATATATACTGGAAAGGAAGAAATAAAGCAATATTTATTCACAGATGACATGAGTATCTACACATAAAGTCCCAAATAATCTACAAAAGAACTAATAAATGAGTTTATTAAGGCCATAGGATACAAGGTCAATATACAAAAATCTGTTGTATTTCTATATAAGAGCAATAAATGGCCAGGTGTGGTGGCTCACACCTGTAATCCCAGCACTTTGGGAGGCCGAGGTGGGTGGATAACCTGAGGTCAGGAGTTCTAGACCAGCCTGGCCAACATGGTAAAACCCGGTCTCTACTAAAAATACAAAAAATAGCTGGTCGTGGTGGCAGGTGCCTGTAATCCCAGCTACTCAGTGGGGGGCAGAGGCAGGAGAATCACTTGAACCCAGGAGGCAGAGGTTGCAGTGAGCCGAGATTACGCATCACACTCCAGCCTGGGGGACAAGGGCGACACTTCATCTCAAAAAAAAAAAAGTTAAAAAAAAATAAGAGCAATAAACAATTGAAATTAGAATTTAAAAAACAGTAGCATTTACAAAAGCATCAAAACCATAAAATACTTAGCTATGAATCTAACAAAATAAGCACAATATTTATATGCTGAAAATCACAATATACTGATAAGGAAAATTAAAGAAGAGCTAAATAAATGGAGAGTTAAACTATGAGTCAGAAGACTCGATATTATTGTCAGTTCTCTTCCAATTGACCTATAGATTCCACCCAGTCTTAATCAAAATCCTAGCAGGCCTTTCTGCACAAATTAAGAAGAAGAATCTGAAATTTGTATAGAAATGCACAGGACCTAGAATAGCCTAAGCAGCTTAGAAAAAAAAAAAATTAGAATATTCACAATACCTGACATCAAGACTTATAAAATTGCCAATAGTAGTCAAGAGAATGATATTTATATAAAAACAGACATATTAGATGAATAGAACAAAATAGGGTTCAGAAATATACTTTAAAATATGCAATCAATTTTTTTTCAATTTTTATTGGTTTACTCTATCTTCATTGTCAGATCCTATAGCCATCACATACTACAATCTCCCTACTCTAGTTGACTGAACCTCATTCTCTAAATTTCTTAGGGAAAACTGCTGGGAACAATATTTTCTGAGTTCTTTAATTGCTAATAGCTGCTTGCTATGCCCTTTATACTTGAAAGCCAGTTCTGCTTAATACGAAGTCCTTGGATCATATGTGCTTTCCTTGATATCTGAAACATGGTAGTCCATGTTCTCCTGGCATAAAGCATTACTATCAGTGTAAGAACATAATTTTATTCTCCTAATGATATAAAGGTCATGTTTTTGTTTTTGCCTAAATACCTAAAAAATGTTTTCTTTTTCTTTAACATCCAGTATTTTGATGAAAAATATGCCTTGAAGTGGGTCATTCTAGGTTGATGTTCTCAGCCACACGATCCACTATTTCAATATGCAATATTTTGCTTTTTTAAGGTTCTGTAAACGTTTCTTAAATTACACTGTTTGTATTTGTTTCATTCCCTTGTTTTCTTCAGGGGCTTCTTTTATCTGTATATTGTATCTTCCTTACTTATCTTCAATACTAGTCATTGTTTCAAATCCTTTTGATCTTTCCTCATTTTGATGTTTAAAAGTTTCTGGGAGGCTGAGACATGAGAATCACTCAAACCCAGGAGGCAGAGGTTGCAGTGAACTGAGATCACATCACCGCACTCTAGCCTGGGCCAACAGAGTGAGACTCCGTCTCAAAAAAAAAAAAAGTTTCTTCCTTTTCACCTTCATTTCTCATTAAAGCATTATGTGTTGAGTTTATCCATTCTTCGGTTCCTTCTGCTTTAGTCTTAGTTTATAAAATATATTTTTCTACTTGTAATTCTTTGTTGAGTTCTATCACCTCATTTCTGATTTTTTTCTAATTATGATTCATGCTATTCGTGTCTTATATCATTTTGTTAATGTCTTTTGGTTAATTTATTTTTTCCCACTATTTAAAGTCGAGATATAATACACATGCCATAAAATTCACCTTTTAAAACAGTGTAATTCAGTGGTTTTTAGTATATTCAAAGAGTTGTGCAACCATCACTGCTAATTCCAGAACATTTCTATCACCCTCCCCCTAAAAAAACCCTGTACCCATTGGCAGTCATTCCCCCATTGCTTTGCTCTGCATTTCTTTAAGTATGAGTGAGGCTGAATACCTTTTTCCATGTTTATTGGCTACTAGTATTTTTTGTATACTATCTTTTCATAGCCTCTGCTTGCATGGTGATTACTTTGAGTCTGGGTATTTGAACCAGTGTCTAGTCTCTCAAGGAAGTTAACAGATTGCTGGAACTCCATGAACTTCAACTTTGCCCAAGTAGGGGCCTTAGTCAACCAAAGAGGACTGAGAAGCCCTTGTAAGTTTAAGTAACGGACTATTCCTGGAGCTCTCTGCTGCACTGCTGCTTAGCTCAACCAGCTGACCATTCCCTACTCCTTGATCATCCAGAGTTCTCTCAAGTTAGAGAGCAGTTACCACCTTTTCCCTTCCCCCACCTTTGTGCATAATATCAGGGATGGGTATCAAGGGAACTGGCCAGACTCAAAGCTAATTAACTCTTCGGGTAACAACTGTGGAAACACAAATTGAAGAGTTGTTTTATTATTGTTGTTGTTTTGGGGATAGGGTCTCACTATGTTGCCCAAGCAGGTCTCGAACTCCTGGGCTCAAGGGATCCTCCCTCCTCAGCTTTCCCAGTAGCTGAGACTACAGACAGGTACCATTGTGCTGGGCTTTAATCAAAAAGTTTTGATCCTGTAGTTCTACTCTGACCCATTCATTGTACTTTAGAGAACCTTCCAGAAGAAAGAATTGCAATTATTTAAAAATGTTATATACACAAGAAGTTCATTTGCAATGTTGTTTAAACTAATGGAAAACTATAAGTAGCCTGTATGTCTAATAGTAAGGGAACTGATCAGTAAATCATCAGTATTTATTTACTGAGCTCTTTATGATTATGAATACAGAGACTAGGGGACAACACAGAACATGATAATGATAAATGATCTAATATTTTATGAAACAAGTTTATTTAAACTATTTACATCTATGTATATATATTTTAAGTTATACATTTAAAAATAAGAATGTGGCCAGGTGCGATGGCTCATGCCTATATTCCCAGCACTTTGGGAGGCCAAGGTGGGTGAATTACCTGAGGTCAGGAATTCGAGACCAATCTGGCCAACATGATAAAACCTTGTCTCTATTAAAACACAAAAATTAGCCAGGAGTGGTGGTGGGAGCACGTAATCCCAGCTACTTGGGAGGCTGAGGCAGGAGAATCACTTGAACCCGGGTGGCAGAGGTTGCAGTGAGCTGAGATCATACCACTGCATTCCAGCCAGGGTGACAGAGCCGGACTTCATCTCAAAAAACAACAACAACAACAAAAAAGAATGCTAATAGTAGTGTTGTTAAAGAGCAGGCAGTATTTCTCCATTTTTCCAAACTTTTTAAAAAATTGAGAAGTAATTCACATGCCACAAAATTAACCACTTTAAAGTGTACAATTCAGCGTTTTTTTTTACTATATTCACAGAGTTGTGGAACTATTAGCACCATTTAATTCCAGAACAGTTTCATCACCTCAAACAGAAAGCCTGTACCTATTAGCAGTAATTCCCCATTGTACTCTCCCAATCGCCCTTTGCAACCAATAGTCTACTTTGTTTCCATGATTTTGCCTATTCTGAATATTTCATATGAATGGATTCCTATAACATGTGACCTTCTGTGTCTAGCTTCTTTCACTTAGCACAATGTCTTCAAGGTCCATCCATGCTGTAGCATATGTTTGTACTTCATTTCTTTTTATGCCTGAATGATATTCCACTATACGGATATACCAAATTGTGTTTATCCATTCATCAGTTAGTTGATGAGCTTTTGCGTTGTTTCACTCTTTGATTATTATAAATAATGGTGCTATGAACATTCATGTAAAAGTTTTTGTGTGGACTTGTCCATTTTCTTAGGTATCTATTTAGGAGTAGAACTTCTGGGTCATATAATAACTCTATATTTAACTTTTTGAAGAACTACCCAACTGTTTTCCACAGTGGCTGCACAATTTTACATTTCCACCAGCAATGTATGAGACCTTCAATTTTTTCATATAATGCTTGTTATTATTGTCCATCTCTTTGACTACAGCCATCCTAGTGAGTATGAAAAGATGTCCAGGTAATTAAAAGGAGAGAGGAGAGAGTCTTTTCAACAAATGATACTAGAAGAAATAGCCACATGACATTTCCTTTAACCATTATCTTGCATCATATACAAAAACCATGTTCCTTTTCCACACTAGAAAAAAATCCTTGTAATTCTGTGTTAGGCAAAGATTTTTCAGAAAGGATACTAAAAGCATGAACCAAAAAAATTGGTAAAATGGACTTTATACCCATTTTAAGTGTCTGTTTTTCAAAACACACTATTAAGAAAAATGAGATACTAAGCCATTACTTACTATCACTAAGCTATTATTACTATTACTATTACTAAGCCAATACTTACTATTAAGAAAAATGAGATACTAGAAAAATTAGTGCAAAACACATCTGATAAAAGACTTGTATCCAGAATATATAAGGAATTTTTACAATTCAAGAATACAAATAACCCCATTTTTAAAAATGCTAAAAGGATTTAGACAGATACTTTACCAAAAAATAAATATGGATAGCAAGTTAAATACGTAAAAAGATGGTCAACATCATTAGTCATTAGAGACATGCAAATTAGAACTAAAATGAAATACAACTACATACCTATTAATATGGCTAAAATTACAAAGATTGAATATGCCAAATGGTGGTAAAACTGCAGAGCAAGTAGAACACTCAAGCATTACTGGTAGGAATGCAAAATGGTACAGTCTCCTTAGAAACAGTTCGGCAGTTTCTTAAGTTAAACATATGTTGGGGGAGGAGCCAAGATGGCCGAATAGGAACAGCTCCGGTCTACAGCTCCCAGCGTGAGCGACGCAGAAGACGGGTGATTTCTGCATTTCCATCTGAGGTACCAGGTTCATCTCACTAGGGAGTGCCAGACAGTGGGCGCAGGCCAGTGGGTGTGCGCACCGTGCGCGAGCCGAAGCAGGGCGAGGCATTGCCTTACCTGGGAAGCGCAAGGGGTCAGGGAGTTCCCTTTCCGAGTCAAAGAAAGGGGTGACGGATGCACCTGGAAAATCGGGTCACTCCCACCCGAATACTGCGCTTTTCAGACCGGCTTAAAAAACGGCGCACCACGAGACTATATCCCACACCTGGCTTGGAGGGTCCTACGCCCACGGAATCTCGCTGATTGCTAGCACAGCAGTCTGAGATCAAACTGCAAGGCGGCAGCAAGGCTGGGGGAGGGGAGCCCGCCATTGCCCAGGCTTGCTTAGGTAAACAAAGCAGCCGGGAAGCTCGAACTGGGTGGAGCCCACCACAGCTCAAGGAGGCCTGCCTGCGTCTGTAGGCTCCACCTCTGGGGGCAGGGCACAGACAAACAAAAAGACAGCAGTAACCTCTGCAGACTTAAATGTCCCTGTCTGACAGCTTTGAAGAGAGCAGTGGTTCTCCCAGCACGCAGCTGGAGATCTGAGAACGGGCAGACTGCCTCCTCAAGTGGGTCCCTGACCCCTGACCCCGGAGCAGCCTAACTGGGAGGCACCCCCCAGCAGGGGCACACTGACACCTCACACGGCAGGGTATTCCAACAGACCTGCAGCTGAGGGTCCTGTCTGTTAGAAGGAAAACTAACAAACAGAAAGGACATCCACACCGAAAACCCATCTGTACATCACCATCATCAAAGACCAAAAGTAGATAAAACCACAAAGATGGGGAAAAAACAGAACAGAAAAACTGGAAACTCTAAAACGCAGAGCGCCTCTCCTCCTCCAAAGGAACGCAGTTCCTCACCAGCAATGGAACAAAGCTGGATGGAGAATGACTTTGACGAGCTGAGAGAAGAAGGTTTCAGACGATCAAATTACTCTGAGCTACGGGAGGACATTCAAACCAAAGGCAAAGAAGTTGAAAACTTTGAAAAAAATTTAGAAGAATGTATAACTAGAATAACCAATACAGAGAAGTGCTTAAAGGAGCTGATGGAGCTGAAAACCAAGGCTCGAGAACTACGTGAAGAATGCAGAAGCCTGAGGAGCCGATGCGATCAACTGGAAGAAAGGGTATCAGCAATGGAAGATGAAATGAATGAAATGAAGCGAGAAGGGAAGTTTAGAGAAAAAAGAATAAAAAGAAATGAGCAAAGCCTCCAAGAAATATGGGACTATGTGAAAAGACCAAATCTACGTCTGATTGGTGTACCTGAAAGTGATGCGGAGAATGGAACCAAGTTGGAAAACACTCTGCAGGATATTATCCAGGAGAACTTCCCCAATCTAGCAAGGCAGGCCAACGTTCAGATTCAGGAAATACAGAGAACGCCACAAAGATACTCCTCGAGAAGAGCAACTCCAAGACACATAATTGTCAGATTCACCAAAGTTGAAATGAAGGAAAAAATGTTAAGGGCAGCCAGAGAGAAAGGTCGGGTTACCCTCAAAGGGAAGCCCATCAGACTAACAGCGGATCTCTCAGCAGAAACCCTACAAGCCAGAAGAGAGTGGGGGCCAATATTCAACATTCTTAAAGAAAAGAATTTTCAACCCAGAATTTCATATCCAGCCAAACTAAGCTTCATAAGTGAAGGAGAAATAAAATACTTTACAGACAAGCAAATGCTGAGAGATTTTGTCACCACCAGGCCTGCCCTAAAAGAGCTCCTGAAGGAAGCGCTAAACATGGAAAGGAACAACCGGTACCAGCCGCTGCAAAATCATGCTAAAATGTAAAGACCATCGAGACTAGGAAGAAACTGCATCAACTAACGAGCAAAATCACCAGCTAACATCATAATGACAGGATCAAATTCACACATAACAATATTAACTTTAAATGTAAATGGACTAAATTCTCCAATTAAAAGACACAGACTGGCAAGTTGGATAAAGAGTCAAGACCCATCAGTGTGCTGTATTCAGGAAACCCATCTCACGTGCAGAGACACACATAGGCTGAAAATAAAAGGATGGAGGAAGATCTACCAAGCAAATGGAAAACAAAAAAAGGCAGGGGTTGCAATCCTAGTCTCTGATAAAACAGACTTTAAACCAACAAAGATCAAAAGAGACAAAGAAGGCCATTACATAATGGTAAAGGGATCAATTCAACAAGAGGAGCTAACTATCCTAAATATATATGCACCCAATACAGGAGCACCCAGATTCATAAAGCAAGTCCTGAGTGACCTACAAAGAGACTTAGACTCCCACACATTAATAATGGGAGACTTTAACACCCCACTGTCAACATTAGACAGATCAATGAGACAGAAAGTCAACAAGGATACCCAGGAATTGAACTCATCTCTGCACCAAGCGGACCTAATAGACATCTACAGAACTCTCCACCCCAAATCAACAGAATATATGTTTTTTTCAGCACCACACCACACCTATTCCAAAATTGACCACATAGTTGGAAGTAAAGCTCTCCTCAGCAAATGTAAAAGAACAGAAATTATAACAAACTATCTCTCAGACCACAGTGCAATCAAACTAGAACTCAGGATTAAGAATCTCACTCAAAGCCGCTCAACTACATGGAAACTGAACAACCTGCTCCTGAATGACTACTGGGTACATAACGAAATGAAGGCAGAAATAAAGATGTTCTTTGAAACCAACGAGAACAAAGACACAACATACCAGAATCTCTGGGACGCATTCAAAGCAGTGTGTAGAGGGAAATTTATAGCACTAAATGCCCACAAGAGAAAGCAGGAAAGATCCAAAATTGACACCCTAACATCACAATTAAAAGAACTAGAAAAGCAAGAGCAAACACATTCAAAAGCTAGCAGAAGGCAAGAAATAACTAAAATCAGAGTAGAACTGAAGGAAATAGAGACACAAAAAACCCTTCAAAAAATCAATGAATCCAGGAGCTGGTTTTTTGAAAGGATCAACAAAATTGATAGACCGCTAGCAAGACTAATAAAGAAAAAAAGAGAGGAGAATCAAATAGACACAATAAAAAATGATAAAGGGGATATCACCACCGATCCCACAGAAATACAAACTACCATCAGAGAATACTACAAACACCTCTACGCAAATAAACTAGAAAATCTAGAAGAAATGGATAAATTCCTTGACACATACACTCTCCCAAGACTAAACCAGGAAGAAGTTGAATCTCTGAATAGACCAATAACAGGAGCTGAAATTGTGGCAATAATCAATAGTTTACCAACCAAAAAGAGTCCAGGACCAGATGGATTCACAGCCGAATTCTACCAGAGGTACAAGGAGGAACTGGTACCATTCCTTCTGAAACTATTCCAATCAATAGAAAAAGAGGGAATCCTCCCTAACTCATTTTATGAGGCCAGCATCATTCTGATACCAAAGCCGGGCAGAGACACAACCAAAAAAGAGAATTTTAGACCAATATCCTTGATGAACATTGATGCAAAAATCCTCAATAAAATACTGGCAAACCGAATCCAGCAGCACATCAAAAAGCTTATCCACCATGATCAAGTGGGCTTCATCCCTGGGATGCAAGGCTGGTTCAATATATGCAAATCAATAAATGTAATCCAGCATATAAACAGAGCCAAAGACAAAAACCACATGATTATCTCAATAGATGCAGAAAAAGCCTTTGACAAAATTCAACAACCCTTCATGCTAAAAACTCTCAATAAATTAGGTATTGATGGGACGTATTTCAAAATAATAAGAGCTATCTATGACAAACCCACAGCCAATATCATACTGAATGGGCAAAAACTGGAAGCATTCCCTTTGAAAACTGGCACAAGACAGGGATGCCCTCTCTCACCGCTCCTATTCAACATAGTGTTGGAAGTTCTGGCCAGGGCAATCAGGCAGGAGAAGGAAATAAAGGGTATTCAATTAGGAAAAGAGGAAGTCAAATTGTCCCTGTCTGCAGACGACATGATTGTTTATCTAGAAAACCCCATCATCTCAGCCCAAAATCTCCTTAAGCTGATAAGCAACTTCAGCAAAGTCTCAGGATACAAAATCAATGTACAAAAATCACAAGCATTCTTATACACCAACAACAGACAAACAGAGAGCCAAATCATGAGTGAACTCCCATTCACAATTGCTTCAAAGAGAATAAAATACCTAGGAATCCAACTTACAAGGGATGTGAAGGACCTCTTCAAGGAGAACTACAAACCACTGCTCAAGGAAATAAAAGAGGATACAAACAAATGGAAGAACATTCCATGCTCATGGGTAGGAAGAATCAATATCGTGAAAATGGCCATACTGCCCAAGGTAATTTACAGATTCAATGCCATCCCCATCAAGCTACCAATGACTTTCTTCACAGAATTGGAAAAAACTACTTTAAAGTTCATATGGAACCAAAAAAGAGCCCGCATCGCCAAGTCAATCCTAAGCCAAAAGAACAAAGCTGGAGGCATCACACTACCTGACTTCAAACTATACTACAAGGCTACAGTAACCAAAACAGCATGGTACTGGTACCAAAACAGAGATATAGATCAATGGAACAGAACAGAGCCCTCAGAAATAATGCCGCATACCTACAACTATCTGATCTTTGACAAACCTGAGAAAAACAAGCAATGGGGAAAGGATTCCCTATTTAATAAATGGTGCTGGGAAAACTGGCTAGCCATATGTAGAAAGCTGAAACTGGATCCCTTCCTTACACCTTATACAAAAATCAATTCAAGATGAATTAAAGATTTAAACGTTAGACCTAAAACCATAAAAACCCTAGAAGAAAACCTAGGCATTACCATTCAGGACATAGGCGTGGGCAAGGACTTCATGTCTAAAACACCAAAAGCAATGGCAACAAAAGCCAAAATTGACAAATGGGATCTAATTAAACTAAAGAGCTTCTGCACAGCAAAAGAAACTACCATCACAGTGAACAGGCAACCTACAGAATGGGAGAAAATTTTCGCAACCTACTCATCTGACAAAGGGCTAATATCCAGAATCTACAATGAACTCAAACAAATTTACAAGAAAAAAACAAACAACCCCATCAAAAAGTGGGCGAAGGACATGAACAGACACTTCTCAAAAGAAGACATTTATGCAGCCAAAAAACACATGAAAAAATGCTCACCATCACTGGCCATCAGAGAAATGCAAATCAAAACCACAATGAGATACCATCTCACACCAGTTAGAATGGCAATCATTAAAAAGTCAGGAAACAACAGGTGCTGGAGAGGATGTGGAGAAATAGGAACACTTTTATACTGTTGGTGGGACTGTAAACTAGTTCAACCATTGTGGAAGTCAGTGTGGCGATTCCTCAGGGATCTAGAACTAGAAATACCATTTGACCCAGCCATCCCATTACTGGGTATATACCCAAATGACTATAAATCATGCTGCTATAAAGACACATGCACACGTATGTTTATTGCGGCATTATTCACAATAGCAAAGACTTGGAACCAACCCAAATGTCCAACAATGATAGACTGGATTAAGAAAATGTGGCACATATACACCATGGAATACTATGCAGCCATAAAAAATGATGAGTTCATGTCCTTTGTAGGGACATGGATGAAATTGGAAACCATCATTCTCAGTAAACTATCGCAAGAACAAAAAACCAAACACTGCATATTCTCACTCATAGGTGGGAATTGAACAATGAGATCACATGGTCACAGGAAGGGGAATATCACACTCTGGGGACTGTGGTGGGGTGGGGGGAGGGGGGAGGGGTGGCATTGGGAGATATACCTAATGCTAGATGACGAGTTAGTGGGTGCAGCGCACCAGCATGGCACATTTATACATATGTAACTAACCTGCACAATGTGCACATGTACCCTAAAACTTAAAGTATAAAAAAAAAAAAATAAATTCCTTAATTGGCAAAAAAAAAAAAAAAAAAAGTTAAACATATGTTTACCATAGACCTATAACCCTACTCCTAGGTGTTTACTTAAGAGAAATAAAGACATATACATCCAAACACCTGTATGTGAATGTTTACAGCAGCTGTATTCGTAATTGCCAAAACTGGAAACAACCCAAATGACCATCAACTAGTGAATGGATAAACACATCATGGTGCACACGTACAATGGAATACTACTCTACAATAAACAGGAACAAACTATAGATACAGACAACACTGGTGAACTCAAAAGCATTCTAAACGATAGAGGCCATTCACTAAAAACTATACACTTTATGTCATACTATATGATGCTCTAAAATAGGCAAAACTAAAGGTCCAGAAACTATATCAGTGATTGCCAGGGCTTAGAGTTTGAGAAGAAGACAGACTATAAAGGCGCAGGAGGGAAATTTCTGAGGTGATGGAAATAGTGTTTATGTTGATTGTGGTAGTGGTTACGGAATCATATATATTTGCCAAAACTCTTTGAACTAAACACCCAAAAGGGTGACTTTTACATATGTACTCAATTAACTTGACCAAAAAAAATTTTTAAAAAGTGCCTTGCAGGCCAGGCACAGTGGCTAACACCTGTAATCCCAGCACTTTGGGAGGACAAGGCAGGCGGATCACTTGAGGTCAGGAGTTCGAGACCAGCCTGGCCAACAGGGTCAAACACTGTCTCTACTAAAAATACAAAAATTACCCAGGCATGATGGCACGTGCCTGTAGTCCCAGCTACTTGGGAGGCTAAAGCAGGAGAATCACTTGAACCTGGGAGGCAGAGGTTGCCAGTGAGCTGAGATCTGACCACTGCACTCCAGTGCAGTGAGACTGTCTCAAAAAAAAAAAAAAAGTGCCTTGCAACCCCAAATTCCAAAACATACAAAGAAAACTAAGAAAGACAGATAACAATATCAATGGTCAAAAGACCAATTTAGTCTGGTAAAATAAAAATGATAACACCATGTGAAAGACTTCAGATTTCTTATGTTTAGGATTGTCAAAGAGATGAAATGAGAATAACATCTATTTTTTAAAGGACAAGAATTGAAAAAAAAAAGAAGAAAAACAGCAGGGAGGTGTTAAACAAGAACGACCAGGCGAGAAAATAAACCAGTTTAAAGTCTTTGCCAGGCTTGGTGGCTCACGCCTGTAATCCCAACACTTTGGGAGGCTGAGGCAGGCAGATAGATGGCTTGAGCCCAGGAGTTTGAGACCAGCCTGGGCAACATGACAAAAACCTCGCTTCTACCAAAAAAAAGAAAAAAATATATATATACAAAAATTAGCCAGGCATGGTGGCACACACCTGTATTCCCATCTACTCAGGAGACTGAGGTGGGAGGATCGCTTCAGCCCAGGAGGTCAAGGCTGCAGTGAGATGAGATCAAGTCACTGCACTCAGGCCTAGGCAACAGAGTGAGACTCTGTTTCAAAAAAAAAAAAAAAAAGAAAGAAAAAAAAGTCTTAAAAATTTAGAAATACATAGTCACTGAAAGAAAAAACTCAATAGATGGTTCAGTAGCCAGCCTCTAAATGTCTCGCAATGATCCTCACCTTCTGGTAATCACACCCATGTGTAGTTGCTTCCTTCACAACATAGGGCTGACCTTTGCAACCAACAGGATATTGTGGAAATGATGAAGTATGACTTCTGAGAGTAGGTCATAAGACGCACTGCATCTTCCACCTTGCATTCTCTTGGATGACTTGCTCTGGGGGAAGCCAGCCACCATGTTGTGAGAACCCTCAAGCAGTCCTGTGGAGACATCCACACACTTAGGGACTGAGGCTTCCTACCAACAGCCAATACCCATTTGCCAACAACCATTTTGGTGAACCATTGAAAGTGAACCCTCCAGCTCCAGTCAAGCCTTCAGATTACTACATCCCAGGCCAACATTTTGACTGCAACCTCATCAGAAACATAAGCTAAGTTGCTTCCAAATTTCTAATCCATAAAAACTGTGCAAGATAATAAATGCTTATAGTTGTTTTAAGCCATGAAATTTTGGAGTCATTTGTTAATACAGCAATAGATAACTAATACAGATGAAGTAAACTATACTCTGAACCCAGTAGAAGAGAGAGCTCATAACATGAAAAATGGTACAAACAATTCATGTATCATTTAATACACGTAAGTGTGAAAAATATAAATTACCAGATTTAAGAGACATGCAGAGACTTCAAAGTAATGGGAAGGAGCAGAAGAAAACAAGTGAGTAAATAGGAATAGCACAATTATGCTGAAAGATAAAAGTACACTCCCTGTATAATGCAGAATAATTGCCTAAGGCCTATATGTTTTATTTTAAAAAATGAAATGAAAGCTCAAGATAATAATACAAAGGAAGATGAAGAAATATTCAATGGGTAGTTGAATAATGTGAAGATCACTGTTCAGAAGACAGAAAATGATATTGTGTTAACTTTACCTTCTGCAAGGACAATTTATATTATGTATGTGTGTTATAATTTAAAGTGTAGGCACAATTGTAGATACAGAAGAAGGAGGGCAAAACTTACTGTTTACCCTTAAAATTTTAAGACACACAGGTAATATAAATAATTATCTGCGCCACCCTACACCAGTCTGCCCGGTATCTATCAATGCTGCAGATACTGGGAATACATTTAGAGATCATCTTCTGCAGAGGTAGGTCCACCTTCTTGAAGTACAGACAGACCTGCATGGTGCACTACATGTGAAACTTAAAAGATAAAAACAATTCAATTTCTCAATAGACAGAAACAAGTTTATGCTAGACAACCAGAAGGTGATCCAGTAACTCCTATCCCATGTGCTCTTTTTCCATGGGATGTCCTCCATCAAGAGATAAAAGATATTTCCCCTTCCCTTAAAACTGGGCCACCCTGTGATGGGCTTTGGTTGTTAGAATGCTTTGTACCTTTTGAGACTGGGCCTGAAGAGATTTGCAGCTTCCACTTGCTCTTTCTTGGAGCCCTGAATCACCATGGACAGAGATCTGGCTACCTTGGGAGCGGTTTAGTAGGGTGGCTCAGATAGTTTCCAGTTGTTTCACCACTCCCAGCTGAGGCATCAGATATGTGAGTGAAATCAAGGTGTGGCGGCGTGCACCTGTAATCCCAACTACTTGGAAGCACCTGTAATCCCAACTACTAGGAGGGCTGAGATGGGAGGCCAGGAGACCTAGACATCCAAGTGAAATCATCTTGGATATCCAGACCCAGCTGTCCGAGCACCCGCAGTGAGTCCACCCTCCAGCTGATTTGCCAACTGAATGCAGTCACATGAGTGATCCCATTCAATGCCAAACAGAGTAAAAGAACCACCAACAGAATCATGAACAAATAAAATGATTGTTAATTGAAGCCACTAAGGTTTTTTTGTTTTATTTTGTTTTGTTTTGTTTGTTTTTTGACACGGAGTTTTGCTCTTGTTGCCCAGGCTAGAGTGCAATGGCGCGATCTCGGCTCACTGCAACCTCCACCTCTCGGGCTCAAGCGATTCTTCTGCCTCAGCCTCCCAAGTAGCTGGGATTACAGATACTTGCCACCATGCCTGGCTAATTTTTTGTATTTTTAGTAGAGACAGGGTTTTACCATGTTGGCCAGGCTGGTCTCAAACTCCTAGCTTCAGGTGATCCACCCGCCTCAGCCTCCCAAAGTGCTGGGATTATGGGCGTGAGCCACTGCACCCAGCCCACTAAGGTTTTCTCTAATGGACAAAAATTGTATATATTTGTTGTGCACAACACGATGTTTTTAAATATGTATACATCGTGGAATGGCTAAATCAATAAAGCTGCTAAGTTTTGAGGTAGTTTTTTATGCAGCAATAGATAACTAAACCCCAAGGTTAGCCTGTTATGTGTAGATCTGTAAAGATAATCCTCTGACTATTCCTGTGATCATCTATCTGGTCATCATTCCACTGGAAGCCACTCTCATTTTGACATGCAGCTTCTAGGAATATCTTCATATCTTCTCTTAGCTCTCAGTCCTTGGATGTGAAATGGAGAAATTCAGTGTCTCAGCTTCAAGAATTATACTCATAAAAAGTACAGAGCTTTTCCTAACTTTCCATTCCACAAACTGTATAAACATATACCAAAAATAAATGTATTACACAGATTTGCTTTGTTTTGAGGCAAAAAAAATGCCCATTTAAATTGTTAAGATAGGCTGGGCACAGTGACTCATGCCTGTAATCCCAGCACTTTGGGAGACAGAGGCGGGCAGATCACTTGAGGTCAGGAGTTCGAGACCAACCTGGCCAACATGGCAAAATCCCATCTCTATCAAAAATACAAAATTAGCCGGCATGATGGCACACACCTATAGTCCCAGCTACTCGGGAGGCTGAGGCATAAGAATCACTTGAACCCAGGAGGTGGAGATTGCAGTGAGCCGAGATCATGCCACTGCACTCCAGCCTGGGCAATACAGCGAGACTCTATCTCAAAAAAAAAAAATCACTAAGATACATTCCAGATTAAATAGATGATGAAGTATTAATGGCACAATGATAAGTTAACCTTTAGAAGAAAGATTTTTCTGAACAAAGAATGTGTATTTTTTTCTTTTCATGAAAATGCATCTAATATTACAAATTAAAAGTCTGCTGCTGTTGCAAAGCTCAAGGAGCTGTTGAGGGCTGAATTACTCTCCCAGACGAAAAATCTCATTCAGTTGTAATAATCATCCTACCCCAAGTGAGATTTCCAACCCATCCCCACACAACCTTAGGCTTTCAAAGTAGGTCGTTTTGTGATCATGTTGGAAAAACCACTAGTTCTTTCTCTAGGACAAGGTGGGACATCTGAAGTCTTTCTGGTTGCCTGCCATTTTTCCATTCTATGGTTTCTAATGGATTTACACAACATTTAGCATCTTCCATTGTCCATCAAAGATACATAATTACCTAAATTTTAAGAGCTTCATGAAAGTTCAAATTGAAGGTGCTGGTTTCTGTTCCAGAAAATGCCTAGTTTCTAAAGTGTTATCTAAAGAAAAATCAATCCCAGCTATTGTAAGACTTTCAGCAGTTCCTGGTTTTGATACTCTGCTCTCCACTGCTCTTGATTTCCTAACCTTTCCTTCACCAAATCCCCCACCACTACACTATCCTATACAGATATTTTTTTGTTGTTTTTAATTATCCCCAACATTTCCTTGCCACATTCCAGTTTCAAGTTCTATTCTGTTATAAAGTATTTGTGCGGGCCTTTATTATTATTATTATTATTTTATTTTTATTTATTTTTTAGCCCAGGCATCATTATAGCACTGCAGCCCCCGGAACTTCTGGGCTCAGGCGATCCTCTTGCCTCAGCCTCCTGAGTAGCTGGGGCTACAGGTGTGCACACCACACCTGGCTAATTTTGATTTCTTTATTTTAATTTTTTTGAGATGGAGTCTCACTCTGTTGCTCATGCTGGAGTGCAGTGGCATGATCTCGGCTGGCTCACTGCAACCTCCATCTCCCAGGTTCAAGCAATACCCCCGCCTCAGCCTCCTGAGTAGCTGGGACTACTGGCGTGTGCCACTGTGCCCAACTAATTTTTGTATTTTTAGTAGAGATGGGGTTTCACCATGTTGTCCAGGCTGGTCTAGAACTCCTGACCTCAAGTGATCTGCCCACCTCAGCCTCCCAAAGTGCTGGGATTACAGGCGTGAGCCACCACGCCTGGCCTATTTTTTTAATTTTTTGGTAGAGATGCGGGGGGGGGGGGTGTCTTACTATGTTGCCCAAGCTGGTCTTGAACTCTTGGCCTCAAGCAATCCTCCCATCTCGGCCTTCCAAAGCACTGGGATTACAGACATGAGCCACTGTGGCAGCCAATGCTGGCCATTAAAAAAAAAAAAAAAAAAAGTTAAGGAGTTAAGAGTTTTAAGTGGTTACACTTAAAGAACAGAAATTCAGTGTATAAAAATCAACACCTGGCCGGGCGCAGTGGCTCACGCCTGTAATCCCAGCACTTTGGGAGGCCGAGGCAGGCAGATCACAAGGTCAAGAGATCGAGACCATCCTGGCCAACATGGTGAAACCTCATCTCTACTAAAAATACAAAAAAATTAGCTGGATGTGGTGGTGCACACCTGTAGTCCCAGCTACTCAGGAGGCTGAGGCAGGAGACTCGCTTGAACCGGGGAGGTGGAGGTTGCAGTGAGCCGAGATCTCAACACTGCACTCCAGCCTGGCAACAGAGCAAGACTCCGTCTCAATAAATAAATAAATAAATAACATAAAATGTCAACTACTTCCAAAAGGTTTATTAATAAAAGTAAATGTACTCTTTTAGCCAATTCTTTTAATATTTGCCTTCATGTTTTAAGTAACATGCTTCTGTTTCTTTTGACTTTTTTAGTTTAGTGATTTCTTATTCACTCACTTAATGAAAAATGAGGATTTAGCTCTCTGTTCTCCTTGCCATCCATCCAAACAAATACACTTCCTATCTCCCATTCTCCCAATATGTTTATATCTTACCTTTGGTTAAATCATTGTTCAGAAATAGTATTATTGTAACTATGTGTGATATTCAGAGCTGAACCATGTAAAACCATGTAAAAGAACTGTTTACTTTTTCCTTTCCTGTCTTTTTTTTCCTAGAGTTAAATGTCTTTTATTCAGCTTCTCATGAATGAATCAATAATTCAACTCCAAATTCCCACCACTGTGTAAATTGTCTCTCAAAATGTTTGTTCACGTCTGGTTTTCTACCAATTTCATGTTTTTAAGCCACTCCCAGAACTGACCTGTGCCAGGCTCAATTGGTTCACCTGTCTGCCTGGGCACAGCTGACTTCTTGGGGAGACCCCTCAACTTTCTCCCATATAGAATCTCTTGTTTCCTATATCCCATGCCTTCCTCGTTCTTGGTTTACTTCCTCCTTTTAATAAAGCACTCCTTCTGGAGAGTCCTCAGAGAAGTTACATGGGACCTTGAATGTCTTCAAAATATCTTTATTCTACCTTCAAATAAAATTCATAATTGGCCTCGGTGCAGAATTCTGGGTTTGATATAATTTTCCTTCAGAATTTTGAAGACATTTTTTCATTATCCTCTAATTTCTAGTGGTGCTTTTGAAAGGTCTGAAGCCATTTCAATTCCTGATGCTTTGTATGTGAACTGTTTTTTCCTCTGAAAGCTTGCAGAATCTTTTCTTTGATCTCTATATTCTAAACGTTCATTATGATGTAACTTGAGGTGGAAATTATGTTAATCTGTTATGGTAGGTTCTTGGTAGACACATTCAACTTGGAATCTTGTATGCTTCAATTCTAGGAAACTTTCTTGTATTGTTTCATTTATTTTCTTCCCTCCAGTCTTCCTATTACTTGGATCTTGGACATATTGAACTGGACCTCTAAATTTCTCATCTTTTCTCTCCTATTTTCCATCTCTTTAATGTTTTGCTTTACATCCCAGGAACTTTCCCTTAGTTTATATTTCAACCCTGCTCTTAGGTTTGCCATTTTTTCTACCATGTTTTTGGTTTTCTAAGAGCTCTTATTTATTCTCTGAATATTCCCTGTGTCATGGATGCACTATCCTTTCCTTTCTCTCTGAGAATATTAAATGATAGAGTTTTGCTCATTTTGTTTTGCTTACTTTTCCCCACATAGGCAATGCTGGTTTTTTCTGATTGTGCCCTGTCTTTCGTGTTAGAGGCTTTCTTCAGATGTCTGGTCATCCATGATGTGATACGTAGGTTTAAGGGTGAAGGACTAAAAAGCTGACTAGAAACTTTGGCACATATGTGGGGTTTGTTAACCAGAAAACCTAACCTTGGGTGTTCTGGCTGGGCTCCCTGTTGGGGAACTACTGATGTCAGCATCACTATTTCTTTCCTCCTGGACTCATGGAGTCCCTAGAGACTTCTATCTCCTCCTGTAGAATAAAGGGTGGCTGCTAGCATTTTAGGAGCCAAGTGGGAGAAAGGAGGTTGGGGGTGAAGGGCCAGCTTACCATTAAATATGCATACAGTCAGTTAGTTCCCCTATTTTTAGTGTAGCAGAGTTCTGGATAGCATAGCCTAGAATAAGGCTTGGAGAATAAGGCTTGAGCTCCTCCTTCTAAGGGCCAAATGCCCTGCAGAGCCCTGTAAAGACCTAGAGGCGGAGTGACATGAAAGACTGAAAACAGTAGGTATTAATGTAAAATCTGTGGCCCTTAGAGTCAACTAATTCATTGAAACCTTCTCTCTTAAACCCATCTGCCAAATGTCTAGCAACTAAGCATTTACTTCCTGCTAAAAAATTGAAAAGTTATTCTCTTACAAAATTGAATAAGTGAATTGGAGTGCACTAGTCCAACAGCTATGGCATCTATGACCTCACCGCCCAGCAGATACTCTCCCACCCTCTCACACTAAAGAAAAGATTGACTGCTAACCAGCAACTGACCATTTATACATAATTGTCAGTTTACTTTGCAGGTGTCCTATTCTTAAATATAAATAGACCACTAAAAATCATCAGACATTTGAGAAAAGTTTGCAACCTGAAAAGTAATTACAAACATAAAAACAGGAAAATAATCCTAGAAGAAAGAAAGATAATTCAGGGAACAGAAGATAACTTTTTAAAAATTCAAATTAGTGTTTAGGAACCAGGAACTTTCAAATACATTATTTCACAGCTATGCTATGAGACAGGAATTGTTATTCCCATTACAGAGATTAGGAAATTGATGTTCAGAGTGAATATGCCTTGTTCATGGCTGGGATTTCAGTCTTCATGTTCTGATTCCCTAATGCCCTTTTAGTTGAACCACAGGTGCTATAGAATTTATATGCCAGACGCACACAGTGTATAGTTATACAGAACTATATGAAAATCAGAGTCCCAAATACAAAAAAAAAGACACAAAAATCTTAGCTGAAAAGCATTTGTCTTGATTTCTGTCCTTTGCTATTTGTTCAGCCTAGGAATCTTTTATCTGTAACTTAAAAGCATAACATTCATAATAGGAAAAATGCTAAGTTACATGTTATCAGGGAACTTATCACAGAAAGAAACAAAGGGATAGAAATATAACCAAGAGAGGCTAAATTTGAAATTTGAGGGCCGGGCGCGGTGGCTCACGCCTATAATCTCAGCACTTTGGGAGGCCGAGGCGGGTGGATCACAAGGTCAGGAGTTCGAGACCAGCTTGGCCAAGATAGTGAAACCCTATCTCTACTAAAAATACAACAATGGTTGAGGCAGGCATAATGAATACACATAACAGAAACTCAATGTTTGCTGAACAAAATGAATAAATGAATGAATGAATGAATGAATGAAAAGATTTTAACTCCAAAAAATTATGTTGTGAGGATAAACTTTGATAAAGGGTAATCACTACATTTTCACAATCTATATTACAAATTATAAATTCTGAACACTTCACATTGCATTAATGTAAATATACATTAGGTATATCCAATAAAACTTAGATTATTTTAAAACCAGTTTAAATATAACAGTAGTAGGAAAGGTAATGCTGGCCAGGCGCGGTGGCTCATGCCTGTAATCCCAGCACTTTGGGAGCCCAAGGTGGGCAGATCACAAGGTCAGGAGTTCAAGACCAGCCTGGCCAACATAGTGAAACCCCGTCTCTACTAAAAATACAAAAAATTAGCCAGGCATGGTGATGCATGACTGTAGTCCCAGCTACTTGGGAGGCTGAGGCAGGAGAATTGCTTGAACCCGGGAGGTGGAGGTTGCAGTGAGTAGAGATCGTACCACTGCACTCCAGCTTGGGCAGCAGAGTGAGACTTCAACTTAAAAAAAAAAAAAGAAAAAAGAAAAGAAGAAAGGTAATGCTTTGCTTTTGAGTGATTATTTGTTTCTATTAATATAATCATTCAAGCTGGACAATAACTTTGCAAAATACTCAAAAAAGCAATGCAGACAATATTCATGTAAGTTTTTACTTTCACAATATAGACTATAATGTAAACCTTGGGTCAATTCCATAGCCAATCTATATTAAGTCAGTAAAAGAAACCTGAAATGGCCGGGTACAGTGGCTCACGTCTGTAATCCCAGCACTTTGGGAGGCCAAGGTGGGCAGATCAGTTAAGGTTAGGAGTTTGAGACCAGCCTGGCCAACATGGTGAAACCCCATCTCTACTAAAAATACAAAAATTAGCTGGGCATGGTGGTGCACACCTGTAATCCCAGCTACTCAGGAGGCTGAGGCAGGAGGATCACTTGAACCCAGGGGGCAGAAGGCACCACTGCACTTCAGCCTGGGCAACAAAGCAAAACTCCATCTCAGAAAAAAAAAAAAAAAAAAAAAAGGAAAGAAAAACAAACCTGAAATGATCTATGGTCCCATATCAGGCTTTAGACAAAAATAAGTATTTTATGAACAGGCCAATTATGTAATAACAAAATGAAGCAGCAAATTCTAAGTGCTTAATTTACTGCTACAGAAGTACCCTCTGTAGCCAAAGTGAACTTAGCAGCAAGTGGCAGAGGGAAATTTGCCACTGAGCCTGTATACTTACAGAGCCTCTCATTGTTAAAGGGATTGTATACAAATAAATTTGTTTAATGGATTGGTTAATTTAGGTGGAATCCTTTAGGACCTTCACACCCACTGATGTGGACAGCAGTTCCCTGCCACGTGTCTCTCTTCCTGACTTTTCCCCCACAGACCCCATGAAAGATTCTACCACCAAACATTATTTGATGTTGTTATAATAAATAATATCTTCAACCAGTAACCAAAGATGTGACATTTAAATTAGCCTATACGGTCCCATTGTTAGTATATGTAGAATTTCCATTAGACACTGTGAAACATTAGGCAAGCCAGTAGAGTAACTGAGGGAATGTATAATTTAAATAGGTTAATCATGATATTGTACTGGATTGTTGGGTAAAAGCATATACTATGCTGTCCAAGGACTCCTTATTCCTATGAGGCAATCCAAGTCTGCTTCAAGGGGATCACATTCACAAAAGAAATGCCAAGTGGCAGGAAATTCCAGATGGCAATGCCACATCAGGTAGAGGTAGCATGAGGTTATGCGAGCAATGCTGATGTCCAAAGGGAAAATTCTTCATATTTTTCTCCCTTTCCTTTTCACCGAAAATCTAACTCATAGGAAATAACATTTCACTTCAACTGACAAAGAAACTTTCCTTTTTCCCTCCCTGACTCAGAAACTAACTAGTAATATTGTAAAGTAGGAAAACTACTTAAATCTCAGCTTCCCTGAAGAGTTTATATTTGGCATACTAGGGATATTTCCAACACCATTCCTTAAATTCCTCTAAAGACCTCTCCCACTTACAGCAGCACTTGCCCAAGACTTCAATAAGGCCTTTTTCTTCACAAGCTTCAATATTCTAAGTTACTTGGAAACTGTGATGAAAAAAAATAGGTGCAAAACAACTTTTCTAAAAGATCCCATGTATTATCCAACTTCATCTCCAAAAATATAGGGCATATATAATTGAAATTCATCTCTAATTATAAAAACACCTAGATCATCTCACATATTTTTCCTTTAAAAATTCAGAAATACATCTGCTATCAATATGTAATTACATTTAAGGCCAGGCACGGTGGCTCACGCCTGTAATCCCAGCACTTTGGGAGGCTGAGATGGGTGGATCACTTGAGGTCAGGAGTTCAAGACCAGCCTGGCCAACATGGTGAAACCCCGTCTCTACCCAAAATACAAAATTAGCCAGATGTGGTGGCCCATGACTGTAATGCCAGCTACTTGGGAGGCTGAGGTGGGAGAATCACTTGAATCCAGGAGGTGGAGGTTGCAGTGAGCCAAGATTGCGCAACTGCACTCCAGCCTGGGCAACAGAGTGGGACCCCGTCACACACACACACACACACACACACACACACACACACACACGAATGTAATTACATTTAGGTCACCTCCCCTGTTCACTTAACCAGTGTGTCCATTCAGAAAGACACAGGAAAAAAAGCTGGGCACAGCAGCTCACGCCTGTAATCCCAGCACTTTGGGAGGCTAAGGCGGGCGGATCACAAGGTCAGGAGTTCGAGACCATCCTGGCCAATATGGTGAAACACTGTCTCTACTAAAAACACAAAAATTAGCCAGGCGTGGTGGTATGTGCCTGTAGTCCCAGCTACTCATTAGGCTGAGGCAGAAGAATCGCTTGAACCTGGGAGGCGGAGGTTGCAGTGAGCTGAGATGGCGCCACTGCACTCCAACCTGGGCAGCAGAGCAAGACTCTGTCTCAAAAAACAAACAAACAAACAAACAAAAAAAACCAGAAAGACACAGGAAAATAATAACGAGTTACTTCTGTGTGCCAGACGCTCTATTAGCTGCATCACAAGTCTGAAAGATCTACGGTCTAACGGCAGCTCTGCTTTTTGTTAGCTGTGTGATATTGGGCATGCTACTCAATTACTCTCAGCCTTAATGTTAATTCTCTAGATTGAGGATAATAACAATCACCTCATAGGGTTACTGTGGGGTTTAAACTAGTTGATGGTTGCAGTAAAGACTTAGGAACCATATTTGGCCGCTAGAGTCAGCTTCCTATAGCCATAACTAATAAAATGGAACTAAGAACTAGAACTGTTGCAGGAAAGAGAAGTTGGCCACAATTCCGGGCAAAGAGCTAAAGAACCAAATTAGTATTCTCTCAAGAATCTTCACCCTTGGGCCTGCATCCATTTAGGGGGAAGGTATAGAGCACTATTAGGGAGAAGCCCTGGGGCTGACTGGTGCTAACACAAAACCAAAGAGGTGGATAGGACCAGACCAGTCTCTGGAATGCAACATTTGACTCGAGTTGGCACTTAGAAGCAATGCCATACGGTTTGCATTGAAAAATACATAATGTTAGGTAAATCGTTATTACTACATACATACATACACACACAGGTAGCTGCCCCCAAGCAGAAGTGGATTTTTATGTTGCATGGCTGAATAGAGGACAGAATGGATGAGTGGATAGATATATCAGAGAAGGCAAGGAAGGTGAAAATTAGAAAGGCCATATAGGCTGATAGCTAAGCCTTCAGGCTTAAAAAGACAGAATGCCTGGGTTTGAATCTTGGCTCCACTACTCACTTTTTAGTGTGAACTCAGTCAAGTTAAATAACTTTTCTATGCCTAAGTTTCCTCTTCTGTAAATGTGGATAATATTAGTAACTACCTCATAGGATAGTTATAAGGATTTAAAAGTTTATATATTTAAAGCACTTAGAAGATTTCTTGGCATAGTAAGCAACAGTTTCCTAATCTATAAAATGAGCACAATAAAATGTATTACTTCACAAGTTGTTATAAGAATTAAATAAATCATACCATACCTATACAGAGCTTATCCTATACATAATAAATCAATAAATATTAGATATTTTCATTAAAACATGGATGGAGACCAAAAGAAATTTTTAAACCTGAGAAAAATATTCATAATGGAATATAACAGAAAATATTGTGAAAATCCTTATTCATATTTTTGTGTTGAATATATTTATTGGGAAGCCATGAGTAACTTGGCACATTTATCTACTTTCCAATGTGTAAAACACATCAGAATAATTCCATCTCTTAGATCTGCCAAAGAATTTATGTCACAGATACGAAATACAGACCAAAAAAAAAAAAAGAAGAAGAAAATTAAAGAAAAAGAAACCACAACTAGAACAGCAATTCCGAAATAACATTCCTATCAATGTTCATTCACTGACAAAGAAAACATTTAATCTGATAGCATAAAAATTAATAATAAAAAAGCTATTTTACTTATAGAGAAATTACTGGAGATAACAACACTTTTATTATTTTTAAAATGGGCACTCATTGAGAAACTTGCTGCAACATGCTTTCTAAAGAACAGAACAAATGTTGCCATAAAATTTAGAATTTAAAGGTCAACTAATTGCAACCCAAATAAGCTAATATCTTCTATTTAGTCCATAAGGAAGCCAAACGAGTACAGAAGTCAAGAAAAGCAGGAAAATTTTGAGAGGGATCCTGTGGTCAACAGTGTCAACTGCTGAGAGGCTTAGGCAACAAATGGGAAGTGTCCATGAGGTTTAGTAATAAGGACATAATTGGTGGATCCTGACAAAAATCACTGTATGGGGCAGTTGGGGTTGTTGGAAAATACCGGATAAATCATAGTACAACATGGAAAATGATTTTCATTGACAGAAGAGCAAAAGATAAAAGATGAGTCACTAAGTTACGTTAGAAAAAACTTCTCCAACTTGGAGATACTCAAACTGGGATTTTATAAGCTATAATTTTAATAATTTTGATGTAATATCAATAAATAAAGCACATTGAAGTTCAGGATTCATTGACTGATTGATTACTGAGTCATCCTTGACCCAAAGTGAGTAAGGATAACTTTAGTCTTCTACCTAAAAGATGTTAAAGCCCAAAAGTTTGAGATGATATATATGCAAGTTTAGACTTAATGATGTTTTGCTGAATGTTATTATAATAATTCTGTACTAAGAGATTCTTGGCTAGCAATGAAAGGAAGATTTAATACCTTTTTTGGAGATATGATACATGTACCAATCTCCATCCCAAAAGGATTATGCAGATTAGTGTTTCAGAAACCACCTGTAAGTTCTTCTGATCAGTTCTGAATAACCACTAATATCATTCATCCATTCATCCAGACAGTGCTTTCCAATAGAAATATAATATGAGCCACAGGTGTGATTTTAAATTTTCTAATACACACGTTTAAAAAGTAAAAAGAAGTGGGTAAAATTAATTTTAATATTGCCTATTTAACCCAATATCCACAATATCATTTCAACATATAATCAATATAAAAATTATTGCTGAGATATTTTACATTCTTTCATGCTAAAACTTTGAAATCCTGTATTTATTCTACTTTTACAACACACCTCAATTTGAACTAGCCTTATCTGAAGTGTTGAACATCCACATGTGGCTAGTGGCTACTGCATTGGGACAGCAGAGGTCTAGAATTCAAGTTCCCTGGAAATAGGAATATGGGTTGTCTTGTTCATATATGTAACTGTAGTATTAAGAACGGTGTCTAACACATAATTAGCCCTCAAAGAATATTTGTTGAATGAATAAATGAACAAATCTATTGGTTTTATACACATACTTGCAAAAAATTCCTGTAATATAAATGAAATTCTAATTACATGATTAGAAAAGCATATAATTATTTTAAACTCAATTCTAGCCCAGGCAAGAATTTAGCAATATATACTTAGTCAACACAGATTCCTAAGTAGATACATCTTTCAAATACGGTATAAACACATTTTACTATCAATAGATAATTTTTTTCTATAATCCCTTCAATATGATTTTTGTAAACATTTAGTAGATCAAAGCTGTCATACTCCTCTAATAAAATCAAATAAATTATAGCTTTCTCTCTGGAATGAATGAACTCTACATTCACCAAACATACACGGTTCTCACATATGCCACTAGCATTTGCAAATAAATATTTTTTGTCTTAAAGTCCAATCTACCCTAACACTGGCAAAAGAATATGCCAAATATAGCTTCAAATACTTGACAAAAATTAAATCAAACCCCCAAAGTACTGAGATTATTTAATATAAATGAAGCAGACCCTAAATAGCTGACATTTAATAACAAAGCTTAGGGAGAAAGCTTACCTTCTCTGCTAAAAGCTCTCGTATCTTGCTTGCTTGAACTCTAAATTTCATGAGTTGGGACTCCAGAGCTACACATCGTTCCTTCCAATCTACTGGTCCCTCTGGCTCAGAAAGCTCTGCCATATTCTAAAAAAATTAAATAAATAAACAAAAAATTAAAAAGTAAAACATTCAAATGCTACAACACAATTAATATTCAGGATAATTTGTTAAATTACCCAATGTACACATTATAATCACTGTCTAGTGAGATCCATGTACAAATTTTAAATTCTAAGACAAATTCCAGAACTGGTGAGAACTTATGGAAAGAACTTAATGGGAAATAGGAGACTAAGGCTGGATGGAGCCCAACTGTGCTACTTAACCTTTCTATGTCTCAGTTTAGCCAATCCAGAAAAGGGGGCATGTTGACAACAAACCATTATTCCTTGTGGGTATGTAGTGAGGGACAAATGAAATACTGCTATTTCTAGTAGAACAGACAGTATAACAACACCACACAAACACAGAGTGTTATTATTTTAGCTGTGCCCAACAGATAAGATTGTTTGAATCTATCAGCTCATAATTTTACCATATTCTGAAATTTAAGGAAGTATTACAGTTTGATTCAATTGCTACAATTCACGGTTTGGATTTTTACTATAATGATTCCTTATCATCACTCTCAATTTGGCCAGGTCCAGGTTAAGTCTTTCAAGCCAGAGGTCCTTTGGCGTATTTAAGGGTAAGTTGTTGTGATCCTGACAAGTTTGCATAATTTTTATTTGGTGTAAGAGAAGGCACATATACATGCAATTTGGAGTTAGCCATATGAAGTAAATCTGGAATTAGTGTTTTCCATATTAACTTTCCTTTGGGAGGATATTAATTGCAGGGAGAAGCACTGTAAGGGGGAGGACAAGATGCAAGGGAATTGGTTTTGAAATTTTGAAGTGTTACTTGATTTTGGAAGCATGATGGTTTCTGGCTCTGAGATACATAAAAGTAGTTTTAAATGTTTGGTAATATTTTATCAGGCTATTTTTAATAAGCAGCCTAATAATGTATTTCTGAGTTCCCCTTGCTATGAACTGCCCTGCTATGAAATTTACATTAGGAATGGAAAGCCTCAGTTATGAAGAACGGTGACAGCAAAACTCTCAGAGCCCTGGAATGGAACTGCAGTTGAAGTATACTATTCTATTCTTTTGTTTTCTAAAAATATAACCACATTGATTTTCCCAGTATTTAGCGTAATATAGAATCCTCCCTAATCCTACACCAGTTTTTAAAAACTTTATGCTGCTAAAAACCCACTAAAAGATTATTTTCCTAGCATGAAGATTGTTTTGTACTTAAATCAATTTTCACATTAATACTGACAATATTCAGTACGTTAGAAATAAATATAAGCAGAATCGTTCTTAAAAGACTACAACATTTATTAAGTGCACCCCAGCTTCTTAAAGCCTTCAGATGTCCCCAAATTCTAGCCTTAATTTAAAGGAAACATATTACTGTAGAGCTGGAAGTCATTTTATTTTCATTTCTTTGTTTTCATAGAATCCTTGCCCCATTGTTTCCTGAGGTTTTTCCTAAGGAGATTAACCTTGTTAATAACCTTTTCCATTACCCATATTAGCATTTATGATTAATGATTCACATTGGCATTTACTAGCAATGATTTAGGAGTAGATAATGCAGTTTGTCGATCACAAACACGTTCACAGTTCTGGGGCTGCTTCATTTTTCTCCTTATTAGCTTTAGAGCGAACAGGGAAAGAAAATATGGATGCAATACTAGAAAATAAAAAGTAGGCCTGAAAGGGGCATCTTTACGTCTTGAACTACCATATCATTCCGCAGAAATGTAGGGATACTCTTCTAGCTTAAGGAATAAGAGGAGTCTATTTACCTATTTGTTAATAGGTTAATACTGGTTAATTTTTGCTCTACATGTAAAATAACTTGCCTATGTCCTACAGTAAAATGTCCACAGTTTTAAAAATAACATGAAGAGTGGATATTTTTCAACAAATTGAAATCAATCAATGTAATGCACCATGTGAAAAGAATAAAGAACAAAAACCGTATGATCATTTCAATAGACACAGAAAAATCATTCAACAAAATCCAACACCCCTTCATGATAAAAATATTCAAGAAACTACAAATAGACAGGAACTTCCTCATCCTGATAGAGGACGTTTACTAAAGCCCACAGCTAACATCATACTTACTGATAAATGACTGACAGTTTTCTCCCTGAAATCAGGAACAAGACAAAGATGTCTTTTCTCACCACTTCTATTCAACACTGTAATAGAGATAATAGCCAGGGCAAGACAATAAAATAAAAAACCATCTAGATTGGACAGGAAGAAATAAAACTATCTCTACTTACAGATGACATGATCATGTGCATAGAAAATTCTAAGGAATCCACAAAAAAATACTAAACTATAGAGTTTAGCAAGGTTTCAGGAAATCAGATCAACATACAAAAGTCAGTTGTTTTTCTATACACTAGCAAGGAAAAATCCAAAAATGAAAATAAGAAAATATTCCATTTACAATAGCATCAAAACTAATAAAATATTTAGGAATGAATTTAACAAAAGAAGTGCAAAATGTGTGCACTGAAAACTACAAAACATCACTGAAAGAAATTTAAAAATACCTAAATAAATGGAAGAAATTGTATATTCATGGATTAGAAGACTTAATATTGTGAAGATGGCAATACTTGCAAATGGCTATATACACACAATGCAATCTCTATCAAAGTTGCAACTGCATTTTTTGCAGAAATTGACAAGCTGATCAAACTTTGCCTGGAAATTCAAGGGCTGAAGAATAGACAAAATAAAATTGAAAAGTTGGAGGACTCACATGTTACTATTTCTAAACTTACTACAAAGCTATACAGTAGCTTGATTACACAGTGTGGTACTTGCATAAAGATAGATATATAGATAAACAGAATAAAGTTAAGTCCAGAATTAAAGCCTCACATTGATTTTTGGCAAGAGTGATAAGATCATCCAATGGGGGAAAGAATAGTCTTTTCAACAGATGATGCTGGGACAACTGGATATCCATATGTAAAAGAATGAATGTGGACCCATACCTCATACCATATATACACAGTAACACAAAATGGATCACAAACTTACAGGTACCAGCCAAAGCTCTAAACCAGGGGTGTCCAATCTTTTGACTTCCTTGGGCCACGTTAGAAGAAGAATTGTCTTGAGCCACACATAAAATACACTAACACTAAAGGTAGCTGATGAGCTAAAAAAAAAAATTGCAAAACAAATCTCATAATGCTTTAAGAAAGTTTACAAATTTGTTTTGGGCCACATTCAAAGCCATCCTGGGCTGCCTGTGGCCTGCAGGCCACAGGTTGGACACGCTTGCTCTAAACTCTTAGAAGAAAAGAGGTATAAATCTTCATGACCTTGGATTAGGCAACAGATTCTTAGATATGACACCTAAAGCACAAGGAATCGAAGAAAAAATAGATAAATTGGACTTCATAAAAATTTTTAAATTTTTGTCCTTCAAAGGACACTATCAAGAAAGTGCAAAGATAACCCACAGAATGGGAAAAATAGTTGCAAATCATGTATCTCAGGGATTTGTGTCTAGAATATATAAAGGACTCTTAGGACTCAACGATAAAAAAAGATAACCCAATTAAACAATGGGCAAAGGCCTGGACGTGGTGGCTCATGCTTATAATCCCAGCACTCTGGGAGGCCGAGGCGGTTAGACTGCCTGAGCTCATGAGTTTGAGACCAGCCTGGGCAAGGTGGCAAAACCCTGTCTTTATTAAAAAAAAAAAAAAAAAAAAAATTAGCCAGGCATGGTGGTGCAGGCCTGTAGTCCCAGCTACTTGGGGGTTGAGGCAGGAAGATCACTTGAGCCCAGGAGGTCGAAGCTGCAGTGAACCATGTTCACACCACTGCACTCCAGCCTGGGCGACAGAGGGAGACCCCGATCTTTAAAAACAATAATAATAATAAATTAAAAATAAATAAATAAAAATGGGCAAAGTATCTGAATAGAGATTTATCCAAAGAAGATATACAAATGGCCAATAAGCACATTATTTGCTATGAGAGAAAATGCAAATCAAAGTCACAACAACATTCCACTTCACATCAAATAGGATGTTCTAATGAAAAAGACATCTAACAACAAGTGTTGGTGAGGATGTAGAGAAATGGGAACCCTCATACATTGTTGGTGGGAATGTAAAAATGGTACAGCTGCTTTGTAAACAGTTTTACAGTTCCTGAAAAGTTTAAACAGGCCAGCATGGTGGCTCACGCCTGTAATCCCAACAGTTTGAGAGGCTGAGGTTGGAGAATTCATCTCTGAGGTCAGGAGTTCAAGACCAGACTGTGCAACATAGCAAGACCTCATCTCTATCAAAAAATTTAAAAATCAGCTAAGCGTCGGGGAGCTTACCTGTGGTCCCAGCTACTCGGGAGCCCTGTGTGGGAGGATCACTTGAGCAGTGAGCTATGATCATACACTGCACTCCAGCCTGGGTGACAAGAGTGAGACACCGTCTCAAAAAAAAAAAAAAGTTTAAATATAAAGTTACCAAGTTATTGGAGTAACTTTATATTTGGTATATCAATATAAAGTATTGGTAACTTTATACTTGGCATTGGAGTTGCTGGGTCATATGCCAAGGGATGGGGTCATATGCCAAGGGATGAAATACACATCCACACCAAAACTTGTAAATAAATGTTCAGAGCAACATTATTCATGATAGCCAAAGAGTAGAAACAGCCTGTGTCCACCATCAGATGAATGAATAAAATGTAGTAGATCTGGCTGGGTGCAGTGGCTCACTCCTGTAATCCCAGCACTTTGTAGGGCAAAAGCAGGTGGATCATCTGAGGTCAGGAGTTCAAGACAAGCCTGGCCAACATGGCAAAACCCCGTCTCTACTAAAAATACAAAAATTAGCCAGGCATGGTGGTGCAGGCCTATAATTCCAGCTACTAGGGAGGCTGAGACAGGAGAATTGCTTTAACCCAGGAGGCAGAAGTTGCAGTGAGCTGAGATCCTGCCATTGCACTCCAGCCTGGGTGACAGAGTGAGACTCTGTCTCAAAAAAAAAAAAAAAAAAAAAAAAGTGGTACATCCATACAATGGAATATTATTCGGCCATAAAAAAGGAATACAGTACTAATACACGCTATAGTCATGGAAGAGCCTTGAAAACATTATGCTAAGTGAAAGATGCCAGACACAAAAGGCCACATATTGTATGAGTCCATTTACATGAAATGTCCATAAGAGGCAAATCCAAAGGACAGAAAGTAGGTTAGTGGTTGCCAAGGGCTGTGAGGAGAAGGTAGCAGATACTGACTACAATGGATAGGGGGTTTCTTTTTGGGGTGATGAAAATATTCTAGAATTAGATATTGGTGATGGCTATACAACCTTGTGAATATACCAAAACCCAGTGAACTGTATACTTTAAAAGGAAAAATCTTATAGTTTGTGACTTATATTAAGATCTCAATAAAAAAGATCACATATTTACAAATGACTAAAGAAAAAGTCGCAGTTTAAATGGATGTATACTAGGACTGCATTTACAAATTTAATCAACCATTATTTGTGGTTATCCCTGCCAAGAATTTCACAATTAGCTCAAAAAATTGAGAGGTAACTGTTAACCCCAAATATGAAAAGTATCATACATATATCTTACCTAGCGCACTTTGCTATGATGACATAATAAATTAATTCAAAGTCAAACATACCTATTTCTTTAGTTATGCTAATTATATATTTTATAGTGAAGTAGCAAAGCCTTAAGAATATTATTAAATTGGCATTTAACATCTACATTCCCTATTAATGGGTCATAATAAATCAGAACTGCAAATTGGTTGGATAATGGTCTGCACTGAGATCCAGACACCTGATTCCCTCATTTCATTCTGTAATTTCAGTTAGTTAACAAGTACAAAGCAACTGTTGTATTAGTGCACCATCTTGGGTAGTTAAAAATTCTAATTTTAAACAATATCCGCCATCCTTTTCATTACCACTAATGTTATAGAACTATATAACATTGGGAATATATATATAACTATATAACATAGCCGACTGCTAAATAAAGAAAATACCACATATAGATTCTGAATTTGAAAGGAATCTATCATGTCTAGATTCTGCATTTGAAAATAATCTATCTTCACTTCAGGGGACAGGAAAAAGTCTTGGAGTTCCAAATACCCCCAGTGATTTTTGGAAGTATTTACTGACATAAGATAAACTGTTTACAATTGTGGAGTGAATGCTCTTTTCTCTGAATCTCTGACTTCCTGTTTCTCTTCCAAATCCCAAAAAGGAAAGAAAAAGAAATGAAAGAATTATTCTACTTAGGCTTACCCTGATGAAGCGCAGCGTTAGTCTCTATGATATTCTTTAGTTTTTGCCTCTTAAGGGACAGCTTAACTGGGCTGGGTAATCGTGTGTGTGAGTGTGTGTGTGTGTGTGTGTGTGTGTGTGTGTGTGTGTGTTAAAAGATCTTTCTCGACGAGACTGAGGCATGCCTTGTTTAAGGAACCTTCTGACCACCACCTAGCCACCTAGCCCCACTTGGGCAACGCCTGCCCTTCGGTGACCCTGCCCAGAACAGCCGAGCTCCTCACTACATACTCCTCTGGGACACACCGCTGTGCGGGCCAGGCTTCCAAGACTGGCATTTTCACAAAGAAAGCAGTGACCCTCAGGTAGCCCACCACCAGAGCTTTTCCAATGTAAGTGGTTCGACTTCTATTTCCACAGCGTTACGCACAACAATATCGACGGGTAAAAAGTGTTGTCCTTTAAAAAGTGCCCCACTAACTTCGGGGACAGTGGTTTCCGGGTAGGTCACCTTAGGGTGCTTTGACGTGCCAGCAACTCGAGGTGTACAAAATGCTTCTTTAAAGTTTTGAGTTTAAAGTTTCGCCCCGGAGATCCTGGTGGATCTCCCGAAGCCTAAGGCGAGCGCGGCATCCCTGACCGCGCGGGTCCCTCGGCTCGGGGACCCTGGGCTGCCCCGCTGCGCCCCCGGGACCGCTCGCGCCGCGCCAGAAGCCCGGGCCCAGTGTTTCCAAACAGAACGTCACGGGAGCCCACGGGCGCGAGGGACCGCCGGCCACCGCCCCCTGCCCACCTCTCCCGGCGACATCCAGACTTGGGGGCCGACTCTGGGCTGTGGCGGGAGGTGCAGCGGCGGATCCCGAGTCAGCCCGCTCCGTCCCTCTCGTCCCCGCCTTCCCGCTCCTCCCGGCGCCCCAAACCTCGGCCCCGCGAGCCCCCCTGGACGGGGCGCCCTCAAGGGGGCGGGGATCCCAGGGTGGCAGGAACTCTGGAGTGGCCCCTCGTCCCCGGGCTTTCTCACCTGTCTATCTCAGCAGCGGGTCCCCGGCCGCAGCGCCCGATGTCCCGGCCGCGACTGGCCCCCGGGATCCCCGGACTCTCAGCCCGCGCCCGCCTCAAGCCGAGCTCGGAGAGGGCGGGGAAGGGCACCGCCTCCTCCAGGGACTGGCAGCCGGTGTAGCCAATGGGAGACCACAGCCGACCACCGGGCGTCACCGGGGGTGTGGCTATAACTTTGGCTCCTCCCAGTCCCTGCCCCAGGAGGGAGCTCTGTCCTGGAGTGGTACCCCTAACGTCCCAACTGCGAGACTCCAGAGCTTGCTGCAGCGGCCGGTCACCTTCATTCCACTCCGTCTGCCTGGACTGTTGCAGCACCCTCCCTTGGTCTCCCAGTCTGAAGTCTCTCCTCTTGCCAATCCACCCTTCATCTTCCTGCCAGGTTAATTTCCTTAAGAGCAGTTTTGATGAACAGTGTGCCAAAGACTTTCATTGGCTTCCGTTTGCTTAAATTATCAAGAACAGATTCCCTAGTCTAGTGTTCAAGGTCTCCATCCCGTCTTTTCAGGTTTATTTCTCACAGCTGCCCTTCACACACCTGAGACTACTGCTGTGCACCTCGCCACCCGAAGGAAGTGGCACTAGGAGCGTTTACATGCTATTTCCTGTCTCCACTTCAAAAAGCTCAGAATAATCTTCTCACCGGGCGCAGTGGCTCACGCCTGTAATCCCAGTACTTTGGGGGACCGAGGCAGGTGGATCACTTGAGGCCAGGAGTTCGAGACGAGCCTGGGCAACATGGTGAAACCCTGTCTCTACCAAAAAAAAAAAAAAAATATATATATATATATATATATATACACACAAAAAAAAAAAATTAGCTGGGCTTGGTGGCGCTCACTTGTAGTCCCAGCTACTCAGGAGGCTAAGGCTGGAGGATTGCTTAAACACAGGAGATGGAGGCTGCAGTGAGCCGCGATCATGCCACTGCACTGGATCCTGGGCGACTGGGCGAGATCCTGTCTCAAATCATCATCATTATCATCATCATCATCATCATCATCTTCTCCATGTAACTATGTCTGTCGCTCCACCTGGCAGAAATGTCGTCTCTGGGCCGGGCGCAGTGGCTCATGCCTGTAATTCCAGCACTTTGGGAGGCCGAGGAGGGCAGATCACGAGGTCAAGAGATCGAGACCATCCTGGCCAACATGGTGAAACCTGGTCTGTACTAAAAATACAAAAATTAGCTGGGCGTGGTGGTGCACGACTGTAGTCCCAGCTACTCGGGAGGCTGAGGCAGGAGAATCGCTTGAACCTGGGAAGCGGAGGTTGCAGTGAGCCAAGATAGCACCACTGCACTCTAGCCTGCCTACAGAGCAAGACTCCATCTGAGACAAAAAAAAAAAAAAAGGTCTTCTCTGGTTTCTGCTCCCTGAACATCTAGATTTTTGCCTCTCTTGGGGCTTAGCTCCCTCTGCCTTATGCACAGCTCCTCACATCTCTTTTAGACTGTGAGCACTTTGAAAACAAGGATTTGTGGTTTTTTTTTTTTTTTTGCATTCTCCTCAGCACAGAGCATATTGCATAAGTAAATTAGTGATAATTTAAATCCAGGTGAATTTTACATCCCAACTTAGGGTCTGGAGAGGTCAATCTCAGGGTAAAATAAAGAGAATTCTGAATGTTATGGATAATCGTTCCCCAGGTCACAAAGCTAGGTCAGACAGATTATTCTCTTTGGTTCACAGTTGGCCAATAGAGAGTATCAGAAAAACTTTTTCTACTACAATCTTTTTTTTTTTAACTTTATCTCATCTTATATAAAACACACACACACACACACACACACACACACACACACACACACACACACAGAGGATGGGCACAGTGGCTCATGCCTGTAATCCCAGCATTTTGGGAGACCAAGGCGGGCAGATGACTTGAGGTCAGGAGTTTGAGACCATCCTGGCCAACATATCGAAACCCCATCTCTACTAAAAATACAAAAATTAGCTGAACATGGTGGCATACGCCTGTAATCCCAGCTATTCAGGAGGCTGAGACAGGAGAATCGCTTGAGCCAGGAAGGCAGCAGTTGCAGTGAGCTGAGATCGCACCACTGCACTCCAGATTGGGTGACAGAGCAAGACTCTGTCTCAAAAAAAAGGAAAGAAAAAACCACAAAAGAGATAAAGATTTTCAAAGTTTCTCAGAGGAAAAGCAATAAGTGAATACAACTAAAAGTCCAGTAAGCAAGTATCAGGCTTTCATATTTCTTCCAGATGAGCATTAATTTTGAACAGGATCCCAGACTACCCCCACACATCAAATTCCTTTTGCCTTCTGTGGGAGCTGATGATGCATATCATATGAAAAATTGTCTTCAAACAGCTTTGGCAAACAAGCAGACTGGACTGGGCTTATTTTATAGAGCACGCAGGAGTTAAACAAACAGAGTTTCAGTAACTTGCATAATTTAACACAGCAAGTCAGTAGAGACCAAGCAGGAGAAAGAGAGAAAGAATGCCAAAATAGAATCACTTCCGTTTGTGAGTCAGAAATACTAATTAGACTAAAAGAACTGAGTGAATAAAGTCACTCATGAAAAGCCGCTTTGTAAACACGGCTGCCACCCTTGTAAGGCTTAGCCAATATTTACTTACTGTCACCTTTTTCTAGAAACATGACAAACTGAATTTGTCTGGGTATGGAGAATACAGCGGAACAGCATCCTATCTTTGTCTATGCTGAGAAAAACACATGGTACAATGGAATATTATTCAGTGGTAAAAAGAAATAAAGTACTGATACATGCTACAACATTGATAAACCTTGAAAACATTATACTTAATGAAAGAAGCCAGTCATTTAAAAGGCACATACTGTAGGATCCCATTTACATGAAATGTTCAGAACAGGCAAATCCATAGAGACATAAGTGGATTGGTGGTTGCTTAGGGCTGGGAAGGATCGGGGTGATGGCTAAGACAAGTGAGGTTTATTTTTGCGATAATAAAAACATTTATGGTGATGATTACACAACTTTGAACATACAAAAAGCCATGGACATACGCAATTTAAATGGATAAACTGGATGTTATTGAATTATATCTCAATAAAGATGTTTTAAAAAAGAAAAACATGTTGAATTTTGTGTTTTTACGTTAGGTAGCAGGGATAGAAAATGTTAGTAGCAATAGGCACCTTTGTTTTATAAGCATTAATCTAAATTGTGATATTATGTTTATTTGTGATTATTTTGTCTGTTTTCCCCCCCACAAGACTGTAAGTGCCAGAAAAGTAGAACAACTGTTTTTGCTCTTTAATGTATATCCAGTATCTAGCAAAAATCATAAGTCAAACCACCGTAAATCAGGAACTGTTTATACATCTCAACTTCTTTCAAGAAATTGAACCTACAAGGTCTAACAGCTGATTAGAAGGCGGATTAGAAGGGAGGCTTTGTGTCTGCATTATCAGGAAATGATGGTGCCATTTACAAAAGTAAGGAAGCAAGGAGAGGGAACAAGAAGAATGAGATCTGGCTTGGAGGTACTGAGCACAACTTGAGGTGCGAGTGAAATATCCAGGAGAGAGCCAAGAGAAAATCAGTCAGGCTGAGCTGGGGAGAAGGTTTGAATTTGGGTGTACATTTCAACGTATACTTCTGCATAGGGGGAGATTACTGTAAATTGTAGAATGATTGCTGGCCATGTGGCCATTTGGCACATTGGGAGCAAGGACAGAGGGGTTGAAGGGAAAAGAGGTACGGAGCTGGGTAAATATCAGGGAATAAGTATCTGATCCTTTAATCCACCACACATAAAATCCAAAAAGAAAGAAGGAGGGCGGAGACACTATCTCCACTAGAATAAGCTTGTGGCTTCTGGCACGGAGAAAGTATAAACCCCAGCACCTGGGAAAAGATATCAAAGACAAGGGGAAGATTTGGAAAAATGAATAGAGCTAGCAGGAACAGCTCTCTCTAGCTGAGGAGGGTACAGGTCTGGGCACTCCAGGCTGTTTACCTGCAACCTAGGAGACCAGAAAAGCCTTGGCATGAAGGAGGCCCTACAAACAAGGAGACAGACAAGCATCCTGGCCCTCCCAGTGGGGGTGGACCAGGAAAACAGTTTCTTTGATGTGTCCCCAGTGTCCAGAGCATACTGGCTTGCTCAGTCCTTTGGGTCTGCAACGAAGGCAGGATTTGCTTCAATCTCACCTCCCCAGGTGAGCTGGGCCCCCACTATCACAGATTGGTTGGGGGTAGCATAGGTGGTGCCAGAACTGGTGAAGGTGAGAGACTAATGGGCATTGCTAAGGTCATGAAAAGAAAACAAGTGTGTACAGAAGCATAACAAAAGCACAGAGGTGGGTACTTTGAGCACCACTTATTTTAAGGCAACTGAAAAGAGGAAAAGAATTGTTGAACCAGACTGAGGGAGAGCCAGTAATAGTTTGTTCAGGACCCATGAAGTTAAAAAAAAGAAAAAAAGACACTGGACATTAAAATCACACAGGAAAGCTGGGCAGGGTGGCTCACGCTTGTAATCCCAGAACTTTGGGAGGCCAAGGAGGGCGGATCACGAGGTCAGGAGTTCAAGACCAGCCTGGCCAACATGGTGAAACCCCATCTCTACTAAAAATACAAAAAAAATTAGGCAGGCGTGGTGGCATGCCCTTGTAATCCCAGCTACTCAGGAGACTGAGGCAGGGAGAATCACTTGAACCTAGGAGGTGAAGGTTGCAGTGAGTTGAGATCTCACCATTGCACTCCAGCCTGGGTGATAGAGTCACACTCTGTCTCAAAAAAAAAAAAAAAAGAAAAAGAAAGAAAGAAAAAGAAAATCACACAAGAAAACAGTGATCCAGACAGTAAAAAGGTGTTAAATGTGAACAGATTATTTTTCTTGCTTGGGGTCAGTACCTACCAGGCAAAGGCAGCCATTCTGGTACAGAATCTTATTACGGCTGACAGCTAACAGTCCTCCTTCTCTCTCTATATGGTGCATAGAGACAGCTTATGCCAGAATTAAGGGAACAAAGCAACGCAGCAAAACTGACCACGATATCCCCTGATGCTAACGGTTAGAGAAAAGACACACTATAAGAACATTATTATGTGCTGTGTAATAATTGTAAAATGAAACTGCGTCTTCAAAAGACTCCAGAGAAAGCTGAGGTCAACAGGATGGTAACAAGTACAGAATGCTCAATGGGGAGGCAGGACTTGAACTGGTTAATCAGAAGGATCTGGTTACTGCATTGTTAGGGTTAGGGTGAGGCAAGGTCACAACAGGAGGCACTAGCCTGTGAGCACGAGTGAACGGATGAATGAATGAATGATTGATGGTGGTATTCACGAGGGAGATTGAGCCGTCTTGCCCAGCTGGAGGGGAAAGAAGTTTGGCATCAGCTGATATCCGGTTCTACCAGATGACATCGAAGTATTGGGAAGCAGGTCCAAAACAACATAATCAGAAGTGACTGTTACAGTTTCTTCTATTATATCATTGTCTGTGGAATATACTATGGAGATTTCAGAACTTGGCAGAGTGGTTGAAGACATACAAGTTGAGCATCTCTAAATGGAAAATCCAAAATCCTAAGTGCTCCAAAATCTGAAAGTTTTTGCATGCCAGCGTGACATCAGAAGCGGAAAATTCCACAACTGACCTCATGTTATGAGTCTCAGACAAAATGCAGGTGTACAACACAGTTTATTTAGCATCCCCAAAGGAAAACGACCCTCCCAGCCCTCTTCAGGTATGATACAACTTTTCTGTGCACACACAGATTCCCCATGCAAACATACCCACAAAGGGTAATTAAATGGCACATGTTCAGGTTGAACATTCCAATAGCAGGTTTCCCACAATGCCCCACATGGAGCCAAGATCTATGTGCAATATTCACGGTGGTTTTGTTTTTGTTTTTGTTTTTTATTCTCTGCTCTGTGGTATAAAGTTATTGTTGCAAATGTAAAAAAGGCCTGCAGGTACCCCCGGGTAACAGTGATAAGAAAAAGAGGATGCCTTTTTGTTGATCTATAGCACCAAAATTCAAACCATTGGAAAAACTGCACGAGAGTGTGTGAAATATCTCACAGAAGAGTATAGTGTTGGACAGAACACCACCTATATCCTTCTGAAGAAACAGAAGGATGAACTGTTAGAAAGTGATGAACTGAAGTTAATGAAAAATTTAAAAAAACACTCCATAAAGCTAAAAATTAAGATCTCGATCATATATTGAAAGGCTGAATCCATCAGTGATTCAGTGAACACATGCCACTTAATGGTAATGCTGATCATAAAACAAGCAAAGATCTATCACAGTGAACTGAAAATTGAAGTGAACTGTGAATATTCAACAGGCTGGTTGCAGAAATTTAAGAAAAGACACAGGATTAAATTTTTTAAGATCTTTGGTGATGAAGCATCTGCTGATCTACAAAGCAGTGAAGTTCACTGACGAATTTGCAAAGGTCATCACTGATAAAAACCTGATGCCAGGGCTGGGCACGGTGGCTCATGCCTGTAATCCCAGCACTTTGGAAGGCCAAGGTGGGAGGGTCACTTGAGCCCAGGAGTTTGAGACCAGCCTGGGCAACACGGCAAAACCCCATCTCTACAAAAAAAATACAAAACTTAGCCAGGCATAATGGCACATGCCTGTAATCCCAGCTACTCAGTGGACCAAAGAGGGAGGATTGCCTGAACCCTGGAGGTCAAGGCTGCAGTGAGCAGAGACCATGCCACTGCACTCCAGCCTGGGCAACAAAGTGAGACCCTGTCTCAAAAAAAAAAAAAAAAATCTGATGCCAGAAAATTCTACAATGCTCATGAAACATCACTGTTTTGGCGTTGCTACCCCAGTCAGACACTGACCACAGCTGATGAGACAGACCCTAAAAGAATTAAGCATGCCACAGAAAGAATAACTGTGCTGGGATCTGCTAATGCAGCAGGGCTACATGAGTGTAAACTTGCATGACAGGCAAGAGCTTGACTCCTCACTGTTTTCAAAGAGTGAATTTCTTACTGGTCCTTTATGCTAACAAAAAGGCACGGATTGCCAGGGACATCTTTTCTGATTAGTTTCATAAACATTTTGTACCAGCGGCTCATGCTGGCTTCAGGAAAGCCAGACTGGATGACAACTGCAAGATTTTGTTCTTCCTTGACAACTCTTCTGCTCATCCTCTAGTTAAAAATCTCATCAAAAATAATGTTTATGCCATGCACTTTCTAAATGTGGTTTCCACATTTCCCAAATGTAACTTTGTTAATTCAGCCATGTGACCAGAGAGTGTCCTTAGATCAATGAATAGTAAACATAAAAATACTTTTTTGAACTGTATGCTAGCAGCAGTGAACAGAGGCATGGATGTGGAAGATTTTCGAAAGGAATTGAGCATGAAGGATGCCATATATGTTGTTGCCAGGGGTTGGAACACAGCGGTTAGAGACCAGGTTGTTCATGCCTGGCACAACCTCTGGCCTGTGACTATGTTTGGCAATAATGAACAAGGTGACGACTTTGAAAGATTCTCTATGTCAAGTGAGAAAAATACGATGTCCAACCTCTTTTCATATGTGAAAAATATACCTTCAGAGTCCAGCAGTAAGCTAGAAGTGGATATTGAAGAAGTTTTTAACATCGATAATGAGGCTTCAGTTGTTTATTCATTGACCGATGGTGAAATAGCTGATATGGTTCTGAATCAAGGTGATCGTGACAATGGTGACAATGAAGATGACATTGTTAACACTACAGAATAAGTGCCAAGTGACATGTGACATGGTGGAAATTTGTGATGGGCTTATTAAAGGACTAGAGTAGTGTGCATTCATAAGAGAACAAAAATTGTGTTTGCTTATAAAATCGAAGAGAAACTTTTCAGACAAAAACCATTGTCAATAAAGTAGATGACTTTGGGGATAATATTTTTTAAAAAACCATCCAGCAAAAGGTCTCCTCATTACTAGAGGGCCACTTCCTGGTCCCTAAACTGGTTCTAATGTTTCTTCTCACCTAAAGAACAATAAAATACAGTGTACAGTAACCTTTTAATCAAACACAGCATAGCAGGTGGAGGCTGAAAGCCCACCATCGTTTGTTGTTGCTGTTGTTTCACAGCTGACCCAGGTATTCTGGTAAGGCTACTATACTGCTTAGTTACCCTGAATACATCATTTTTTTCACTGTGTTAGTGACATGGCATTTTTTCCCTATTAAATAAGTATGTGAAAATAAGTATAAGGAAGTGATTGCTTGTCGGTAGCATATAAAATCAGAGTCAGGAATGATGGTGATGCCAAACAGCCACAGATTGTCCATACAGGTAACTGAGATTGAGCCAACTTTGCTTTCTGATAGTCCAGTGTAAACCAGCTTTGTTTCATGCATTTGAAATATTGCATAAGTTATTTTAAATATCTTATTAAATTAAAATACTGTATAAAATTAACCTTCAGGCTATGTGTATAAGGTATATGTGAAACATAAGTGAATTTCATGTTTAGACTTGGGTCACATCCCCAAGATATCTCATTATGTATATGCATATATTCCAAAATCCAAAAAATTCCCAAACCTGCAACACCTCCAGTCCCAAGCACTTTAGATAAAGAATACTCAACCTGTGTTTGATTGCACTGTACCGAATGAAGTACAATACTAGTGTATTTGGTGGGTATTAGAAACTTGCATAAAGCATTTTTTTGAAAAATAGGAGATACACAGCAGGTCAATCCCAAGAGTTAAGGTTAGGAGGACTAGGCAGTTGAAGCCAGGGAAATGAAAAAATGCAAGAGGGCAATGTGTAGGAACAGAACAGCCAATGACATGCTGAACTCAGGAGGTTGGGGTCTCTCTGAGCTTAGCTGAAATAACGTGAGATAACTTGGCAGCAACATTTTGAACAAACAATCCAAATGAAAAAGTAATTACTTGCATCCTTGTTTTCAATAATTCTTTTCCTTTACTTAATCAAATTCATATGGTGGCCTTGTACTTTGAACTTTAGTGCTATGTTACTCTGTTATATACTCAAATCAATATAAAAACCTTTTTCTTAAGAGTCCCATAGCCATATTTGCATCACAATATTTTGTTTCCTGATTCTACAGCAATATAAACTCATTTTTACTGGAAAATATAAAAAGATAGAAAGAACAAAGATAACCTAAATAAACCACAGGCAGTCTTCATAAACAATTTTACATTTTGTTGTCTTTCAGTCTTTTTTCTGTACATATACTTATTTCCCTTAAAATATGGGATTATGCTGAATTCTTACTTTTATCAGGCTTTTATAGTTAACATATTATTGTGAGCATTTTCCTTGTCATTAAGTATTATTTGAAAATGTTTTTCATGATTGGTTAATAGTCCATCCTAAGATTTTATCCTAGTGTATTTAAGCATTTAATATTGTACAGTTAGATTGTTTTAAATTTTTAATTAGTATAAAAACAGCATAACTTTTTCCAAACTTTCATGTTTTCCTAATAGTCTTTCGGAAGACTTTTTTATGGTGGCTTTGATGAGATATCACTCATATACTACACAATTCACCCCTTTAAAGTGTATAATTTAATAGTTTTTAGTATATTAACAGAAGTGTGCAACCACTATCATAATCAATCTTAGAACATTTTCATCAACCTAAAAAGAAACCTTGTATACTTTAATCATCACCTCTTAATCCTCCCATTCCCCTCAACCCTAGGCAACCACTAATCCACTTCCTGCTGCTATCGGTTTGCCTATTCTGGGCATTTCATGCAAATTGAACTGTATAATATGTTGTCTTTTGTGACTGGATTTTTCACTTAGCTATTATTTTTAAGGTTTATCCATGTTGTAGAATTTATCAGTAATACATTCCTTTTTATGGTTAAATAATATTCCATTATATGGATAGATCACAGTTTGTTTATCCCATTCAGCAGTTAATGGACATTTATTTGGGTTCTTTTGACTTTTTAGCTATATAATGAATGTTGCTATAAACATCTCTGTACAAATTTTTGTGTGGACATATATTTTCATTGCTTTGGGTATATCCTACAAGTGGAATTCCTGGGTCATAGGAACTTTATGTTTAACCTTTCGAGGAACTTCCAGACTGTTTTTCAAAGTGGCTGCACCATTTCGCAATTCCCCTAGCAGTGAGTGAGGATTTCACTTTCACCACAACCTCATCAATACTTGTTATTATGTGTCTTTTTATTACAGTCATCCTAATGGTTGTGAAGTAGTATGTCATTGTCTTTTTTATTTGCATTTCCCTAACAACTAACAATGTTAAGCATCTTTTCATGTACTTATTGTCCATTTGCATATCTTCTTTGGAGAAAGTCTATTCAGGTCATTTGCTAATTTTTCATTCGAGTTATCTTTTTTTTTTTTTTTTTTTTTTTTTTTGAGATGGAGTTTCGCTCTTTTCCCCCAGGCTGGAGTGCAATGGTATGATCTTGGCTCACTGCAACCTCTGCCTCCTGGGTTCAAGTGGTCCTCCTGCCTCAGCCTCCCAAGTAGCTGAGATTAAGGCACCTGCCACAATGCCTGGCTACTTTTTGTGTTTTTAGAAGAGACAGGGTTTCACCATGTTGGCCAAGCTGGTCTTGAACTCCTGACCTCAAGTGATCTGCCCACCTCGGCCTCCCAAACTGCTAGGATTACAAGCATGAGCTGCTGCACCTGGCTGGAGTTATCTGTCTTTTTATTATTGAGTTGTAAGAGTTCTTTATGTATCTTAGATACAATTCCCTTATCAGATACAGGATTTGGAAATATTTTCTCCTATTCTGTGTGTTGTCTTTTTACCTTCTTTCTTTCTTCTTCTTTTTTTTTTTTTTTTTTTTTTTTTTGAGACAGAGTCTTGCTCTGCTGCCCAGGCTAGAGTGCAGTGGCACAATTCTGCCTCACTGCAGCCTTGACCTCTTGCCTCCTGAGCTCAAGTGATCTGCCTGGCTAATTTTTGTATTTTTGGTAGAGACTGGATTTTGCCATGTTGCCCAGGCTGGTCTCGAACACCTGGGCTCAAGCGATCTACCCACCCCAATCGCTCAAAGCACTGGGATTACAGGTGTGAGCCACTGCGCCCGGCCTTTACTTTCTTGATGGTGTCCTTTGAAGGACAATATTTTTAAATTTTGACAAATTCCAGTTTATCGGCTTTTTCTTTTGTCATTGGTGCTCTAGGTGTCATATCTAAGAAACAGTTGCCTAATGCAAGGTCATGAAGACTTATGCCTATTTTCTTCTAATAGTTTTAGAGCTATTGCTCTTACATTTAGGTATTTGATTCATTTTCCCCATTATTTTTTATATATGGAATGAGATAGGGGTTCAAATTCATTCCTTTGTATATGGATATCCAGTTGTTCCAGTATCATTTGTTGAAAAGACTGTTTTTTCTCCATTAAAAGTTCTTTGTAGGCTGGGCGTGGTGGCTCATGACTGTAATCCCAGCACTTTGGGAGGCCGAGGCAGGCGGATCACCTGAGGTCAGGGGTTGGAGACCAGCCTGGCCAACATGGTGAAACCCTGTCTCTACTAAAAATGCAAAAATTAGCCAGGCATGGTGGCATGCACCTGTAATCCAAGCTACTTGGGAGGCTGAGGCAGGAGAATAGCTTGTACCTGGGAGATGGAGGTTGCAGTGAGCTGATATCGCGCCACTGCACTCCAGCCTGGGTGACAGAGCAAGACTCCCGTCTCATAAAAAAAAAAAAAAAAAGTTGTTTGTATGTATCCTGTTGAAGATCAACTAACTGTCAATATGAGGCTTTATTTCTGCACTCTCAAGTCTATTCCATGGATATATATGTCTGTCTTTAAGTCAGTACCACACTGTCTTGATAACTAGCTTTGTAGTAAGCTTTGAAATTGCAAAGTCTTCCAAAAGATGGCTTTTAACACAAAAAACTCATTGCAGATAACAATAATGCCTATTTATATGTGCTTTACAGTTTTCAAAAATTTTTAAAAATATGATGTTCTTAAATTCTCACAATCGGTTGGTGATGTGAGTAAGGCAAATATTTTAGGTTCCTTTTACAGACAAATACTTACGCCCAAGGCCATGGCATCAACTGAAAACACACCCCAGACTAGAACCTAAGCCTCTGATGTAATACTCTCTTCCCTTTTCTATTCTTTCTGTTTTCTGTCTTCTTGGATGTTGGTATTAAGTCCATAGGACATTTTATCCTATAATTTATATTAATAAAATATTTTATAGAAACAAAAATTCAAAAATACAGTTGCTCAGGCTTTCCAAAATTATAAGTGTAATGTGGTTGCAACTACTTTCTTTGATAAATAACCAGTCTAAGAACAATCTATTTTAGTTCGGGTTCCCACAAGAGAATCTCAGAGACAAGGATTTGGGTGCAAGCAGTCTATTTGAGAAATGGTTACAGGAGGGAGTGGGGAAGTGAAGAAGGGGTGGAAGGAAAGCCAGTAAGTGTACACTAATTAATTAATGAAGGGTAATTAATTACTCCCTGGACAACTGGGGCTCTTCTCACTGAGTCTCTCTTCTGAACTGCCTTTATGCGAATGTCCTTCATTTTGGGTTCTAAGTCTAACTGGATTTAACACTCTAGGAGGAAAGAATCTTATATGAACTTCACATCATTAAAATCTGATGGTCAATTCTCAGTTCTAACCTTAGTTGATGGAACAGAAGCATTTGACATGGTTGATTGTTCCCAATTGAAAAAGAGAAAAACCGTCCTTAAAATCTGAGAACTAGCCTTGCAGTACAGCTCATTCTCAGGGTTGTAAGGAGCTAGCACATGGTGTCACAGCTAGGCCACAGTGTTCTACTGGACATCAACAATTTCACAGGCTATCAATATCAGACAAGGTCACTCTGTTACCATGATGAGATGAGATTAAAAACAAAACAAAACACCTCACTACTGCACAATTTTGACTAAGCATAGACAAAAGCAAGTTTCACAATGCAAATGTCCCAAAAGTATTCCCCTGTCCTGGCTAATATGAGTGACCACCGCCTCTTTATCAATTATAGCTTTAGCCTCACTGTAGTCTTGCCTCCTTTCAGATAAGAGTCATTACAGGCCGGGCGCGTTGGCTCACGCCTGTAATCCCAACACTTTTGGGAGGCCAAGGCGGGCAGATCACGAGGTCAGGAGTTAGAGACCAGCCTGGCCGACATGGTGAAATCCTGTCTCTACTAAAAATACAAAAAATTAGCCAGGTGTGGTGGCGGGTGGCTATAATCCCAGCTACTCAGGAGGCTGAAGCAAGAGAATCGCTTGAACCCGGGAGGCGGAGGTTGCAGTGAGCTGAGACTCTGCCACTGCACTCCAGCCTGGACAACAGAGTGAGACTCTGTCTCCAAAAAAAAAAAAAAATAGTCATTACAATGCCCAATCATAAAATTATCTTCACTTCTTAATAGCATATAATCCAGAGCAAAACCTCACTTCTTCCTTGAATTCCCCTTTATTCCCCCAATATCTGGTTAAAGTTAACGTTCAGTGTATGTATGGTATAAGTTCAACTACAAGTCTGGTGGTCTTTGGAGGAAATGGACACAAATAGAAGTTCCAGTGAGATTCACCTGAAGCCTTCACCACTTTGGAGCAGGACCCTCAACTCAGTCCTGTGCACATCTAAGACCCTTTGTGTTTTACTTTCCCATGTTAAATTGGACTCTAATATTCCACTGAAACCCTTCATTGAAGCCCAGTGTTGGATTTATTTTATTTTCATAGGAATAACATCCCCTGGGGTTTAAAGAAACAAATCGAAGCAGATTTGTGTTGTTCGGCAAAATTATTTTCTAGCCCTCTAACAACACCTGCTGCTAGTTGACTAGCATTTTGCATGTTACCTATAGAAAGAAAATTCTGCAGGGAGAGGATGCCACAAGTCTAAGAAGTTCATCTTTGAGTTAGCCTCAAAGGCTGTGTTCGAAAGTCTCCACAGACCAGTTTGAAAAGTTTCAGTAAACTTTTCCCTGGGTCCCCGTTACAAACCTCAGGCTTTGTCTTTGTTTTCCTGAGAACTTCTCTGTTTAATTTCATCTGCACTAAATCGGGCATTTTGTCCAGCTGTGGATTAGCAGCTATTGGCCTCTGGCCAAGCTCCAGAGACACAAAGTTAGCCACTCACCATCCTTACAGAGCACTCAGCTCTCAGGCGCTTTCTCAATATAACACTGCACTTCTTCCAAGCTAACAGCTGCCTCCTTCATGTTTTTCCCCTCATAGGATAACTTGTACACTTACTTTTCTAACTGGCACAATTTTTTCAGGGAAAGTTTGGAATTGTAATAGCCAATTTGGGGGAAATTTTGACACGAACAAGATTGTTCATTTGAGGAGTATCTCAAGACAAAAGAATGAAGAAACCCTCACAAGGCGATGTCTTGTTTGTCTAAAAGAGAGAACATTTTGCTTAACCCAGGAAACATCCCCTTATTGGTTTTTGTACTTTGGGAATTAATAAGACCTGACATTTTAATTGTATGTCTCCATAAAATTATCAAGGACTCAAGTTATGTCAAAACCAATTGTATGTCATTCTCTTTTGTGTGTATATATGTGGAATTTATTTTTCTACATCTAAACTTCCTTTCCTCTTCTTACAGAGGGACCATAATTACCTTTTTACAAAATGTAATTTGACATTTGTCTGAAGCTGGCTTCCTTACTTTTTTTCCTATTCTTTTTCCTCTCATTTTTCTTCTCTTGGGATACTTTAAAGATTAATTAATTGTTAAAAAGCATTCAGTTATGTACTTACTCTAGGATTATAGTCTAGATAAGCAGTCAAAACTATCTAAAAGGAAGAAAAAGTTATTAAATTGTGTTTCTTCTTTTCGACCCTAATAAAGGTATATTTACATAATAGCCTACATAACAGCAAGGAGATAAAAAGAAAAGGTTTTAATTCTAAAATAAAAGAAGATATTTTGTCATGATTGAGAGTCTGTAAAAATTAGTTTACCATATTAAAATAATGTCTGCATAATAGTTTGGTTTGTTCAAGACCAGAATCAAATTTCTTATAATACAAACTTCTTAAATTTCCTATACTGGTTTTATAAATTAAATCAATTACCACTTGCTTCAAGTAAAAATTTATATGTGTAAAACTGTATTCAACTGAAGGGAACGATAATGAATGTCTGGTCAAAGGGTTTAATTTTATAAAATTCTTCAATGTTCGAAATCATAAGAACTTATGTGTTAGCTAAATTATAATCTCCAGATCTTTAACCAACTTTAAAACCTTAGACAAACAATTAAGTTAATACTTAAATATGTTTGTGTGCATTTACAAGCAGACAGTTTACAAAAGAGAAACAAATATGAAACATTGGTCACTAAACATAATTTTAAGTTATATTTATTGCTTAAATTGACAATTGATTAACAAAGTATGAAAATATACTTGAATAACATGCTATATCTATATTTTTAGTTAGTTATTTTTGCCTCCCCAAACTTCTTAGAATAATATTAAATAAGTTTCAAAGAGAAGAAAATAACTAAGTAGATTTTGGCTTTCAATTCTCTAATTTTCTTTCGTGTCTGGAGAAAAGAAAAGTTTGTTACTTCTGTTAAATTTAACACTTAATATAAATATTTTATTATGCTAAATACAATACTGTAATGTTTTATAATACAAACATATACAAGACAGTGGTTATGATTTTCTGTTTGTTTATTAAGAAAATTATGGTATTGTCGTATGGCAAACTGAGTATGATATATACAATGTTTTATTTACTATACTGATGTTAATTGTATTTTAAAATTATAAAACCTTTAAATTAATATCTATTTGTATACTTATATATCTTTGTATAGATGATGAAGCACATACATATGAAGGTATATCAATACATTCTTAACTGCAAATTGTAATGTAAATAATACGCCAAAGGAGAATAAAATTAGAATTTGGATTGAGTCCTTACTTTTGAAAAAAAAATGTTCTTAGTAACTGTTGTTGTTTATTCCCCTGTGTTTTTACAGTTTTGTGACACTTTCATCTTTAGATATTTGCAACTTATCCCTTGTCTTCTTTAACCATTCCTGATGTTGCCTTCCCTAAATTAAGCTTCAAATTCAGAAGAAAAACCTGTTATGATGTTTTTTATACCTAAAGTATAGTTCAGTTTCTTAAAATGACCATTAAATAACACAAAGAGCTGCTCCATCACCCTATAAAAGAAGGGAAAATAGAAATAAGTTAGGTTTGTTTAAAACTCTTCAAATTTTAATTCAAAATTTGTATGAGCAGTCTTTTGTTCACCAAACACCTGACAGACACTAAAAAAAACACCGGACACTAAAAAAAGAGTTTATCTTCTTAGGCAAATTATAGTTACGTACATATGTTAATACCAATATATTTCGGCTTGTCTGAAGATAATGACTTATCTCAACTGATTATTCACAGTTACAGATGAAACTCCTTGTTTTACTTTCCCCACTTTTCACTATTACACTTGACTAGTCTTAAAGAAATAGTCTTTCCGGCTGGGCATGGTGGCTCACACCTGTAATCCCTACACTTTGGGAGGCCGAGGTGGGTGGATCACCTGAGGTCAGGAGTTCGAGACCAGCCTGGACAACATGGTGAAAACCCATCTCTACTAAAAATACAAATATCAGCTGGGTGTGGTGGCACACGTCTGTAATCCCAGCTACTCAGGAGGCTGAGGCAGGAGAATCTGCTTGAACCCAGGAGGCGGAGGTTGCAGTGAGCTGAGATCGTGCCACTGCACTCCAGCCTGGGCGACAAAGCAAGACTCTGTCTCAAAGAAAAAAAAAAGTAGTTTCTCTAGTCTCTCTATGACTGTTTGCTCTCAAGTTTATGTTTTAAAAAGGCACGCTCATGTATAAACTAGTATATTAACTGTCTACTAAGATACTTCTTTCAGGATTCTAGATTCACAATCTGTATTTCTCTTTTTGCTCATAAGAAGCCTGAATAAATGTTAGTGGTAATAATTCAAATACATGGTCATCTTTAGAGGCCTATTGCTTGAATTTCAGAATTTCATTGAATAAGCAAGACATAGCCACCTTGTCTGTGGGGCAGCAACAATAAAATGTGTAAAAACTTCAATTATTGGCCGGGCGCGGTGGTTCATGCCTGTAATCCCAGCACTTTGGGAGGCCTAGGCGGGCGGATCACGAGGTCAGGACATGGAGACCATCCTGGCTAACACGGTGAAACCCCATCTCTACTAAAAATACAAAAAAATTAGCCGGGCGAGGTGGCGTGCGCCTGTAGTCCCAGCTGCTGGGGAGGCTGAGGCAGGAGAACGGCGTGAACCCGGGAGGCGGAGCTTGCAGTGAGCCGAGATCGCAGCACTGCACTCCAGCCTGGGTGACAGAGCAAGACTCCATCTCAAAAACAAAACAAAACAAAACAAAAAAACTTCTATTGTTTTGTTTTAACGTCTCCACTAAACTTAGTGGTTCCTATACCATATAGACTCTTCTATTGACAGAACACGCTCATCACTTTTCAGCTAGTCAGCTAAGCTTTATAAAATATCGTTAGCCAGGTGCAGTGGCTCCTGCCTGTAATGTCGGCACTTTGGGAGGCTGAGGCGGGTGGATTGCTTGAGCCCAGGAGTTCAAGTTCAGTCTGGACAACATAGCAAGACCCCGTCTCTACAAAAAATTTGCTAGGTGTGGTGTCGCGTGTCTGTAGTCCCAGCTACTCGGGAGGCTGAGGGGGGAGGATCGCTTGAGCCCAAGAGGTTGAGGCTTCAGTGAGCCGTGATTGCACCACTGCACTCCAACCTGGGCAATAGAGTGAGACCCTGTCTCAAATAAATAAATAAAATGTTATTGTTTGCCTTTCCCATATTACTGCAGCACTAACCAACCACCTTCCCTTCCTTTATCTGAAAAAAGAACTCTGTGATTATTTAACCCCTAACAGGGAACTCTCCATTCCTTTATGGACCTCCTAGAGACTTCCTTGGGCATCCCTGATTTAATTTTGTGATTTTTCATACTTAAAAAGAAAAACTAAAACTTGCCAGGCAGCCTAGGCTATCACAAGCTTGAATTTACCCTTGAAATAAAAGTTTCTCACAGAAATTAAATCAGTCCAGATGGGCTGGGTGCTGTGGCTCAAGCCTGTAATCCCAGCACTTTGGGAGGCCGAGGTGGGCGGATCACCTGAGGTCGAGAGTTCGAGACCAGCCTGCCCAACATGATGAAACCCTGCCCAACATGGTGAAACCCTGCCTCTACTAAAAATACTAAAATTAGCCTGGCATGGTGGTGTGCGCCTGTAAGCAACCTGGGAGACTGAGACAGGAGAATCACTTGAATCCGACAGAGTGAGACTTCATAAAAAAAAAAAAAAAAAAAAAAATCAGTCCAGGTGGCCATATTAACTACTCTTGCCCAGACCTGCCAGCTATCGACAGATAAAATATTTGTACTGACAGTAGGCATTATTTGGGTTAGTCCTTGACTTCAAAATGCTTTAGAAACAAAAGGATTTCCCAACCATTACAGGAACCCTTATAAAATGGATAGTGAATTAAAGAAACTGGAGATGTTTTGGTAGTATCGAAAGAGATAGCCAAAATAAAAGTGAGAGTTTAACAAAAATCCTCACGATATTACCCACAATAGCAGAGAGAAATTAGCCACAATAAGGAACCACCATTAGTGGGGCAATTTTAAGAAGTATTGCTTGCTGATGATGTTTCCAATGTATCCCCTATATGCCAAATATTTGTATCTCATTCTCTCAATTCCTCTAGGTCTTTGCTCAAATATGACCTTATGAATGACATCTTCCCCGACCACCCTACATGAAATAATAATCTTCTGTCCTACACCACTTCGTACTTTCCAACAATTTGCCTATCCTCTGTCTCTCCCCACTAGCATGTAAGCTCCATGAAGCTTTTTGTTCTGTTCATTCCTGTTACCTTCAGTACTTAGAAATGTCTACCACATAATAGTACGGAATAAATGTTCATCAAATAAATAAAATATGCTTTCCTAACTCCACTGCGCTTGGCAGCATTCATGTATTCATTTAACGAACACTACCTTTTATTTTTCAAGCACTTGTGTTGACATCTGCTGATCAACAGTGACTAATGCCTGCCTTCAAGGAAGTTATGGTTTAGCCAGAGGGAAACATTGACAAGTAAACAGGCGATTTAATGCACGGTGTGATAATGCTGTGATAGACATTGTGGGACTGTATAGCAGACTCATCTAGCCCAGTCTCGAGAGAATCAGGGTAATTCCCGGAGGAAGCAGTGTCCTAGCAAAGGCATGAAAGACAAGAAATTAATCCAGGTGAAAAATTAGGAGAGTCAAAAGCGTTTCATGCCAGGCATGGTGGCGCACACCTGTAATCCCAGCACTTTGGGAGGCCAAGGTGGGTGGATCACTTGAGGACAGGAATTCCAGACCAGCCTGGGCAATGAGTGAGACCCTGCCTAGAAAAAAAAAAAAAAGAATGTTTCATGCAAAGAGAACAATCTGCAGAAAGGCTGAGCAGTGAGGGGATGTTGCTGGACCTAAAAGCTTACCCCTCCCCAGGGTGGAGATTTGTTTCCTGTATTGAGTCTTTGCACATGTTGTTCCCTCTGCTGGGAATGGCTGGAATACCACCCTGTTTCCCACTTCATCACCTCTACATCCTGAAAAATCCCTTACTATGTGGCTTTTTTTTTTCCTCTTTTTCTCTTTTAAAAAAAAATTTTATAGAAATGGGGTCTCGCTATGTTGGCCAGGTTGGTCGTGAACTCCTGGCCTCAAGCGATCCTCTCACCTCATCCTCCCAAGATGCTGGGATTACAGGCATGAGCCACCATGTCCAGCCTCTTTCTCTCCCTCTTTTTATACATATGATCTCACCCTGTCATCCAGGCTCGAGTGCAGTGGTGCAATCATAGCTCACCACAGCCTTGAACCCCTGAGCTCAAGGGATTATCCTGCCTCAGCCTCCTCAGTAGGTGGGATTACAGGTGTGTGCCACCGTGCCCTACTTGGCTCTTCTTGTCTCACATAAGCCAAAATAATCACTTCCTTCTTCATCCCTTTACTATAATTAGTTTTTTCCTCCATTATATCCCTTAGCAATGTTTTTCTTCAACATTACATGAAATTCCTTGGAGAATAGAAAATATGTCTTACATATTTTGTATCTTTGGACACTAGGAACCCAAATGGGCAGGCATAGTCACTCACTAAATATTTGTTTAATGAATGAGTGGATTATTAATTCTGCTTCTGTTTCACTTGGACAAGACTGGAAAAATCCTAGGACTTTTCTGCATCAAGAAGAGAATAACAGTGCCACATGTCTGCAGAGTCAACAGAGTCAACATCTCAATTTATATCTATCTTACAGATATAAATGTATGTCTATATTATAGATATAAATCGAGATGGGTGTGGCTATAGATATAGGTATATCTATTATATCTATCCATATTCTAGTTCTTGCCTGATTAGTAAAGGAAGTAAAGAACCACACATGAACTTTATTTCATAAATTTGTTGATATTTGTCTCCTACTAGTTCTGTGGAAGCAGAAGCTGAGATTGGCTTGGCATGTAAGATACTTAGGGACCACCTCTTGTGAAGGGAAGGAGAGGACGTAGGATTTTAAGAAAACTAACGTAGACTCCTCAAAGCCTCAGCCAATGTCCTGAGGAGTCCTAGGCACGTACAATTTCATTCAGAATCGTCCCACAATGACCTAAAATAGCCAGGCCTTCATGCCCAGGATGCCATCAGTACATCAGCAGGTGAACGTAGGCCTCCCAGGAAGGGCACGTGCTTGGATGTGACAACAGTTTAGGGAAACCTCAATGGGAGTGAAAGCTGGAAGCTGTCTGATTACCACGTTCGCAGCAGCCAGGGCAACAAACCCTTCCTTGAAGTAGGATCCCCGTATCTACTGAAGCCTTAATCCAAAAACATACAGTCATAATTTCAAAGGAGGTAGGTTATGTTCAAATTTCTCTAACAAGAATGTACGTATTTTAAAAGGTTTGGAAAACATCAAAGATGTATGATAGACATCAGTATACTGGAAATATACTAAAAATAAATTTTTCTCAGAGATACTATTGGCATCTGAAGCTATTGCCATGTAGCTTCCTTTAAGTTTGATGGGCAAGACTTTCATGCCAGAATTTTGGTTTACTTTATCCCATAAAACATCTAACATTTTCCATGGCAGATTGCAGATCACTCTCTCCTATGAATTTCATTTTTCCCATCCCTCCTCCATGACATCAGGAGCTGCCTATTCAAACAAATCATACTTAAACTGATTCATATGGTAGCCCCTACACTTGGAAGTTTAGTGTTATTCTTTTATGTTATAAAATAATTCGTCTGGGCACGGTGGCTCACCCCATCCCAGCACTTCGGGAGGCTGAGGCAGGAGGATTGCTTGAGCTCAGGAGTTCCAGACCAGCTTAGGCACGGTGATGAAACCCCATCTCTACAAAAGATACAAAAATTAGCCGGCTGTGGTGGCACACACCTGTGGTCCCAGTGATTTGGGGGGCTGAAGCGGGAGGATCACTTGAGCCTGGGAGGTTGAGGCTGTAGCAAGCCAAGACGGCACCACTGCACTCCCACCTGGATGACAGAGTGAGACTCTGTCTCCAAAAATAAATAAATAAACAATTCTTTGAAATTTTTTCTTTTTTTTTTTTGAGACAGAATCTGTCACCCAGGCTGGAGTGCACTTGTATGATCTCAGCTCACTGTAACCTCTGCCACCCTGGTTCAAGCGATTCTCCTGCCTCAGCCTCCCGAGTAGCTGGGATTACAGGTGCCTGCTACCGTGCCTGGCTAATTTTTGTATTTTTAGTAGGGACAGGGCTTCACTGTATTGGTCAGGCTTGTCTTGAACTCCTGACTTCGTGATCCACCTGCCTCGGCCTCCCAAAGTGCTGGGATTACAGGTATGAGCCACTGTGCCCAGCCTCCCTGAACTTATTTTAAAGCAAGAAAACCAACTGATTTCTTGAAATTTGTTTAATATAATAGATATTATTGAAGAATTTTACTTACAAATCTTTCTTTTTTGTTTCCTTAAGGGAAAAAAAATACCTTTTATTTGAAAAAAAAATTAACTTTTCCTCTGCATCTAATGATTTTTTTCCTCTTGGTCTCCTTTTTTCTTACCTGTGTCACCCTAGATCATCCTATTATTTGCTATTAAAATTAATGGCAAATCCGCAATTACTTTCACACCAGCCTAACATTGTTGCTCTTTCTTCAGGACCGCATTTCTTATCTGCTCTAGCCAATGCTTCAAGATTTCTTTCTCAGCTCTTAGCTCTTCTCTCTCTCTCTCTCTCTTTTTTTTTTTTTTTTTTGAGACAGAATCTTGCTCCGTCACCCAGGCTGGAGTGCAGTGGTGCGATCTCGGCTCACTGCAACCTCCGCCACCTGGGTTCACGCCATTCTCCTGCCTCAGCCTCCCAAATAGCTGGGATTACAGGTGCCCCGCACCACGCCTGGCTAAATTTTTGTATTTTTAGTAGAGACTGGGTTTCACCGTGTTAGCCAGGATGGTCTCAATCTCCTGACCTTGTGATCCGCCCACCTCGGCCTCCCAAAGTGCTGGGATTACAGGCTTGAGCCACTGCACCTGGCCTCTTAGCTTTCTTTCACACCTTACATGGATATTGCTACCAATAGGATCCAGAGGTCACGTAGAACATACTAAGGGCTAATTCTGCATAAAAAAGAATTAAACTTTTTTTTTTTTTAAGAGTCAGAGTCTTGCTCGGGCTGCAGTGCAGTGGTGCGATCTTGGCTCACTGCAACCTTGACCTCCTGGGTTCAAGCAATCCTCCTGCCTCAGCCTCTCGAGTAGCATGCACCACCAGGCCTGGCTAATTTTTTGTATTATTATTGTATTTTGTATTATTGTATTAATACAATAATACAAAAAATAATATTTCGTATTATTTTTTGTAGAGACAGGGTCCCCCTATGTTGCCCAGGCTTGTCTCAAAGTCCTGGCCTCAAGTGATCCACCCGCCTCAGCCTCCCAAAGTGCTAGGATTACAGTTGTGAGCCACCATGCCTGGCCAAGAATTATACTCTTATAGACAATTGAAAAATAGTCTGCCAGGCCCTCAAACCTCAAGGCTCTTGAGGTATCAGGTGTATCATCTGTTACCCCTATGCACTTACATCTCTAACTCTCGCTCAAGCTGGTATTCTTTTTCTCTGCATTTTTGCAAGACTACAGAATGGCATTCAGGCCCATTGAGGTCAGTTTATAAAATGCTACTGGGGCACTTGTTTGCCAGACACTATAACAGGAACTAGAGGAATAAAGATAGTACCGGCCCTCCAGGATCCTGCCATCTGATGGGGTAGACATTCATACAAACAGATCATTCCATACAAAATTGTAAATGTTAACAAAGAGGTAGATACAGTGTGCTATCAGAGGACAATAACAGGCATTTAGCACAATCTAGGGGTTAAGAAAGGTTTCTAGAGGCAATAACAGCTGATTTGAGTCTTAAAAGATGTGTATGAGTCAGCCAGGCCCACATTACTAGAGTATTATGTGCAGGTCACGAGCGGAGGTGGGAAAGGTAGCCCATAAGGGTAATGTATTCCCCCAAGAAGCAGCTACTGTATTCTATAGGCCATAGGGACCCGCTGAAGAGATTTAAGCAGAGAAGTCCCTTGGATTTTGGAAAAAACATTTGCACTGGCACAACATGAAGGATGGCTCTAAAGTAGTGGTTCTCAATGTGCGTGGACTAGCAGCTTTAGCATCTCCTGGAACTTGTTAGAAATGCAAATTCTCGAGCCCCATCCCAGACCTATTGAATCAGAAACTCTGGAAGCAGGGCCCAGCCGTAAGTGTTTTAACAAGACCTGCAGGTGATTCTGATATAGATCAAAGTTTGGAGACCACTACTCTAAATCAGCAGGAAAAACTTGACAGTATCTGGAACAGGGCTTAGATTAGGGTGAAGACAGCAAGGTGCAAAATTTAAAAAGCTCCAAAATCCTCAGTAATCAAAAGAAGTAACATTTTAATACAATACCAGGCTCTTTTCAAATTCCTAGCCTCAAGCAGTCCTCCCACCGTGGCCTCCCAAAGTGCTGGGATTACAGACACCACTGCACCCGACCCAAAATTCTAAATAAAGGCAGGCTGTTTGTTTTTAGACCCCGCGTTATTGTGCAATGGGGACAGTTGTTTTCCATCAGCTTGGGGTTCCCAAAGTCCACATGGCTGTCACATTCCCCATCAGGCAGATTTATGGGGATTGACAAAGGCGAGTGGACAGATGGGGTGACACGGGTCAGGGCCAGCTGTTGAGAGCCATGCAGCACCGGACCCTCCATACTTAGAAGGGCTCCATGCTTGGTTTAATGCTCTGCTGTCACTGTTTTGAAGTTCTTAATAAGTTTTGAAGAAGAGGACCTGCATTTTCGTTTTGCACTGGGCCCTCAAAGTTTCCGTCAAATTGTTTTGGGGGGTCTTTTTTTCCTCCCTTCAAGTTTTATTCCAGCATAGTGTAAATACTGTCTTTTTATTGTTGTAGAACTTTTATTAACTTATGAGGTGACATTTTGGTAAGTGTACGTAGGGCACACATTTTTTTCTTTTGCCTCAGGCTCCAATGTGACTTAGCACAGTACAGGGCTAGAGACATTTTTTGATCGTCACAACTTGGTGATGCTACTGCCATCTAGTGGGGAGTGGTCGGGGTGCTGCTAAAAACCCTACAATGCATGGGACAGTCCCCCACAACAAGGAGTTATGCCATCCAAAATGTCAACAGTGCTGAGATTGATAAATTCCAATCTATAGGGAAAGCAGGTTGTTAACAGTGTCTCAGAATGGGGCAGTAATAGCAAATATGGAACTATCTAGAACTCAATGATTAATCAGCTAGGAGGAAGTGGAGTTTAAGAGAAAAAGACTTACAGAATTTTTGCTTGTTTAGGGCATAAGTTAGTATAGCAAATTCAGGAGGAGGAAAGAGGCAGAAAGAAGTGAGGCAAGGCCGGGCGCAGTGGCTCACGCCTGTAATCCCAGCACTTTACAAGGCTGAGGTGGGTGGATCATGAGGTCAAGAGATCAAGGCCGTCCTGGCCAACATGGTGAAACCCCGTCTCTACTGAAAATACAAAAATTATCTGGGCGTGGTGGCGTGGGCCTGTAGTGCCAGCTACTTGGGAGGCTGAGGCAGGAGAATCTGCTTGAACCCAGGAGGTGGAGGTTGCAGTGAGCCGAGATCATGCCACTGCACTCCAGCCTGGCGACAGAGCGAGCATCTGTCTCAAAAAAAAAAAAAAAAAAAAAAGAAAAAGAAAAAGAAAAAGAAAAGAAAAGAAAAGGTAAAGAAAGAAGTGAGGCAAAAAGAGATAGGAGTTTGAGGCTGGACATCAAATGGAGGCGTTTGCTTCAGGGCAAGCATCTTGAAGTTCTGAGGAGAGAGATTTTAGAATTGTCAACAGGTACCTCTATTGTGAACCTCTGCCCCGCCCAACGCCTCTGGACAATTCTATTCCCGCTGCCTTAGAGAATGGATGCCACAGCAAAACCAGGAGACAAGAAAGGCAATTTTAGGCTTTTTAAGTCCCCAAATGATTTTTCTGAAACTCATGGTGGAGAAATAGTTCTGTACATTTCAAATATTTAAGCCTAACGAGCTCATAGGATGGAGTTGATTGTCATGCTATAAGTAACAGGCTAGGGACAACAGGCAAGGATCCAAGTACTTTTCCCTTTTCCCTGCGAGGAAATAAAGATTCTACAGGTGTGGGAAGAAGAAAAACAAAAAGGATGTAGAGAAAGAAACATCTGGGACAACAGAATTGGGTTGGGGTGCATCATGTGGCCACATGCAGAATCAGCACCAAAACCTCCCCAGGCTCCACCTAAGCAGGTACCAAGGAGCTGACTTTCCTGATTTTTCCAAGGTGCTGTATCTGGGGAGATCAATACAAGATCAGCAGATAGAATATTCCCCAGGAATGACACCTACCTATGGGCAGACCTCCTTCCCAACAGCTCAGAACAGGTGTAGGCCCCAGGATAGAGGGAAAGCCCCATCACCTATTCTTAGGTAGCACTGAAGGGAGCCACATTCCACTGGGGATGAATGCCAAGGTACTCTCCCACTGCTTTGGTTAAGTTTCATAGGTGTTTATCTAGAATTGTTTCCAGATGGTTTTTTCTTCTTTTTCAGTTTTTATATCAGCAGAGGGTAAATTCAGTTTTCATACCAAATGTTTTCAGCTTTCTTTACTGCCATTAATAAAAGGCAAGGGCCAGACGCAATGGCTCATACCTGCCATCCTAGCACTTTGGGAGACCGAGGTGGGCAGATCGCTTGAGCCCAGGAGTTTGAGATCAGCCTGGGCAACATGGCAAACCTTGTCTCTACAAAGAATACAAAAATTAGCCAGGCATCGTGGCGTGTGCCTGTAGTCCCAGCAACTTGAGACGCTGAGGTGGGAGGATCACCTAAGCCCAGGGAGGTCAAGGCTGCAGTGAGCCATGATCACACCACTACATTCCAGCCTGGATGATAGAGTGAGACCCCATCTCAAAAAAAAATAATAATAAAATAAAAGGAAAGGATCCAGTCACTGTGTAATCCCAGGACTTTGGGAGGCTGAGGTGGGAGGAATGCTTGAGCCCAGGAGTTTGAAACACTTCTGGGCAACAGAGCGAGACCCTGTCTCAAACATAAAAAGAAAAGGCAAGGTTTTGCTTGTTTGTTTTAGAGACAGGATCTAACTCTCCTGTCCAGGCCAGAGTGCAATGGTGCAATCATAGCTGACCGCAACCTCGAACTCCTGGGCCCAAGTGATCCTGTTACCTTCATCTCCCAAATAGCTAGGACTGCGGGTGCATGCCACCATGCCCAGCTAATTTTTTTTTGTAGAGACAGGATCTTCCCTTATTGTCTAGGCTGGTCTTGAACTCCTGGCCTCAAGCAATCCTCCTGCCTTGCCCTCTCAAAGTGTTGGGATTACATGTGTGAGCCAACATTTCTGGCAAGAATTTTCTTTGTTGTTTACTCTTTTTAGATAGATTTTCTGGCTATAAGACAATTGTTTTATATTTCCTGGGTTTTTTTAACCCCCTTTTATTTATTTATTCCTTTATTCATTAGTCCTCATATTTATTTTCTATACCTCTGCACCCCTGGGTGCCTTTGAAGGCAGAGATGTTATCTTGTTCAACTTTACATCTCCTGAGCTTGGCACAGTGCCCAGAACATAGTAGGTGTCTGTAGTGGATGCTGTAGGGCACTGCCCAGATACCCCCTTTTAGGACCAAGGCACTCATCCCCCTAGGTGCAGCTCTGTTACAGCTCTCAGCGAATCCAATAACTGGTGGAAAAAGAAGTGCAGAGGCTCAGTCCCCTTGCCAAGCCAACACCAGAGCTCCCAGTAAGATTGGCTGACGCCACTGTTGCAAATTCATTCCAGTTCAACTCTTTCTGACGAGTTCTGTTTCCCTCAACCCCTTACAAGGGTGATCCTCAAGAATGCTCCCCAGTAACCCTCCTTAAGCAAATCTCTGCCTAGAATCTGTTTCCTAGGAAGCCAACCTAAGACAGTGCTTAATAAATATTTGTTGAATAAATGGATGAATGGGCTCTTCCATTGTAAACTACACAGTTCCTCACCCTGAGCAGAGATATAGGGGAAAACCTCTGACCTTTATTTGTGTATTCAACATTTTATTTTCTCATCTCAGGCCGTAAAAGTCAGAGCCCAGCCTCAAATAGTTCACCCAACCCTGGGGTCATGGGTGACTTTCACATGATGATGGTATCCACACTGAGTTGTTGCAGTTATATTGTCATTTGACCACCAGATGGCAGAGGTGACACTTGGAAAGCCTCTCTTTCTGGCCCTGGGTCGCCTATCCCAGGATTTAACATTAAACCCAAATTACCCATTTAGTGCCATTAATTCCCAAGCCCTTGTAATTACGGCATTGTTTCATTTTGTAGGAAAGTGTCACTGCCACAATTGGCTCATTTGCATATAAAAAGGAGGGTTTGGAATATAATGGAAAGAGCCCCGGACTGAGCATCAGAATCACTGCACACCAACCACTTGCTCCATTTGAACATGTTTCTTCATCAGTTAAAAAAAAGAGAGAGAATTCCAGCCCTGCGTGCTTCACAGGCCTTTTGTGAGGAATAAATGAAAATTACCAGGGTTGCAGGAAGGGGCCTGATTGAAGTTCTCCCTAGTCCAGGAGAGCTCCGAGTATGGGAAGCGGGATCAATTCTGTGTGGGTGGAGAGGCACTGTCTGGGTTCCTAGGCTTTCTTGAGGCTCAGACCTCGAGGTAAAGGAAAGATAGGATAGCAGCTCCTGGAATGCTGCAATGCAGATTTTAGAAAAAGAATACTCCATTATCTTGTAGGCAAGGTGGGAAGGACAGTAGAACTAGGGTGAACTTTATAGGTCACCTAACTAAATTGAGTGTTAGTGCTGGTGACATCAGGTCAGGACTAGGACACATCTTTATCTACTTGTTTCTTATATAAAGCTTTATGATTTTTTTTTTAAAAAAACCAGAACATCCCAGAGTTTACACATTCAAATGAGATTAGTCCCCTTTAAAGAAATCACCTTTGGGGCCATATATTTGTTTCTTCAAAAATTAGTATAGTTTCTGATATTTTTGGAAATCCTTTTGGATGTTGCTTTTTAAACATTCTCTTCAGCTTCCTCAATGGCATAGACATCTTTATTCTTTGGAAATGGATTTCATTTTTAGAAACCACCAGCAGTAATTTTAAGATTTGGCAGGTATGATTAAGAGGGGGTGGTGGTGATCATTTCACCAAATAGACAAAAGCAAGGCTAGGCCATAAATAGCAAGACTGATTTTTTTATGTAATCAAAATACACAAAACAATGGCAAAAAAAATAGTGTTCTTATTTGTTTGTTTTTGTTTTTGTTTTTTTAAGATGGAGTCTCACTCTGTCACCCAGGCTGGAGTGCAGTGGTGTGATCTTGGCTCACTGCAACCTCCGCCTCCTGGGTTCAAGCGATTCTCCTGCCTCAGCCTCCCGAGTAGCTGGGATTAGAAGCATGTGCCACCACGCCCGGCAAATTTTTTTGTATTTTTTAGTACAGACGGGGTCTCACCATATTGGTCAGGCTGGTCTTGAACTCCTAACCTCATGATGCGCCCACCTCAGCCTCCCAAAGGGCTGGGATTACAGATGTGAGCCACCGCACCCAGCCAGAAAAAAAAAAAAAAAAGAGTTTTATATACTCAAAGTAATTACAAGAAAATTAAAAGAAGTGTGAAAGGTCACACTAATTTGAACATGCAAATTTGGGGGTAGCAAATACTTTTATGCTTCTGCAAGTTAGGGCTTTCTAAGCAAATTTTACTGGGGACCTGGACAGTAATTTATGGATCAGATAGTGAGAGAAACCTGAAACACGCACAAGAGAGATTTACTAGACATAGACATGAGACCTTCATAACACACACATCTCCACTGGAGATTTATCTTCTGGAGAGAGATTTACCTCCTGGTAAACCTGGAGGTATGCGTTTACTTTTCAAGAGGCACGAGTGATATGGTTTGGATGTTTTGTCCCTTCCAAATCTCATGTTAAAACATAATCCCAAAGTTGGAGGTGGGGCCTGGTGGAGGTATTTGGATTATGGGGGCAGATTCATCATGAATGGCTTATTGCCCTCTGCATGGTAATGCATGAGTTCTTGCTCAGTTAGTTTATGCAAAAGCCTGACACCTCCCACCTCGCTCTCTCTTGCTCCCTGTCTTGCTATGTGACACGCTGGCTTCCCCTTCACCTCCTGCCATGATTGTGTTTCCCAAGGCCTCGCCAGAAGCAGATGCCAGGGCCATGCTGCTTATACAGCCTGCAGAACCGTGAGCCCAGATAAACCTCTCTTCTTTATAAATTGCCCAGCCCTGGGTACTCCTTTATAGCAATGAAAAGGGACTAACACCGGGGGATGAGACCTGGATTGTGGAGACATCCCAGGGTGGTAAAGTGGTGACACTGGACTTACCTTTCCCCAGAAGTTTATTCATATTCCAAAGGGTTAAAGTAAAAACCCAGGAATCTTCCCATCGTGTTTCCAGAGAAACTCTTGGAAGAAGGAAGAAGTACAGCTGCCTCTCCCTTCTACATCAACACCTAGATTAAATTGGGGGAGTGGGGGTTCCTCACTTATAATACATATTACTTACATGTAGAGTTTGTTCAGCCACCTCTCGTTGTATCATTAAGGGATAAGAATTTGGGTACAGGGGATCCATGGGATTGTTTTTGGCTGTAAGTAAATAACAGTAATCCGCTCTGCTCCAGAAACCTTACGTGTGGATACAGGATAATATTAGTTAATATGGATATTAAAAACTTAACTCAATGCCGAGTGTGGTGGCTCACATCTATAATCCTTGCACTTTGGGAGGCCGAGGCCGGCAGATCGCCTGAGCTCAGGAGTTCAAGACCAGCCTGGGCAAAATGGTGAAACCCCATCTCTACACATTAAAAAAAAAAAATCTGGGTATGGTGGCACCTGCCTGTAGTACTAGCTACTCAGGAGGCTGAGGTGAGAGGATCACTTGAGCCCAGTGAGGTCGAGGTTGCAGTGAGTCGTGATCACAACCACTGCTCTCCAGCCTGAGTGACAGAGTGAGACCCTGTCTCAACAACAACAACAAACCCCAACACAATATTTACCTTTTTCAAAAGATTGGAACTATGTTTTATACAGTGTCTTCTCCCTTTGCAGAACCCTGGTAGAGTGGAATCCTACTGTCAAAAATGGACATCAAACTTTTCCATCTCTTCCTGTCCCAGGGATTCCTTCTTCAGATGTCCCCCAAAAACCATAGTAGTGAGCTACTAGTCCCGTCTCCTATGGATAGGGCTAAGAATTGGGATTGCCATATGGACAGATGTTTTTGAATGGGGGAATAATGAGGGGATACAAGAATGCTTTGTGCAACAAGAATGAGAAAAAAACTTTCTTTTCAAAAGCATTTTAATCAAAGATGGTGCTATGCATTTTAAATTTTTATATACTTAGAGGAAAAACTTTAGACAAATTAACTTTAACAGAGTTTGAGTAATGAACGGTTCTCAAATTGGGCAGCCCCCAGAATCGTAATAGGTTCAGGGTGACCCCTGGGCTTTGGCATGGTTGGATAACATTTATGGACAGAAAAAGGAAAGTGACCTGTAGAAGTGATGCACAGAAACAACTGGATTGGTTACAGCTGGGCATTTGCTTTATTTGAACCTGGTTTGAACAGCTGGCTGCTTGTGACTGGCTGAGCCTCTGCTACTTAAGAGATCAGGTTACAGTCTGTTTAACATCAAGTTAGGTTACAACCAACTAAGTATGGAGAAAACAGTAGGCCAAACTTAAAATATGTACGGAGGCTAAACTCAATTTAAGAATACGGCTTTCTATCTGTGCCCAACGCAACCATGGGCTTTCTTTAAGATGACAGTATTATAATCCAAATGGTAAAAAATGGCAGCTTTGTGGTAATTTGGGCATGTTCCAATTAGCAACTCTACAACCTATAAAAACAGGCCTTAAAGGTTTATTAAGCCCATGTTAGAACACTAAAGAAAATTTAAGAAAAAAACTCACTCACAATCTTACTCGCCTGACAAACTGCTTCTCCAAACCCATTCTCTTCCAAACCCTGTTCATAGTACCCATTATTTTACAAAGTTGAAAACACAATGTGTATATAATTTTCTGTTCTAATATTTTTAGATCATATTATTTTACAACTATTTTTACTTATTATTACATTTTCTTTTAAAGTTTAAATATTTGTTTATTTGATATAAAAAGTACAAACAACAATGTGGATAAATTTAAAAACAGTATTGAGCAATGTTATGAACAAAGTAATTTTCCATTGGATAGTTGTATTTCATAATAAATTTAGTATATTATTTCAACTGAGCTGGCAAGTTATACTATAGTTTGTGAATACTCATCTCAGCTCTCCTCCTTATTTTAAACGGTGGAAATACTTCTGTAGTTTGCTGCCACACAGTGGTAAAGTAAGCACCATTGCACGCTGCCACTGCAGAGGACTTGCTGGCCTGGTTATCCTAACTCAACAATTTGCAGAGCTACTCATGCTGGCCACTGTGCTGGGCACTAGGAATCTAAAGATGGTGTCCAACATGGAAAAGTTTATAAATCAGTAGGAAGACTGACAAGCATAAGAATAATTACTATCAACTAACAAACTGATAATGCTGTCACTGAGACAGAAATCTAAGTATGATGGAGAATAGGAATTTCTTGTCAGGTTTCACTGAGGAGGTAAAATGTGAGATGAAGCCTAGCAGAGAGCACAGTCGATGAAAGGACAATGCTTTCAGGGAATATTGAGGTCACTCAAGTGGGAACTTGGTGTGTGTGGAAGGAAGAGGGTGGTGTCACACAGACAACAGTCACTACATATTCTTACGTGGGAAGGAATTGTGGTTTTGTTTTTTGTTTTTTGGGGTTTTCTTTTTTTTTTTTTTGAGATGGAATCTAGTTCTGTCGCCCAGGTTGGAGTGCAGTGGCACGATCTCAGCTCACTGCAACCTCTGCCTCCTAGGTTCAAGTGATTCCCCTGCTTCAGCCTCCCAAGTAGCTGGGGTTACAGGCTCCTGCCACCACGCCAGGCTAATTTTTGTATTTTTAGTAGAGATTGGGTTTCACCATGTTGGCCAGGCTGGTCTCTAACTCCTGACCTCAAGTAATCTGCCCGCCTCAGCCTCCCAAAGTGTTGGGATTACAAGTGTGAGCCATAGCGCCCAGCCCCTCAGGAAGGGATTGCTTAGGAAGAGAAAGTTTGAAGAATATCTAAAAGGTTTCTTAAAATCAACCTAGTTTTATGTTTATGTTCTATGCTGACTTACATGAAAATGTATGTCATTAAAGGTAAATAACTTTGTAAGAAGACATGAAAATTATTGTTTCCTTAAGATACTCTATGGAAATTATATTCAAATAAATCATAAATAAGTCTTTCCTTAGTTATGATCCCTTAGTGCATTTTAGGCAGCAAGGGAAATCTGCAAAGGTGTTATCATTACTATATGAAATGGTTTGGATCTGTGTCACCACCAAATCTTATGTTGAAATGTAATCCCCTGTGTTGGAGGTGGGGCCTGGTAGGAGGTGTTTGGATCATGGGGGCATATCCCTCATGAATGGCTTCGCCTATCCCTTCGGTGATAAGTGAGTCAGTTCTCGTAAGATCTGGTTTTGTAAAAGTGGCACCTACCTCCCACTCCACTCTCTCTTGCTCCTGCTTTTACCATGTGATGTGGCCGTTCCCTCTGTCTTCCGTCATGATTGTAAGCTTCCTGAGGTCTCCCTAGAAGCAGATGCTGGTGCAATGCTTTCTGGATGGCCTACAGAACTATGAGCCCATTAAACATTTTTTTTTTCCTAAATTGCCCAGCCTTTTTTTTTTTTTTTTTTTTTTCTAAATTGCCCATCCTCAGGTATTTCTTTTTTTCTTTCTTGGTTTTTTTTTTTTTGTTTTTTTGTTTTTTTAAGATGGAGTCTTGCTCTTGTCACCCAGTCTGGAGTCCAATGGCCCAATGTCGGCTCACTGCAACCTCTGCCTCCTGGTTCAAGTGATTCTCCTGCCTCAGCCTCCTGAGTAGCTGGGACTACAGGTGCGTGCCACCATGCCCAGCTAATTTTTGTATTTTTAGTAGAGACAGGGTTTCACCATGTTGTCCAGGCTGGTCTTGAACTCCTGACCTCAGGTGATCCACCTGCCTCAGCCTCCCAAAGTGCTGGGACTACTGGCATGAGCCACTGCACCCAGTCTCTGGTATTTCTTTATAGCAATGCAAGGATGGCCTAATACACTATGGTTGGCAGCCTCTAAATCGGCCCTCCAATGATACCGGCTTCCTGGTATGCACACCTTTGTGTAGAGCCTCCCTCACTGAATAGAGCTGACCTTTGTAACCAATAGGATACTGTCAAAATGATGCTGTGTTGCTTTGTGGCTCAGCCATTAAAGTCACTGAATCTTCCACCTTGTACTCTCTTGCTTATTTTTGGGAAGGCCAGCTGCCATGTTGTAAGATGGCCCAAGCAGCTGGGAAGAGGTCCATGTAGAGAGGAGCTGGAGGCTTGTGTCAGCAACCAGCACCAAGAAGTCAGTCAATCATCTTGGGAGCTGATTCTCCAGCCTCAGCCAAGCTGTCAGGTGACTGTAGCCCCAGCCAACATCTTCACTGAAACCTCATGAGAGACTCCTAGCCAGACACATTCAGCCAAATTGAATTTCTAACCCACAGAAACTAAGAGATAATACATGTTTATTGTTTTAAGACAGATAAATAGATATATAAGTAATAGTACAGTACTTTGCTTTCTTTCACTGACTTGGGGCCAAACATATTAAATAACACAATATTTATATTCATAGGTCTAGTATACAGTTTTGGGCTTCATTTTAGATATAAAACTATTCAGGCCGGGCGCGGTGGCTCACGCCTGTAATCCCAGCATTTTGGGAGGCTGAGGTGGGTGGATCACCTGAGGTCGGGAGTTCGAGACCAGCCTGAACAACATGGAGAAACCCCCCTCTCTACTAAAAATACAAAATTAGCCGGGCATGGTGGCGCATGCCAGTAATCCCAGCTACTTGGGAGGCTGAGGCAGGAGAATCGCTTGAACCCGGGAGGTGGAGGTTGCGGTGAGCCGAGATCGTGCCACTGCACTCCAGCCTGGGCAACAAGAGCGAAACTCCATCTAAAACAAACAAATAAACAAACAAAAACCTCAAACTATTTAATATGGGGGATTGCTGAATTATACATGGCACCATGCATTGTTCGCAGAGTACCATACGTGATAATTTTGGGAGATGTAAAAATGACTATGAAACTGGGAGACACTATCATGTTTTTCTGTACAGAAAAGATTACTTGCAAGAGAACCTTACTTTTGACTGGTCAGTCACACTGCTTCTGAAGTTTTGGCTGTTATTGACCTTCATGAACAGGTAGTAATTATGTAGGCAATTAAAGCCTTTCTTTTGTGGCCTTAAAAGGTCAAATTTTACTTATTCAAATGTCCATTCAAATGTAAAAGAATCTTAATAATTACATATAAAATCATGTCATTAAATAATAATAATTTTTTTGTAGAGACGGTCTCTCTCTGTTGCCCAGACTGGAGTGCAGTGGCTGTTCACAGTTGTGATCATAGCATGCTGCAGCCTCGAACTCCTGGGCTCAAACAATCCTCTTGCCTCAGCCTCCCAAGTAGCTGGGATTACAGTCAGAAGTCACTGCGCCCAACTCTAAATAATTATTTTTAAAATTCCCTTTTCTAATTGAGTGGAAAATATTATTTTTACAGGTACATATTTGCAATGCTAAACTACATTAAAGAAAATGTCGACACAAGGATTACTTTTTATGATTTTTATCTAGTCCACTGTTACTATGTCAAGTATTTTCTTTTTCAAGATGGAATCTCCCTTTGTCACCCAGGCTGGAGTGCAGTGGTGTGATCTGGCTCACTGCAACCTCCACCTGCCGGGGTTCAAGCGATTCTCCTGCCTCAGCATCCTGAATAGTTGGGATGACAGGCGCCCGCCACCATGCCCGGCTAATTTTTGTATTTTTAGTAGAGATGGGGTTTCACCATATTGGCCAGACTGGCCTCAATCTCCTGACCTCAAGTGACCCACCTGCCTTGGCCTCCCAAAATGTTGGGATTACAGGCATGAGCCACCGCACCAGGCCTTGTCAAGTGTTTTCATTTACACTTTTATATACTAAGGATCCTTTAAAAATTTCCTTGGAACACATGTTCACAAATAAAATACATAGTTACTTTATAAAAGTTTGTAGTTCAAATTCATGCTATTGTGTCCTGAAAAACCTCAAGCAGTGTATTTAAAGTGGTCTCAAGTTGGTAGTGCCACCAGATGCCTAGCAAAAAAGAGGATATCTTCTTCAAAGATGTCACTATTTCAACCTTTAAAACAAAACCTTTGTTGCCTGGAAATAATTGGGGTTTGTACGTTTGGAAAGTAACAGATGATTCTCTACGAGAACGTAGGGGTTTTTTGTTGTTGTTGTTGTTGTTGTTGTTTTTGAGAATTTTATTTATTGATTTATTGATTCACTTTATTTTTTATTTTTTTCCCATAAGTTATTGGGGCACAGGTGGTATTTGCTTGCATGAGTAAGTTCTTTAGTGTTAGTTTGTAAGATTTTGGTGCACCCATCACCCAAGCAGTATACACTACACCATATTTGTCGTCTTTTATCCCTCGCTCCCCTCCCACTCTTCCCAAGTCTCCAAAGTCCATTGTATCATTCTTATGCCTTTGTGTCCTCATAGCTTAGCTCCTAATGATCAGTGAGAACATATGATGTTTGATTTTCAATTTCTGAGTTACTTCACTTAGAATAATAGTCTCCAATCTCATCCAGGTCACTGCAAATGCTGTTAATTCATTCCTTTTTATGGCCAAGCAGTATTCCATTGTATACATATACCACAGTTTCTTTACCCACTCGTTGATTGATGGGCATTTGGGTTGGTTCCAAGATTTTGCAACTGTGAATTGTGCTGCTATAAACATGCATGTGCAAGTATATTTTTTGTATAATAACATTTCCTCTGGGTAGATACCCAGTAGGGGGATTGCTGGATCAAATGGTAGTTCTACTTTCAGTTCTTTAAGGAATCTCTACACTGTTTTCCATAGTGGCTGTACTAGTTTACATTCCCACTAGCAGTGTAGAAGTGTTCCCTGATCACCACATTCATGCCAACATCTACTGTTTTTTGATTTTTTTGATTATGGCCATTCTTGCAGGAGTAAGGTGGTATTGCATCGTGATTTTGATTTGCATTTTCCTGATCATTAGTGATGTTGAGCATTTTTCATATGTTTGTTGGCCATTTGTGTATCTTCTTCTTCTTCTTCTTCTTCTTTTTTTAGATGGAGTTTCGCTCTTGTTGCCCAGGCTGGAGTGTAATGGTGAGATCTCGGCTCACCGCAACCTCCACCTCCCGGGTTCAAGTGATTCTCCTGCTTCAGCCTCCCAAGTAGCTGGGATTACAGGCATGCACCACCATGCCTGGCTAATTTTGTATTTTTTAGTAGAGACAGGGTTTCTCCATATTGGTCAGGCTGGTCTCAAACTCCTGACCTCAGGTGATCTGCCCGCCTTGGCCTCCCAAAGTGCTGAGATTACAGGTGTGAGCCACTGTGCCTGGCCCTTCTTTTGAGAATTGCCCATTCATATCCTTAGCCCTTTTTGATGGAATTGTTTGTTTTTTTCTTACTGATTTGTTTGAGTTCATTGTAGATTCCGGATATTAGTCCTTTGTCAGATTTATAGATTGTGAAGATTTTCTCCCACTCTGTGGGTTACCTGTTTACTCTGCTGACTGTTCTTTGCCGTGCAAAAGCTCTTTACTTTAACTAAGTCCCAACTATTTATCTCTGTTTTTATTGTATTTGCTTTTGAGTTCTTGGTCATGAAATCCTTGCCTAAGCCAACGTCAGGGTTTTTCCAATGTTATCTTCTAGAGTTTTTAGAGTGTCAGGTCTTAGATTTAAATCCTTAACCCATCTTGAGTTGATTTTTGTATAAGGTGAGAGATGAGGATTCAGTTTCATTCTCCTATGTGTGACTAGCCAATTATCTCAGCATCTTTTGTTGAAAAGGGTGTCCTTTCCCAACTTTAGGTTTTTGTTTGCTTTGTCGAAGCTCAGTTGGCCATAAGTATTTGGGTTTATTTCTGGGTTCTCTATTCTGTTCCATTGGTCTATGTGCCTATTTTTATACCAGTACTATGCTGTTTCGGTGACTATGGCCTTATAGCATAGTTTGAAATCAGGTAGTGTGATGCCTCCAGATTTGTTATTTCTGCTTAGTCTTGCTTTGGCTATGCGGGCTCTTTTTTTGTTCCATATGAATTTTAGCATTGTTTTTTCTAATTCTGTGAGGAATAATGGTGGTATTTCGATGGGGATTGCATTGGATTTGTAGATTGCTTTTGGCAGTATACTTCCTCTAGGTGTTACCATTCCATTTATCTGCCCCTTGCGTACTAGAAGGACTAGAAGGAGTTGCCTCTGCTTGATCTTGCCAATTCCTCTCTTCCCAGTCTCTTTTAAACCCATTCAAATCTGCTCCAAGTAAACTTTGGCAACTTCATCCTTCTAGGTGCTCAGGCCAGAAACTTTGGACTCATCTTTGACTCTTCATTTCTTCATACCCATATTCTATCCTTCAGAAAAAAATCCTGTTAGCTCTGCTTTCAAATTATATCCAAAACCTGTCCACTTCCCGCTCTCCACTGCTACCACCCTGGTCAGTGCCACCAGCATCCTGCCTGCCTAGTTTACCACAACAGCCTCACTGGGCTTCCTGCAGGCTCTACAGTCTTTTATTTTTTTTTCTGTTTTGTGACGGAGTCTCACTCTGCAGCTCAAGCTGGAGTGCAGTGGCGCAATGCTAGCTCACTGCAACCTCTGCCTCTGGGGCTCAAGCAATTCTCGTGCCTCAGCCTCCCGAGTAGCTGCGACTACAGGCACACAACATCATGCCCAGCTAATTTTTTTTTTGCATTTTTGTAGAGACGAGGTTTCACCATGTTCCCCAGGGTGGTCTTGAACTTCTGAGCTCAGGTGATCCACCCGCCTCAGCCTCCCAAAGCGTTGGGATTACAGGCGTGAGCCACCGCGTCCGACCTACAGTCTCTTCTTAACAAAGTAGCTCCAGTGATTATTTTGAAATGTACATTAGATGTTATTATTCTTTTGCTCAAAATCACTCCTCATTTCATGAAAGAGTCCATGAAATAATGTGAAAGCCTTATATAATCCAAAGCCCCTTGTCCCACTCCTTAGTATTTACCTTGCTTGGCTCCGGCCACTCTTGCCTCCTTGCTATTCTCCCAGCAGGCAAGCCCTGCCCTGGAAACTTTGTACTGGCTGTTCCCTCTGTATGGAAGGTTTCCCCTTCACCAAGTGTCTATGTCTCTTGGAAATCTTTACTCAGTGAGGCCTACCCTGATTACCCTATTTAAAGTTGCAATGTACCTCCCCTATACTCTCACTTTCCATTCCCCTATTTTTTCCATGGCGGTGTTAAATTGAACTAAATACCGCCTGAGAAAGCCTCTGCACTTCCATATTTGAGTCCTTGTGGATGAACCATAACCTAACTTAGTAGGTAGACAAGACTGAAAGCCTAATTTAGGAGTGTGCTTCTGTAACAATAGCTGAGTTTCAGCCAATCCCAGCAGCCATACTTCAACTATTCATACAATGCTTACTGTTCAAACTGTGTTCAGGTAAGGCAAATGCCAAGCTGTAACCCATCCAGCTGCTTCCGTACCTCACTTGCTTTTTGTACATCACTTTCCTTTCTTTGTCTGTAAATGTGCTCTGACCACGAGGCATCCCTGGAGTCTCTCTGAATCTGCTATGATTCTGGAGACTGCCCGATTTGAGAATCATTTTTCCCCTTGCTCAATTAAACCCTGTTAAGTTTAATTTGTCTGAAGTTTTAACAGTAGCTTCACCTTTCAACATATGTTTATTATGTTTGCTCCCTAGCCCACCTCTCGCTGTGCAGGGTGAAGAGTTGCAGTGTCTGCCAACAAAAAAGGGGTTCGGACCCACTGAGTTATATAATTAGTAGGTCTGAAACAATATACATATTTTAAAAAACATAAAACTTAAAAATGGTTAAAATGGTAAATTTTGCTGTGTATTTTACCATAATTTAGAAAAAAAGGAAATAAAATCTCACAGCTCCTGTAAAGTAGCATTTCAAGAAATTTTTACTTCAGTTATGTGTGAGTACTTCTACGTCCACAGTTTCAAAGTCTGCAATGTATTTCTTACTATGTCAGGGTCAAAAATACCAGAAAAAATTATGGTGGAGAACCGTCTGCACACACTCACCAGCTGACATGCACAACATAGTTCACAGCAGCAATGTTTAGAACAAAAACTGGAAATAATGCACATGTTAAGAGGCAGCAGGATGGATACATAATGAAGTATATTAAACAATGGAAAATTACGGTCCGGGCGCCATGGCTCACGCCTGTAATCCCAGCACTTTTGGAGACCGAGGCGGGCGAATCACGAGGTCAGGAGTTCAAGACCAGCATGAGCAACATGGTGAAACCCCGTCTCCACTAAAAAATACAAAAATTAGCTGAGCGTGGTGGCGCGCGCCTGTAATCCCGGTTACTTAGGAGGCTGAGGCAGGAGAATCACTTGAACCCGGGAGGCAGAGTTTGCAGTGAGCCGAGATCGCGCCACTGCACTCCAGCCTGGGCGAAGAGCACTACAGCCACCTGTAGGTGAATATGAAAAGCAATGCTGAAAGAAGCAAATTGCTGGAGAATACATACGCAATTCCAAAAGCTTCAAAATTGAACGAAACAAGATAGTGATACATACATTATGTGGTAAAGCTATAAAGAAAACCAAGGCAAGCTGATATAAAAAATTCAGAAAATAATTATTAAAAACTTAAGTCATTAACGTTTAGAGAACTGAAATGTCTCTATTTTCCAAATTAATACTCCTGATAATAGCATCAGGTCTTTCCTGATCTTGCCCACTGTCGCAGCTCCCAGTGACACCCCGTTATTGTATTTATTTTTCAAGGACTGAACCATCTGACAATTTGTATGTGCTGCGTAATACATGTATCCTCAGTAGGGGATAGCTTTCAAGGCTAGCGCTTGGCGACGCTCTGACAGTAGAGTTCATTATCTATTGAATGAATATATGCGCTTTGGCACACGTTGGTTCAGCACTACTCATTTTAGTCCGAATCCTTCTCGTGGCTTCCGTTCAGTCGCCGCCCAAACCCCTGCCCCATCTCGCAGGCTCTAAACTCCCTGGACTCGTTCCCGAGTCCCAGACGTAGTTTTCTCCTAGACTCTGCACTGGGCCAACAGAGTGGGAGAAAGGTGGAAGGTCTGGATTGGGAGAAAAGCGCTTCCCAGGCGTCCAAGCATGTGAAGAGAATGAGGTCTTTTCATTCAACAAGAGACCGTTGAATGAAGGCCCCTCAGCAACAAGGCCCGTCAGCCCTAACGCCATGAGGAACGCGCGGCGCTGACGGTACAGTGGCTGGTTAACTAAACCGGATTGCTACCGGCCACCCCGGTGACGTCACGACCTCCTCGAACTCCTGATTGGAGGAGCTGCGTTTGGTCAATTCTCGCGATGACTCCTCCAGGTTACCCCTCTCTCCCTCCCTTTGCCCTGACCCGGTAGTCGACCGTGGACCGCGCTGCGAGCCTCGGAGACGCCGTAGAAGGAGACCTGCTTCCGGGACTGGACCAGGCGCCTGCGACTCTTCTCAGACGCCGACGTGCACGAGGTTTGGCTCCCAGGTGTCCTGCCTGCCAGACCCGCGGTAGCTCGGCTCGGCCAGTTTTGCTAGGGCTGCCTGGCGAGCCACACCAATTCCCATCCTTTGGTATCGCCAGGATTCGGCGGCTGTGAAACTGATTTCCGGTCGCTAAGGTCTCCATGGAGACAGCACTTTAACCACTTTCTCCCACTGTCATTCCTCGACTCCACGTGGTTCAGAAATCGCCCAGAGAATGTTTGTGGGAGTCAGCCAGGAAGGTGTAGAGTGAAGCAGCGTTCTAAAGGGAAGCAGTAAGTGGGACCTAGGAGGAGTGTAATTTACTGGGCACCTTCTGGCCTTGCGGTAGACACGGGATTTACCCCCTTGGGGACCCTGGTTCTTCAGGACACACGTTTAGGCATCATTTGAGCAGGCATAATTACCGAGTCTGCTTTTGTGTAGCCCTCAGAATTGCAAGAGCAAATCCTCCTGCAAACTTGCTTACCTTTCACCAGAGAATAGTCTCCCTAGTTAGGTTTCCCAGTCTCTTCTGGCTTTGTACGATGGTCACTTTCTTAGGAAGCGTGCCTCTATTCCTCTAGATCTGACTATCCCTTTACAAATTATTCTGTTGTCGACACTTTCCTAGCTGCGTCCATTTTTGGTTAAGTGGTTGCTCACCTGCCATTACTGTATGGATTTCTTACTTCCCAAACAGACCATAGGTTCTTAAGATGTAGAATGTCACTTAGATGTAGAATGCATTTTAGGTACCAGATAGTCCACCTTCCTGCCCTTAAAGACATATATCCCTTCTAGAACATCTCTGACAAATGTTTGTTAATTAATTTGTTTATTCGTGAAGTGTTTGTTAAACACCTACTATGTGCCAGGCACTGGTTTGGAAATTGAGACTTGAAACATGAACAAAATAGATTAAAGTTGCTGCCTTCATTCAGTTTGCTACTAGGTGAGACAGACAATATACAAATTTACAAGTTAGGGTAATTTCTGGTACTAGTAAGTGCTATGAAGAAAATTAACGGAAATGGTGTCTACGTGTGTTGTATTGGTGAGATTTTAGATAGAGTGGTCATGGAAGGCTTTTAGAAGGTAATGTTGCAGCAGAAACATGAATGGTGAGAAGGAGTCAGTCTTGCAAAGATGTGGAATGAACATTAAGGGGCAGAGATACTGAGAAGTGTAAAGCCTCTTAGGTGGGAATAAGAGCATCAGGAAGTACAAAGCTCTTGAGATGGTGAAGAGGAGATTGGTTTGAGATGAAGAGTGGAGGAAGGCAGGGTCAGATTATTTAGGGCCTTGAAGGGCAAAATCTCAAGTATTTATTTATTTATTTATTTATTTATTTATTTGAGATGGAGTTTCGCTCTTGTCTCCCAGGCTGGAGTGCAGTGGCACGATCTCGGCTCACTGCAACCTCTGCCTCCTGGGTTCAAGCCATTCTCCTGCCTCAGCCTCCGGAGTAGCTGGGGTTATAGGCGCCTGCCACCACACCCGGCTAATTTTTGTATTTTTAGTTAGTGCAGACGGGGTTTCACCATGTTGGCCAGGCTGGTCTTGAACTCCTGACTTCAGGAGATCCACCCGCCTCGGCCTCCCAAAGTGCTGGGATTACAGGCACGAGCCCCCACTCCTGGCCTCAAGTTTGAATTTTATTCTAAGTGTATTTAGAAACCCTTGGAAAGTTTTAAGGAAGAGAGTAAGTAATTCAATTTGATGAGAGTTTTTTTTAAAGAGATTGCTTTGATGATTGTAAACAGAATGGGCTCTTTGGAGGTAAGTGTAGAAGTCAGGAGACCAGTTAGGGAGCTGTTTCAGGAGTCCAAGAGAAAATATTCAGTCATCTTCTCTTTGAATATTCCTGGTGTTGGAAAATTTCTTTGTTTAAAAGGTAGCCCAGTCCTTAGTGGGACCATAGAGCTTTTCCTTTGTATTGATCTGGAATCTGTTTCCCTGTAGCTTGTACTGACTTTTACTAATCTAATAGCAAGACAAGAAGTCTAAGGCTGGGCGCGGTGGCTCACGCCTGTAATCCCAGCACTTTGGGGGGCCGAGGTGGGTGGATCACGAGGTCAGGAGATCGAGACCATCCTGGCTAACATGATGAAACCCCGTCTCTACTAAAAATAGAAAAAATTAGCCGGGCGTGGTGGCGGGCGCCTGTAGTCCCAGCTACTCGGGAGGCTGAGGCAGGAGAATGGCCTGAACCCAGGAGGCTGAGCTTGCAGTGAGCGCAGATCGCGCCACTGCACTCCAGCATGGGCGAAGGAGCAAGACTCCGTCTCAAAAAAAAAAAAAAAAAAAAAGTCTGTAGTAGACAAATAAATCTATTCCCTTTTTCTCCAAAACAGTCTAGCAGCTGTTTTAAGGCTCTTGTTCTGTTGACTTTTTCTCCAGGCCAAACACCTTTGGTTAACTGAGCTGTTCTCTGAAGGAGGTGCTCTCTAGGTCCTTCAGAAATAGTTCCATTGTTTGTTATGGCTCCTTAGAGTATGGCCGCCAGCGCTGTACCTAATGCTCTACATGTCACCTGGCCTGTTTGAATAAAATCATGCACTCTGATATGGCTGACTTCTGTGGTTTTTGGCAGTCATCTTGGGCTGTTGAGCTGTTTCAAACCACGTTTTGCCTCTCCAGCCTCTCTTTCTGTGTTTTTTTCCCCTAAACTAAATGCAGCCCTTTGTATTTATTTCTGTTTCATCTTGGTAAATTTCATATTGCTCGTTATTCCAGTTTATTGACCTGTTTTTATTCCTGATTCCATCATTCAACATGTCCTTCCAGATTTATTTTATACATGTACTACATTATAGTCTCTAATATTTGCATCATAAATACTGCTAAAGATGCTAACTGCATCAAGAGAAGAGCCCTATGACATTTCCCTAGCAACTTCTTTCCAGATGGCATGGTACTATTAGTGTGTAGTTGTGTAGTCTCTGAGTTGGGTTGTTTAGCCTGTTATGAACCCGTTGATTTGTTAAGTATCGATAAAAGCAAACTCAAGAGAATAGCATTAAAAAAATATTTTTTTTCATTTTTGCAGAAATCAGGACACGGTAGTACCTCCTCTTAGTCTAATGAGTCACTGAGGTTAGTTTGAAGTATTTTATCTTTGGAAAAACTATCCCAGTTTTTTTGTGTGTATGTTCACTAAAAGGAAAGTTTGCTGTATTTTAAAATACAAAGACTGAGTCATAGTAGGTAAAATAACTTCAGTCAGTAATAAGCTTCAGCTTAAAACATTTTTCTTCTTCAAATCAGAAATTCTTAGACAGTGATTCTCATTCTGGAGCAGTTTTGCTCCCCAGGGGACACTTCACAGTGTTTGGAGACATATTTTGGTTGTCAGAACTTGGGAGGGAGGAGGGTGCCACTGGCATCTAGTGGGTAGAGATGGGGATGCATGAAACATAATGCATAGGATGATACTGTTCAACAAAGAATGAACCCAGCCAAAAATCATAGTGCTGAGGTTGAGAAACCTTACATTAATGCCTTAAAGTCTTCTTTCTTGCAGTGACTACTATTAATTCTATTTAAAATGGGTGTAAAGAAGAAGAAAGAAATGCAAGTTGCTGCGCTGACCATTTGCCATCAGGACCTTGAAACTTTGAAATGTAGGTGACTTCTGGTTTCCCTTATTATATTTTTTTCTAGTTTGCAAGCAGAGTATTTTAATGACTGGGACCCCTAGCATATAATATTCAAATTCTTTATATTTTTCCTTATGTTTTGGATGTAAAACAATTTTCTTAAAATTCTGTCTTCAGACTATGTTCCACCTATTGCTATGGTTTATAATTAAAAAATTTTGTAGAATGCACAACAAAGGCAAAGTTAACTCACTGTTAAATCATTGAAAATTTTTTTTTGTATATGTTATATAGCTTTTGCTGATGTGGAAGGGAAAAATCTAGCTTCTTTGCTGTTACATTGTGTGCAACTCACGGATGGAGTGTCACAAATCCATTATATTAAACAGGTAAGTCTGAATTGATATTCATGGATGCATCTTTAAGAGTATCATGCTATTAAGGATTTAAAAAAAATCACTGACAGTTTTTGGTCCCTAATTATTGCATATCAGTTTATCATTAGCAAATAAGTATTTTTTTTTTTCTGTTTATTGTATAATATCCTTGTATTCAAAGCAGCAATAGAAGCCATATTCAGACTTCTATCATAATTGAACTGTAAACAGATAAGGTAGAAGATAATGTGCATACCTCTTTTGTGGAGATAAATTTTAAAATATATGAATCTTCAAAACTTTTTAGCAGACACATTTAAAAGTTAATTTAAAATATAAAGATTATACTTATTAGTATTTCAGTATTAGGATTTACCATTTGAGCACACATAGTTTTTTTTTTTGGAAAGCAAGTAAATGTATTACTGGTTTTTTAATAGTGCTACAGCTGTTCTTTACTGTAAGCCATTAACAGGTCTGTGATTCTCTGTGGAGGTGGGTCTGGAGGGTAAAGAGGGAGGTGGGGACATGAGTTTAAAAAGTTAATAAATAGTGAAATAGGTGTTTAAATCAGTATCCTTGACAGTGGAGTATGGAAAACATTTCACGTAATTGACACTTTGTTTTATTTATTTTTTTGAGATAGGGTCTCACTCTCTTACCCAGGCTGGAGTGCACTGGTGTGATCTTGGCTCAACCACAGCCTCAACCTCCTGGGCTCAAGCAATCCTCCTGCCTCAGCCCCCTGAGTAGCTGGGACTACAGGCATGTGCCACCATGCCTGGCTAATTTTTGTATTTTTTTGTAGAGACAGGGTTTCACCATGTTGCCCGAGCTTGTCTCGAACTCTCCTGGGCTCAAGCGATCTGCCCACCTCAGCCTCCCAAAGTGTTGGGATTACAGGGGTGAGCCACTGTACCCAGCAATTGAGACTTCAAAGAGTATCTGTAACCATGTTACTTTGCTATATTTGATATTATAAAAATTACTTCAATGTTTTGTATTATAGATTGTGCCTCTGCTGGAGAAAGCAGATAAAAATGGCATGTGTGATCCCACTATTCAAAGTTGTTTGGATATCTTAGCAGGCATTTATCTTTCTTTGAGTCTAAAGAATCCCTTGAAGAAAGTATTGGCAAGGTAAGAAAAAAAGGAAGGGAAGTTGGGTGTTATAAATGTTGAATTTGACCAAAAGTAACTGAAGTTCCTTCCTTGGTTTGATAAAACTGAACTGATACAGATCACAAAAAGTTCATTCATATGGTTTGTTCTCTGTTTCATTGATTAGTTACAACTATTTTTTTTTTTTTTTTTTTTTTGAGACGGAGTCTAGCTCTGTCGCCCAGGCTGGAGTGCAGTGGTGCGATCTTGGCTCACTGTCAGCTCTGCCTCCCGGGTTCACGCCATTCTCCTGCCTCAGCCACCACACCCGGCTAATTTTTTGTGTTTTTAGTAGAGATGTGGTTTCACCATGATAGCCAGGATGGTCTTGATCTCCTGACCTTGTGATCCGCCTTCTCAGCCTCCCAAAGTGATGGGATTACAGGTGTGAGCCACTGCGCCCAGCCTAGTTACAACTTTTTAAAAGTATAAAAAGCCTTCTTAGGTCACATGCTTAATAAACAGGCTGTGGGCTGTAGTTTGCTTACTCCTGCCTCAATCCATTTACATTTATTGGTTATGTTTAAATGTCATCTTGCTGTTTTTTCCTCTTTTTGTCCTATCTGTTCTTGGTTTAAATATATATTTACACAGATAACACAGGAATATAGGCTTGGTATAAAAATTTCAAATGATATAGAACTATACAAAATAAAAACTAAGGCTTCCATTTCATTGTTTAGGGCTTATCTTACTTTTCTTAGTAAAGATTGTCACTTACCGTTTTGGTATTTATCTTTCTAGACCTTCTCTTTGAGGTCAGCATATGTGTGTTACATTCTACTTTTTTTATATATATCTGTAAACGAGATTATACTCTACAGAATGCTCTGTAGCTTGTTTTTTCACTAAAGAATGTCTTAGAGATATTTCCATGTCATAAAATCCTAATTGTAGTAAAAGACATATAACATAAAAACTCAGTCTTAACCTTTTTTTTTTATGAATTCTTTTTTTTTAAATTTTAATTTTCATTTCGATAGGTTTTTGGGCAACAGGTGGTACTTGGTTACATGAATAAGTGGTGGTTTCTGAGATTTTGGTGCACACATCACCTGAGCAGTGTATACTGTACCCAACAATTTGTAGTCTTTTATTTCTCACCCCCTTCCCACCCTTTCCCCTGAGTCTCCAAAGGCCATTGTATCATTCTTATGCCTTTGCATCCTCATAGATAAGCTTCCACTTATGAGTGAGAACATATGATGTTTGAGTCTTAACCATTTTTAAGTGTACATAGTTCGCTATTGTTAAGTGTATTCATATTGCAGTGCAATGATCTCTAGAACCTTGTCATCTGCTAAGCTCTGAAACTGTATACATTAAGTAACAACTCTCCATTTCCTGCTCAGCCCTTGGCAGCCACTTTCCGTTCATAAATTTGATTACTTTAGATACCTCATATTAGTGTAATATTTGTATTTATATTTTTGTGACTGACTTATTTCACTTAACATAATGTCCTTAAGGTTCATCCCTGTTATAGCATATGACAGGATTTTCTTCTCTTATAAGGCTTAATATTCTGTTGTATGCATATACTGCATTTTTTTCATCCATGCATCTTTCAATGGACATTTGGGTTGCTTCCACTGCTTGCCTGTTGTGAATAATGCTGCTATGAACATGGGTGTGCAAATATCTATTTGAGATCCTGCTTTCAGTTCTTTGGATATATACCCAGAAGTGGGATTGCTGGACCATATGGTAATACTATTTGTAATTTTTTGAGCAACTGTCATACTGTTTTCCATATGCAACATTTTACATTCCCACCAGCAGTCCTTACTTTTTCAGCTATAAATATTCTGTAATATGAATATACCAAAATTTAAATGTACCATATATATGACATGTATGTATCTATATATGGTACATATTACATGATTTATATTACATGGTATAAAGTAATTTAATCACTTCCCCATTGCAGTGATATTCTTATGTATATAATTATATATGTGTATTTCTCTGAGATAAATTCCAAGAAGTGGAATTTCTGGACCAAAAATTAGGCCTATTGAAATTCTTGGTAGATATTGTTAAATTGTACTCCCCCAGACTACCCATTGAATTAGAATGCTTGTTTCTTCTTCATATATTTCCAACATTGGATACTATCAATCTTTAAATCTTTTAAAATCTAATGAAGGAAAATGCTATCATTATAATTTGTGTATCCCAGATTACTAGTGTAATTGAACATTTTTTAATGTGTGGAATTTGACTTTTTTTATTACATATTCTTTGTACATTTTCTTGTTAGAATGTTTTCTTGATTTATAAGACTTCTCTATAGATCATATGCCAAATACATTCCTTTGTTACTTGTCTTTAACTTTCTCATGGTGTCTTGTCTTTACAAAAATTAAAATATTATTTTGGTTATCAATTCAGCTAATTTTTGTGTATGTAGATTTCTGAGTTTTATACCTTGCTATATGTGCTTTCTGTAATACAAGATTATTTAAAACATTATTTGCAGGCCTTATACTATTTTTTTTTTTTTTGCTCAACTTTTATGTCCATCTGGAATTAAGCTTTGAATGTAGTGTGAGGTAGGGATTCAATTTAGTTTTCTTTTTTATATGGGGAACCACTTACCCAAACTGTTGAATCGTCCATCTTTGCCCACATATTTGGAATGCCACCTTATTGTGTTATATGTTCACATATATACATGGGTTTGATTTCTGAGTTAGGTCCAATTATTCATACACCAACACCACACTTTTATTTACTATAGTTTGATAAAGTGTTTTAATTATATGTCAGTGTTAAGTCATCCCTCTAGTGACTCTTCTTATTCTGAATATTCCCATTTTTGAATTATTTTCTTCCAGAAAAACTTTGAACTGTCCAGTTATATTTAAAACAAAGCCAATCAGTTTTGATGTATATAAATTGAGGCAAAATTGATATGTTTAATTTACTCATTTGATAAATTTTTATTGACTGCCTACTGTGTTTCAGCACTCTTCTAGGAACTGGGGGTAGAATGAATGAAACAGTCCAGAATGGAGGTTACATTCTAAGGGGAAGATAGAAAATAGACAAAATAAATAAGTAACATTTATAGGATATTAGATGGCATGAGTGCTATCTAAAAGCGGGAAGGAAGGAAAGGGGACATAAAGGATGGGGTGAGGGTTACAATTTAAAATATTATGGTCACTTCATATAGCTTTGCTCAGACATGATAAGGTAATTGAGATTGACCTGAAAGGGATGAGGCAGTGATTGCTGGGTATATTTGAAGGAAGAGTATTTTGGATGGAGGAAACAGCAGAAGCAAAGACTGGTATGTCAGAACAGAGCAAGGCCATGTAGCTAGAGCTAAGTGAACAAAGATCAAGATGAGGTCAGGATTGTGATAGATGCCATTTTAAAAATCAAGAAAAGAAAAAAAATAAATAAAGATGAGGTCAGGAGCTAATGGTAGTGCCAGATTGTATCGGGAGGACCTTGTAGGTCACTGTAAACACTTCAACTAGTACTTTAACCGAGAAGGATATTGTTGGAGGTTTTAGTAAGAGAAGTGACATGGTGTTTTAACGGTGTCACTCTGCCTGTTCTGTTGAGAATAATCTGGGAGATGGGAGAGAAGCAAGGTGGAAGCAGGGAGACCAGATGTGCTGACAAGCCAGGAAATTCGAGTGATGGTAGTGTGTAGTTGTAGTTTTCTGGCTGTATTTTGAAGATTTAGTTCAGTATTCCCACATTTGTATGATTCTCTTCCCTCTCCACATATTCTGGGGCTATTAGATTGTCAGATTTTTAATATTTGTTTCTTTTTCTAGCTCACTAAATAGCCTGCCTGATTTTTTTCTACCTGAGGCTATGCACCGTTTTACTTCTCGTCTTCAGGAAGAATTGAATACTACTGACTTATACTCTTACAGGAAAGTTACTGACAATATTTCTTCCTGTATGGAGAACTTTAACTTGGGTAAGGCTGCACTTTTCTAGTCCTTTTTCTGGCTAACCCCTCTCATCACATCATAGTTTTTAAATGACATTGATTTTGGTCGTGAAACTCCTTACCAGTGTTCATTTTTTCCTCTACAGGTAGAGCAAGTGTTAATAATCTGCTTAAAAATGGTAAGTCCTATTATTTTATTTTGTTCCATGAGTTGATGGCTTGTATGAGTCATTTTGGAACTGGCTCTTTTAAGTTTCTTGGTAATAGGTAGAGCATTGTAGATAACTTAGGTACATCATGACCCTTCCTTTTAAATTTTTGTTTCCATATCATGATATCATTTTGGATAACAGTGATATAAAATATTTTATTTTATTGAAATTGAGCTTCACAGTTTTAAATTCTTATTTGTCATATTCTTTTTGTTTCAGTGCTTCATTTTCTGCAGAAGAGTTTAATTGAAATCCTGGAAGAAAATAGGCAAGTGCTATATGTTGGCATTTGTGTGTGCACACTTGCAGTTGTACATTATCTTTGTACAAAGAAAAATTTAAAAGTCTCAGAATGTGATCTTTTCATCCCTTTTCATTAATATTATCACTTTTATATTTTTTTTGAGATGGGGTCTTGCTGTGTCACCCAGGCTGTAGTGCAGTGGTGTGATCATAGCTCGCTGCAGCCTCAACCTCCTGGGCTCAAGTGTTTGTATCACCTCAGCTTCCCACGTAGCTGGGACTACAGGCATGCACCACCACACCCAGATAGTTTTTTTTATTTTTTTGGAGACAGAGTCTCACTATGTTGCCCAGGCTGGTCTTAAACTACTGGACTGAAGTAATGTGCCCGCTTTAGCCTCCCGAAGTGTTGAGATTACAGGCGTTAGTCACTATGCCCAGCCCCTTTCTCCATTAATATTAGACCCAATTATTTAAAATTTTTTTTAGAGGTTTGATATTTAATTTTAATAAATTCAAAGTTTTTATATTTGAACTTTATTAAAATATTTAAATGAAAAATTAAAAATTTAATAAATTGTTATGAGAATAAGTGAAAGAACTCTTTTCCTCACCTGAGTGTGTTCCTTTTTCATAGCATCCTGTTTTATTTTGTGAGTGAAATATCCTCTGTTACTTCTCTGAGGATATATTCATGATAGTTTTTTTGTTTTTTATCATCTTTACATAGTCTTTGTTTCTTCCAAGTTGCTTTTTTCTGTTTGCTGGTTTTGTTCAGTATATTTCTTATTAGAAGCTTTCCTCAGAAGTCTGGTGATCCTTGGCTGGGCAATTATGTATTTCTTTCTATCTATCTATCTATCTATCTATCTATCTATCTATCTATCTATCTACATTTTTTTTTCTTTGTGACAGGGTCTCATTCTGTTACCCAGGCTTGAGTACAGTGGTACAATCTTGGCTCACTGCACCTCTACCTCCCTGGGTTCAAGTGATACTCCCACCTCAGTCTCCCAAGTAGCTGGGACTACAGGTGCCCGCCACCATGCTTGGCTAATTTTTTTTTTTTTTTTTTTTTTGTAGGAATGAGGTCTCACTATAATGCCCAGGCTAGTCTTGAACTCATTGGCTCAAGTGATCCTCCCTCCTTGGCTCCCAAAGTGCTAGGATTATAGGTGTGAGCCACTGTGCCCAGCCAGGGTAGTCATGTTTAATAACGGGACACCAAGGATTGATTTGAATGTCTGCGCCTATTGAGTGGAGTTGACTGCAGGTTTTATTGTAGGCTAGTCTAGCTGAGCTCTTTCTTGGGGTAACTCTTCCTTGGGGAAACCTAAAGATGTCAGTACGTTTAAATCTTTTTGCTTAGGTACTGGATTTGCCACGGAAGACTCTTCCAAACCATTGTCTTAATATTCTGGTTGCTGAGTGAGGGAAGAAGGCTGAGGTCTCAGTATTTGGCGTGCACTGTGCATGTATTTACCTAATTCTCCTTTTTGTAATATGTTGCTGCCTTATCTGTGTGTGCTATCTTCCTTTCCAAACACCTGTTTTACCTTTTCTAAAGATAAACAAGTTGTCTGCTGGCTCGGAGGTATTCAGTCTTCCTGTCTTCAATCCTTTATTTACCTCCACATCAAGGAGTACCTAGTGCCAACAGTTTCTGAGCCATTTGGGACTACAAATCAAATGGCTTCTGGGCTTGTTCCCTGGCTTAGTATCCACTTTTCTTGATTCTGCTGTCAGTTATCACTCATCCATCTGCTTTGCAGCTTCTGAAATACTATTGTTATTGTCTTGTTGCATATTGGTTGCCTTTAAGAATTTATCTTTTTACGTTTTCAATCCCATGGCTGTTGGTTTGAGGAGGTTCTGGGAGAGAGGAGAAATAATACCTGTACATCTTCTTTCACTCAGGGTAGCCTTTTTCCACAGCAGGAGCTCTTTGTCTCTTTTTCTCCTTTTTGGCTCTTCTTTTTATGCTCATCGTGTAAAGGTGGGTTCTGTCCTTTTTATTTTGTTCGTTTGAACTGCTTAATAATGTCCACTTTGGTGTCAGCCACCACCTATGTACTCAGGATTCCCAAATTTATTACTCCAAGTTAGATCTCTTTCCTGAGTGGTAGACTGATGGACATCAGTTGACAGTTAACTTGTGGACATCTCAGCTTGGATGTTTTACAGGTACCTCAAATTCAGGGCGTCCAAAAGAAAGGAAAATTTATTTTTTTAAAAAAGTCTTTTCCTGTAGCCCCAGGTAACCTCTATTCTACTTCCTGTCTTTTTGAATTTGCCTATTCTAGGTGATTCTTATGAATCATGTAGGATTTGTCCTTTTGTGTCAGGCTTATTTCATTTATTTTTCCTTTTTTTTTTTTTTTTTTTTTTAATTGAGACAAGCTCTGGCTCTGTCACCCAAGCTGGAGTGCAGGATTTTGGCTCACTGCAATCTCTGCCTCCCAAGCCCAAGTGATCCTTCCACCTCAGCCTCTGGAGTAGCTGGGCCCACAGACGTCCGCCACTATGCCCTGTTTTTTATATTTTTGGTAGAAATATGGTTTTACCGTGTTGCCCTGGCTGGTTTCAAACTCTTAAGCGCAAGCAGTCCCCCTGCCCCAGTCCCCCAAAGTGCTGGGATTACAGGCGTGTTTTCGAGGGTCTTCCACGTTTGTAGCATATATCAGAATTTCATTCCTTTTTGTGGCCGAATAATATCCCATTGTATGTTTAGACCACATGTTAATCAATCTGTCGATGGACAATTTGATCTGTTTCTACCTTTAGGCTATTGTGAATAATGCTGCTATAAACATTGATATACAAGTATATCTTTGAGTCTCTGCTTTTAGCTCTTTTGGGTATATACGTAGGAGTGGAATCATAAGATAATTCTATATTTAACTTTTTGAGGAACTACCAAGTTGTTTTTCCTAACTTTTGCCTTAATAGGATTATTCTGTGTTTTGCTGTGTTGAGAACTGAGAGGTAAGGACAGAAGCTGCGAGAGACCAGTTAGGAGGCTATGGCAATAACCCAAGGGAGAGATGAGAGTGGCTCAGGCCAAGATGTAGCAGTGGAGTTGGTCTGATTCTAGATGTATTTTGAAGGTAGAACCAACAGGATTTTCTTATAGATGAGATGGAGAGGAGAGGTGGCAAGGATGATTACAATGTTTTTGTAGGATAAAGATGCAGCAGGTACAGCAGATTTGGAGTTGAAGATAAGTTCACTCATTTAGAGATGTCTGTTAGACATCCAAGTAAAAATATCAGGAAGTTAGATATACCAGAAAGGAATTAGACAGAGAGGTCTGGGTTAGAGATAAAAATTTGGGAATTATCAGCATGTAGATTATAATTTAAAGCTGATGAGCTAAAAGAGATCAGCAAAGGAGAGAATTAGATGGAGAAAAGAAGAGGAATAAAGACTGAGTCCTGGACATTCCTAACATAAAAAGATCAGGGAGAAGAGGATGAATTAGTGAAGGTATCCGAGAAGGAGTGCTGGTGAAGTAGGGGAAAATCTGCGAGAGCCTGGCATTTTAGAAGTCAGGGAGAGGCTGGGCATGGTTGTTCACGCCTGTAATCTCAGCACTTTGGGAGGGCGAGGCAGGTGGATCACTTGAGGTCAGGAGTTTGAGACCAGCCTGGCCAACATGGTGAAACCCCTGTCTCTACTAAAAATATAAAAATCAGCTGGGCATGATGGCTTGCTTGTAATCCCAGCTACTTGGGAGGATGAGGCAGGAGAATCGCTTGAACCCGGGAGGTGGAGGTTGCAGTGAGCCCAGATTGCACCACTGCACTCCAGCCTGGGTGACAGAGGGGGAGACTCTGTCTCAAAAAAAAAAAAAAAAGCCAGGGAGGGAAAATATATCAATGTTGAGAGAGTGTTCAAGTTTGTAAGTTATGTCATTTTTTTTTTTTTTTAAGATGGTGTCTTGCTCTCTCACCCAGGCTGGAGTGCAGTAGTGCCATCTCGGCTCACTGCAGCCTCCACCTCTGGGGTTCAAGCGATTCTCCTGCCTCAGCCCCCTGAGTAGCTGGGATTACGGGCATGTGCCACCACACCTGGCTAATTTTTGTATTTTTACTAGAGACATGGTTTCGCCATGTTGGCCAAGCTGGTCCCAAACTCCAGACCTCAAATGATCTACCTGTCTCGGCCTACCAAAGTGCTGGGATTACAAGTGTGAGCCACTTCGCCCAGACTGAGTTCTGTCATTCATTCTTGATTTCTTATCTTTGCCCTAAAAGAAGTGAAGTTAGTTATTGGCTGAGAAAGAGGGACATGTAGATTAAGTTAACAGTGTTGAAAGTTTGCAATTAATGTCTACATAATTGGAATGTTTATAGGAATGGAAGAGAGAGGAATAAATTATCATAATTTAAAATTGATTTTGGGCCTTTGAGGAATGTATTTATTTTGCTGATAATTAGAAATGTTCACACTTTTGTTTGAATTTCCTTTTGTAATAATGTCTTTTCTTCTTTATAGAAAATGTGCTGGAAATCATATTATTCAAACACAGTTGATGAATGACTTACTGGTAGGCATTAGAGTTTCAATGATGTTAGTACAGAAAGTACAAGATTTCCAGGGAAATCTTTGGAAGACTTCCGATTCTCCCATATGGCAAAATATGTGTGGATTGCTGAGTATTTTTACCAAGGTTTTAAGCGATGGTAAGTGTAACAAATTATATACAAATGATATATAATTGACAGTTAAAATTGAGTGTCAATCAGCTTTTCCTACTAATAGTGTGAAATGTGATACTTAACTGAGATGTGGAATGTGTCCTTACTCAGCCTCTCAAAAATGGAGGGAGGCCCTGGACTACATGGTTTTTTTTTTTTTTCTTTTCTTTTTTTTTTTTTTTGAGACCGAATCTCACTGTGCTGCCCAGGCTGGAGTGTAGTGGCGTGATGTTTATTCACTGCAACCTCTGCATGTTGGGTTTCACATCCCAGGTTCAAGCGATTCTCGTGCCTCCGCTTCTGAGTAGCTGGGATTATAGGAGGGTACCACCACACCTGACTAATTTTTTGTATTTTTAATAGAGAAAGGGTTTTGCCATGTTGGCCAGGCTGTTCTGGAACTCCTGGCCTCAAGTAACCTGCTTACCGTGGCCTCCCAAGGTGCTGGGATTACAGGTGTGAGCCACTGTGCCCAGCCTGGGTGACTGAGTTCTATTTCTTGCCTTGGAAGATAGGTTCAAGGGTGATCACTTTTTAATAATTTATTAAGCTGTAAATTTGTTTTCTGTCACTTTTTTGGAATCTGTGGTTTATTATTATAATAAGATTAACGAAAAAGTGACACCTAACACAAGTATTTATATAAAAAGTTGAATTATCCTTTCTCTCTTCACCTCCCATTCTATATGGTAATATATGTTTGAATGTAACTTAATTAAAAACATGCTAATGGGATCTCTTTAGAGCTCTTGTTAGTGAAAAACAATAACTGACTCTGGTTTTGCTAGGCTGATTGGAAGACAATAGCATCTCATTGTTTGTGTTTTTTGGTTTTTTTTTTTGTCTGAGATGGAGTCTCTCTTTGTCGCCCACACTGGAGTGCAGTGGCGTGATCTTGGCTCACTGCAACCTCTGCCTCCCAGATTCAAGCGATTTTCTTGCCTCAGCCTCCCGAGTAGCTGGGATTACAGGCATGCACCACCACGCCTGGCTAATTTTTTTTTTGTATTTTTAATATAGACGGGCTTTCACCATGTTGGCCAGGCTGGTCTGGAACTCCTGACCTCAGGTGATCTGCCCGCCTTGGCCTCCCAAAGTGGCTCAGGTGTGAGCCACCGCGCCTGGCCTCATTGTTTGTGTTTTTAACCCTGGTAATGAAAGTCTTAGCTATATTTTGTCCAATTAGTATTTCTATTTCTCTTTTTGCCTGGGTTCTCAGGTATTAAAAGGAAAGGAAAGTAGTTAAAGTTACTTTTATTAAGACATAACTTACAGAAAACTTTTCAGAGGTTATTTACTTTTTAAAAGAGGACTGTGTTAGTCTAAAAAAAAGATTCTCTAACTAATGAAATGTAGAGAATACATGATTTTAATATGAGGTAACTTCGGCCGGGTGTGGTGGCTCATGCCTGTAATCCCAGCACTTTGGGAGGCCAAGGCGGGCAGATCACGAGGTCAGGAGATTGAGACCATTCTGGCCAACATGATGAAATCCTGTCTAAAATACTAAAAAACTAAAATACAAAAAAAAACATTAGCTGGGCGTGGTGGCGTGCACCTGTAGTTCCAGCTACTCGGGAGGCTGAGGCAGGGGAATCAGTTGAACCCGGGAGACAGAGGTTGCAGTGAGCCAAGATCATGCCACTGCACTCCAGCCTGGCAACAGAGCAAGCCTCCGTCTCAAAAAAAAAAAAAAAAAAAGAAGTAGCTTTTTTTCCGAAAAGTTGATGGCACCTAATCAGTACTATTCTTTTCCAGCATTTTAAAGCTTCATAATCAGTAAAGTGTTTAGCTGCAAGTAACTGAAAACCAAACCTCCTTTCCCACATAACAAGTTCAGAGGCAGGTCATCCAGAACTGGTATAGGCAGTGTACGACCCACACATTTTCTGCTTTTCTGCTGTGCCATCTTCAGCAGGTTGGTTTTCACCCACGTTTGTTGCCTCGTGGTTGCCATATGACTGCTGTAGCTCCAGATGTGTCTTTATTCAAGGCAGGAAGAAGGAAGGCCAGTTGCGTCTTTACTTTTGATCAGGATACTCAAGTGACTGGCTTAAATCCAACTGGCCTGAACCCTCTTATATGCCTACCTTTAGTTGCAAAGAAGATTGAAGAAGCAAGTATCCTGCTTTTGGCTGGGCATGTGGCTTCCCCAATCAAAGTCACAGTTTTCTTATCAGTGATGAAGGGCAGAGTGGATATTTAGTACGTAGTTTATGATGTCATAAAGAAGTGTTACTTCTTTCCCCAGGTTGAACAACTCACCATGGTATTAGAGGCTAATAGAGATAAAACAAAAAGAAGATACCAAGTCAAAACTGTTTGGTTGCTATGGGTACAGTGTCAGTGCTAGCAAAGTTTGTAATTAGCACTTACCTACATTCTTTATACAAGCCCTGAAATCTCTTTTTGAAAAAGTCTGTGTATATGGTGATTGGGATACAGAGGCATTGGTGGAGGGGAGGGGACAGGTGGTGTTGCTGTTAGGTGTTTTGGGAAGCAATAGTTGGCGAGGAAGAAAGTGTATGTTAGAGGAGAGAGGAAGGAATCACGTTTATTGAGTATCTATATGCTGGGCTTAAAAGCCTTTATATTCAGCCGGGCACAGTGGCTCATGCCTGTAATCCCAACACTTTGGGAGGCCGAGGCAGGCGGATCACAAGGTCAAGAGATCGAGACCATCATGGCCAACGTGGTGAAACCCCATCTCTACTAAAGATACAAAAATTAGCTGGGTGTGGTGGCACGCGCCTGTAGTCCCAGCTACTTGGGAGGCTGAGGCAGGAGAATCGCCTGAACCCAGGAAGTAGAGGTTGCAGTGAGCTGAGGTCACGCTACTACACTCCAGCCTGTCAACAGAGTGAGACTCCTTCTAAAAAGCGTTTATGTTCATTATTCATCTAAACCTGACACTGCCTCAGTTAAGAGTTATCCCATTTTACCCAAGAGAAAAGAGAGTCTGTGGGATGTTAAATAACTTAGGTAAGACCTATTCACCCAGGAAGTGGTCAGACTAGAAATTGTACCCAGGCCTATCTGGCTGCTCAGCATCTGCTCTTTCCACTCTACCAGAATATTCATTATTTAACACAAGCTTCTCTCCTTTTTTGCCAAATAGATGATCTGTTACAGACTGTACAGAGCACATCTGGATTAGCTATTATTCTTTTTATTAAGACTATGTTTCACCCGTCTGAAAAGATTCCTCATTTGGTAAGTGCATCTCCTTTTTAGAATTGTACTTTATTGAGAGTTAGGGTATGTTTAAAAAATAATTTTGGCTTGGTGCAGTGGCTCACACTTATAATCCCAACACTTTGGGAGGCCAGGGCAGGAGGGTCACTTGAGGCCAGGAGTTTGAGATTAGCCTGGGGAGTTTAGCTAGACCTTGTCTCTACAAAAAAAAAAAAAGAAAATTTGCTGGGTATGGTGGTGCACAGCTGTAGTCCCAGCTCTTTGAGAGGTTGAGGTAGGAGGATCGCTTGAGCCTAGGAGTTTAAGGCTGCAGTGAGATAAGATTGCACCAGTCTGGGCAACAGAGTGAGACCTTGTCTCTTAAAAAAAAAAAAAATTAAAAATATTTTTAAAGAAGTGAATTAAAATAATTTTTTTTTGCATTGTCTGGTTCCTTCTGATGACCTTTTTCTGTTATAATAAGAGACAATTCCAAAAATTCAGATAAAGCAACAATAACAAAAAGACAATAACAGTCACCTGTAAGTCCATCTCACAAAGATAATCACTATAAACATTTTTGATGTACATTCTTTTAGTTTCTTTTTAGTGCTGTTTGTTCAGTGTCATCTCTCATTAGTATCTTAAAAGATATTTTTAATGTTAAAATTATGCATATCAATGTATAGATATATACACAGTAATAACTTTTCTGATAAATGTATTCTTTATTGAGAATAACCCAAATCATGTGCTTTAGACAGGAAGCATGCTAGATAGAGTCAATTGTTCAGTAAATTTGCTTCTTACAGAAAGTATAATTTGATAATTTAGGCCACAATCCTTGTATTTTTTACTAGTAGATTTCTTTTTTTGCTTGCTATATTGTATGGAAACTTATTTTATCTTTTTACCTGACCTTAGAAAAATATATTATGAGATCACACAAAGTAATTATCTTTGGATAAGTCGAAGATGTTTATTTCTCAAATCACCTCTAAAAGCATTTGTTTAAAAAAAAAATACATACCAAAAAAAAAAAGCAGTTGTTAAGCTTATCCACCTGCAGGTGGCGATGTGTTGTGCTCTGCCAGTACATTCCAACCAGCAAAATCATTCTCGTACTTGATGTAATTTTTTTCCTTTAATACTAATACAATAATCATGACATTTGTGGGTATTTTATCTTTGGATTTAGTCATTTTTCCTAGGATTTTTCAGGGGAAAGAGATGTTTGGGTTTGTATTTTGAAATATCTCTGAAAAGTTTTAAAAGCTTTATGTGTGTTAGCTCTGCTATATTTTTCCAGATTAGCAGTGTGCTGCTTCGTTCAGTGGACTGCACCAGTGTCCCCGAGTGGTTTATGAGCAGCTGCAGGAGCCTCTGTTGTGGTGACATCTCTCAGTCAGCTGTCTTATTCCTCTGTCAGGGGACACTTGCCATGTTGGACTGGCAGAACGGAAGCATGGGTCGGAGTGGGGAGGCCCTGCTCTTGGATACTGCACATGTTTTGTTCACCTTGAGTTCACAGTGAGTTTTGATGCTATCGTCTCATATTTTGTTTCACTTGTAAGACATTTAGAAGATGCAGTCCAAAAGCTGGAGTGGCTTGTGCCTCTAATCCCAGCTACCCTCCCAGTAGGCTGAGGCAAGAGGATCACTTGAGGCCAGGAGTTCAAAACCAGCCTTGGTGACATAGTGAGACTGTGTCTGTACAAAACTTTTAAAACTTAGCTGGGTGTGGTGGCATGCGCCTGTAGTCTCAGCTACGTGGGAGGCTGAGGTGAGAACATTGCTTGAGCCCAGGAGGCCGAGGATGCAGTGAGATATGATTGTGCCACTGCACTCAAGCCTGGGCGACAGAGTGAGATCCTGTCTTAAAAAAATAAATAAATAAAATTATTGCTGCAGGTTAGCCTGTAAAGAACATTTCTAAAATTAATTTTTAACATTTTCAATGTTATCGTTTTTAAAAACTATAAAAATTTTTATATGTATAGTGTTTTAGAATTTATAAAGAACTTCAACATAGGTAATCTAATGTGATCCTCAAATGGCTACTATATAGGATAAGAAATCTAATTTGTTGAATGGGCAAAGGGAGGCTTAGAAAAGTAAATGCTTACCTGAGACCATATTGCTAATAAGAACCTGAAACAGCAATCTTAGAAGGTCTTCTGACTTCATGGGGCTGTATTTTGTATTTTTGTGGTGTTTTTGCCATAATGGCTGAAAGTGATCATGTATATGAAATGTCGAAACATATATACAGCTTGATAATACTGAACATATGAATAAAGGAGGAAAACTAAAATAATTTTTTACATATTTGAGCTATATTATGCAATTCATAAATTTGAAGTGTACAATTCAGTTTATTAGTTTATTCACAGAGTTGTACAACCACCAGCATTTCTAAAATTAATTTTTAATATTCTCTTTGCTATATTTTTTCTTTAAAAATTTTTTTCCTGAAATTTGTTTTTAGCATCATTTTTTAAAACTATAAAAGTTTCTACATGTGTAGTGCTTTAGAATTTATGAAGCACTTTAACATAGGTAATCTAAAGTGATCCTTATCAACATTTCTGAAATGAAGTTTTAACATCTTAAAAGTTAATTCAAACAACTTTAGAATATTTTTATCACAGAGAAGCCCCATTCCCCCAACCATCTCCAACACTTGGCTTTCCTTATCTTTTAAATTACATGTGTAGGCCGGGCATGGTGGCTCAAGCCTGTAATCCCAGGCTTGCAGATCTCAGGCAGGTGGATCACTTGAGGTCAGGAGTTCAAGACCAGCCTGGTCAACATGGTGAAACCCTGTCTCTACTAAAAATACAAAAAATTATCTAGGCATGGGGGCATGCGCCTGTAATCCCAGCTACTGAGGCGGCTGAGGCAGGAGAATCGCTTGAACCTGGGAGGCAGGGGTTGCAGTGAGCCGAGATCGCACCACTGCACTCCAGCCTGGGTGACAGCAAGACCCTGTCTCAAATAAATAAATAAATAAATAACTTGTGTAATCATCACAGTCAAGGTAGTGAATATTTCCATCATCCCCCAAATTTCCCTATGTCCCTTCCTGGACTATTATTATTTTTGAGACAAAGTCTCGCTTTGTCACCCAGGCTGGAGTGTAGTGGCATGAGCACAGCTCATTGCAGTCTCACTCCTGAGCTCAAGCAATCCTCCCACCTCAGCTTCCCAAGTAGCTGGGACTGTAGGTGTGTGTCACCACACCCAGCTAAATTTTTAAATTTTTTATAGAGATGGGGTTTCACTATATTGCCTAGGCTGATCTTGAACTGCTTTCTGGATTATTTTTTACAAGGTAAAAAGAATCATATACAAATTTGAGATCTGTTTTGGCTTTACTTGTAGTTTTTTGTTCTTGTAAATTTAATAATTGAAATTTGTGGTCATTCTGTGTATTTAATATTTTTAAAGTCTAAATTGTTATAAAATGAAATTTCTTTTACTAATCAGTTTACAATAATGGCTCATGGCTCATTTTTCTTCAGGATTAAAGAGCCAACGCTGGAAATGTTTCTGTCTAGAATCTTAGCATCCTGGACTAATTCAGCCATACAAGTCCTTGAATCAAGTTCCCCGAGCCTAACGGACAGCCTGAATGGGAATTCAAGTATAGTTGGGAGACTTTTGGAATATGTCTATACCCATTGGGAACATCCATTGGATGCTCTGAGACACCAAACCAAAATCATGTTCAAAAACCTTCTCCAAATGCACCGGCTCACTGTGGAAGGTGCAGATTTCGTCCCTGATCCTTTCTTTGTGGAATTGACTGAGAGTCTTTTACGATTGGAATGGCATATTAAAGGAAAGTACACGTGCCTTGGTTGTTTGGTAGAGTGCATAGGAGTTGAACATATTTTGGCTATAGATAAAACTATTCCATCTCAAATCTTAGAGGTGATGGGAGACCAGTCATTGGTACCTTATGCAAGTGACCTCTTGGAAACCATGTTTAGAAATCATAAGAGTCATTTGAAATCCCAGACTGCTGAGAGTTCTTGGATTGACCAGTGGCATGAGACTTGGGTTTCTCCTCTCCTTTTTATATTGTGTGAAGGAAACTTGGATCAAAAATCTTACGTGATTGATTATTACTTGCCAAAATTATTAAGTTACAGCCCTGAAAGCTTACAGTACATGGTAAAGATTCTTCAGACTTCTATTGATGCTAAAACTGGTAAGAAAAATGCATTTTTGTTTTAGTAGTTTCTAATTATGATGCTTAAATGTAGGTAGCTATGCAGATACTAATCATATTCAAATTTAAATATCACTTCTATAAATAGTAAAGGAAGAGATTAATGATAGATGTTTCAGTTTGAAACGAATGTTCCTATATATAGCTGAATGGAGTTTTTTGGCTGAAGTCATTTCTACAAGCTAAAGAATAATTCCACTTAAAATGATAAACTTTCCTGTATTACAAGGTTTTAATTCATTTTTTCAAGTTCTGAATTTATTTTATTGTATCACTGAAATAAAAGTTTGTGTGTCTTATATAATGTGCTTATTCAAGTCATTGAGACAATAATTAAAAATTGTGTTAGGCAAGGTTAAAGACAGGTAACTTGGCAGTAGCAAGTTTTTTTCTCTGGGGAAGTGACAAAATTCAGAGGCATGATCTCAAGAAATAGCCATCTATAGTTATTTAGAATAGGGGTAAACATCCCATTGAAACTCACAAACCCTACAGGAATCACTGCATTCAAGCATAATTCAGGATGTGTAAAGTGATGATCATGACACATCATATAAATCTTAAAATTATTACATTCTGTTTAACAAAGCAAGAATGTAGTATCGTACAGCATAATTTTAAGAAATATTTTCAACTAAAATTGTTAAAAACGTTCAGTACTTCAAAGAGTAACCATGAGGTAGCAGGAAAATTTGATTCCTGTATGCAAAAATAAGCCATTATTTGTAATTTTTGACAACACTTGTTCTTGAGTTTTTGAAAAGCCATCTGAAATTCAGGATTCAAGAATCTGTTCTGAAGTAAGGTTGTCTTTATTTTTATATCAAGCTGCCCTGTCTTCTTGGTAATGGCTGACGTCCTAGCCTCTGAAACCAGCAGGCTCTTTGTGTTCCTTTTTTAATCTTTACTAGTGAGAAACAGCCACTCTAAAATATGCAGAGAGGTTCAGTGTTTACTTTTAGAGAAGTAATAGTCTGTAGCCACTGATGTGCTTATTTCTCCACCTGATTTTATTTCCTGATTTGCTGCCTGATTCCCTTTCTAGGTGTTAGGGAAAAAGCAAAAATGTTAGCAGGTAAATAATGATTTGTTTATGTTAACGATAAGAGAATTATGCTTACTTGAAATGATTGACAAAAGGGCAAATCATATTAAATAATGATTATTTTAGAATAGGAACTTTAATTTGTGTTAGAAATGAGTTTAAAATGTGATTTTTATTTATTGAAATAAAATGTTAATTGGAAACATGAAAATTAGCAGCTGATAATTATAGTAGTCATTGCATAATACAGTAATGGTCTTTGTTATTGTGCTTTCAGGACAAGAGCAATCTTTCCCATCCTTAGGGTCTTGTAATAGCAGGGGGGCTCTGGGAGCTTTGATGGCATGTCTGCGAATAGCTAGAGCTCATGGACATCTTCAGTCTGCAACTGATACCTGGGAGAACCTCGTGTCTGATGCAAGAATAAAGCAAGGCTTAATTCATCAGCATTGCCAAGTAAGTAAAGAAAATTACCTGGATTTGTACATGCAGTAGATCCCTTTCATGTAGCAGTTCAATATAGAGGCCCCTACATTGTATCCTGAACTGTTTTAGGGAGTTCATAAAGAGAATGAGTAGAAACCCTAGTCTCCCAACTAAACTTTCAGTAGGCCCTTTCTTCAAGCTACTGAAAGTTTAGTTGAGGATGTAAGAAAACTTACATAAAACAACTGGAAACTCTTAGAACTGACAATACAGATACAAGCATGCCATCATGTGCCCTTAAATACATAAGGACTCGCTTGGAAGGCTCAGAAGAGACTGATCAGAGCAGGTGGTGCTTGATTAGGAAAGTGATAGATATGATTAGAAAAGAGGAAGCCTTGGAGCAGCATACAAAATGGAGGGACCCAAATGAGCAAGGTCTGGAGGATGATTAAGAACATTGCTTATCAGGGGTGGAGTGTTTTGGACATTTTTTGGAAAGGCCTAATGCTAGGCTAAAGACTTAGTTGGTTCCCAGGCACCAGCTGGTTTTACTAAGCTAAACCAAAGCTACTCTGTTTTCAGCAAGGAGTTACATTAGTGGAAACGTGAGTTTCCAGAGTGGGAGCAGAAAGAAACCAGGAAACCAGTTAGAAGTGTCTGGCAGTAATTTAAGAGTGAGGTGATGGGGTAAAAGGGGTCACTGGAAAAAAAGAAAAAGGAATGAAGCTGAGCATTACCACGGAATAAAAATCTTTAAGATTGTTGCATTTTATAAATCCCCAATTTACATGTTTAATAAAAGAATTGTATAGGAAATAACCCTAGGATCTTTGAGATTAGGAAACCTTTCTGAGGTACCTATTGGTGAACTGAAGTTTACTTTTTTCCTTTTGTAGCCTATGTAAGTAAGCAATTCAAGTGATTTAGGCTTTGCTTATTTCTTGGAAAATTAACATTTTATTGCTTGATGTTTTTTAGGTAAGGATAGATACATTAGGCTTGCTTTGTGAAAGTAATCGGAGCACAGAAATTGTTTCCATGGAAGAAATGCAGTGGATTCAGTTCTTTATTACATACAATCTTAACAGCCAGTCTCCAGGAGTGCGGCAACAGATCTGTTCTCTTCTTAAAAAGGTAGAATTTCCCATCAGAAGGCATAGGGAAGTGGTGAACTTTGTTTGGGAAATCGTTTTTAAAAAGAGCCCAGATTTTGGGAGCGTGTGGGAATGGTCATGGAATTGGGCTACCACATCTGTTCATGACGGCCGTTCTGTGACCTGTTCTCTCATTCCATAAAGCTTACATTTGGGATTAAAATCCAGAGTGAAAAGCACGCACCCCTCCCCCCACCATTTTTTTTCAGGAGTTCAGAATCAGCCTGGGCAACACAGTCAAACCCCATCTCTACTAAAATACAAAAAAATTAGCCGGTTGTGGCAGTGTGTGCCTGTAGTCCTAGCTATTTGGGAGGCTGAAGCAGGAGAATTGCTTGAACCTAGGAGCGGAGGTTGCAGTGAGCCGAGATTGTACCACTGCACTCCAGCCTGGGCAACAGAGTGAGACTCGGTCTCCAAAAAAAAAAAAAAAAAAATAGTCTTGCTCTGTCAGCCAGGCTGGAGTGCAGTGGTGTGATCATAGCTCACTGTACCCTCAACCTCCCAGGCTCAAGCGATTCTTCCTCCCCAGCCTCTGAAGTAGCTGGGATGACAGGGGCACACCACCATGCCTGACTAATATTTAATTTTTTTTTAGAGATAGTGTCTTGCTCTGTTACCCAGGCTGGTCTTAAACTCCTGGACTCTAGTGGTCCTGCCACCTCAGCCTCCCAAAGTGTTGTGGTTACAGGCATGAGCCACCACACATGGCCAAAAGGCCTTTCATTTTGGTGTAGTAAATCAACCTTGGGCTCTTTTTTGTAAAGAAAAAGTCTAATGCTGGAGTTAAGGTAGTTTTAAGAAAACTTGGTAACAGCATTTTTATAGTTTAAGCACCTCAAAAGATCATTATCAAATAATCTAACTTGAATTAATTGCACACACATTTATGGGGTGAAGAATTGGTAAAGTAGGGAAATGACTAAATCATCTTCAGGTTTGTGCCAACTTAAAGGAAACAGAATTGTGGTTTAATGACAGTATTCTGCTTTGCAGTAATAGTTTGTTTTTGGTATAAAAATTATTTTCTGTCAAAAAGAAACATTATAAAATATTAAGAGCTTAAAAATCTGTACTCTTCTTGCCTGAAGTTTTATTCTAAATAATTTGCCTCTCAGGCTGACATTTAAATTTAATGTGTGGCTCACCTGTGCTTCATTTCCTTTGTTTCAAAAGTTGTTTTGTAGGATACAGGAAAGTTCTCAGGTACTTTATAAATTGGAGCAGAGTAAATCCAAACGTGAACCAGAGAATGAGTTAACCAAACAGCACCCTTCTGTTTCTTTACAGCAGTATAAGGTAGGTGATATATTTCTAAACATGAGAGTTTTTTTTTAAATTAAAAAGTATTATGAATAAGCATTAAAGGGAAATAAATGGAAGTCTCTTGGTAAATTGTGTTTCTGTGTTTTTTTCCTTCAAGCTGAGTATTACCTATTTCTGGTGCTTTGGTACTCTACTTGATGTAGCCTGGGTTATGGAACCAGTGCTGTACCGGAGGACTGTTACAGAATGACGTTAGTGGGCTAACCTCAATCACTTTCAGCTTATGTGGGCGAGATGAATTTAGTACTTTTAACAGAAGGGTAATTGACAGTACTGAACTCTGTCCCTCTCCAGGGCAGAAGACTGCTGTTGCTGGGCCTGTTTTCTCTTTAGTTTGAGATGACTTACAGAGGCTTGATATTAATGACTCTTGGCCCATGGTCCAGCTGTGGAGGGAGCTTGCTGTCTGTGTCACATTGGAGTGAGCTTGAAGAGTAGGGCTGGATTTTAGGGCATTGTGTTAATGAAATGGATGGAAACCTGGGTGCAGCAGCTCCAGTCTGGGCCAGGGCTTAGCTTGACAATCTTGAATTTCTTTTCAGCAGAACAGATTGAGCTTTTCACTGTTCTTCCCCCAAATCTAGCCTTTGAGAAGCAGACCCTTTTTTGCTCCTCAGGCCCAGACAGAAGACAGCTTACCTATTTATTTTAAGAAAGAGGTAGATTAATAGATTAATGATACGTTTGAACTATGACATGCTCACTACTTACTCTAAACATTATTATGGATGCCCTTGGTTTTCAATTTTGTATTTAAAAGATAAAAAGCCATCAAACAAAGAGTATTTATATACAAAGGGTAAAATTAGCTTCGACCTTTTAAAATCTCAATGACGAAGATTGGGACGTCACAACCTGAACTTTAAAGACATGGGTTTACTCCTGATTCTGCCACTTATTAGTTGGCTGACTTGAGTCTCGTCAACTATAAGCAGAATTAGTAACCTTTCTCAAAGATTGATTTGAGGATTAAATGAAAAAGCTCTTTGTAGACTATATATCTCTCCACTTGATCTTAGCTAAAAGGCCGAGAAGTGATGTAAACTATATATCTCTCTACAAAGCCTTGCTGGGAGTCATTAAAAGCGACTAGTGGTGGCTCATGCCTATAATCTCAGCACTTTGGGAGGTTGAGGCAGGAGGATCACTTGAGTCCAGGACTTCAAGACTAGCCTGGGCAACATAGCAAGACCCCATCTCTATTAAAAGAAAAAGGCAACCCTGAGACGGGCGTGGTGGTGTGCACCTGTGTTCCCAGATACTCTGGAGGCTTAGGGTTGAAGGTTGCTGGAGTCTGGGAGGTGAGGGCTGTGGTGAGCCTTAATTGTAGCACTGCACTCCATCCTGAGCAACAGAGCAGCGAGACCCTGCTTCAAAAAAATTAATAAATAAAAATTTTAAAAGTGACTAGAATATATATTGAAGCCCCCAGTGTGTGTGTAGGATAGTTAAAAAAATTTTTTTTAATTAATTAATTCTTTGTAGATGTAGGTTCTTGCTGTGTTACCCAGGCTGGTTTCAAAATCCTGGCCTCAAATGATTCCCCCCACTCCACCTCCCAAAGTGCTGGGATTACAGGCATGACATACTACCTATTCTAAACATTATTATGGATCATTGTGGATATTATGCCCAGCCTAGTTATTTTGTAGTTTCTCTTAGATCATTGGTAGATTTAACAATGCATATCTCGTTTGCTTTCTTTTTGCAAGGGGTAAAATGACATTTGTGAAAACTCAGGTACTTGGAAACACAAAAGCTGTTTTTTGGATTGAGATTGTGAATTTTCATGTATGCATGGTTTCTTGGTCTGTGTTATAGGTATGCATGTTTTGAAAACTAGTCCTTTGAGTCTTAATCTGAGTCAGTCTCATGGTTGTGGTACTTTTTCCCTACTGGTACACCTGTGGCTTTTAGAGGTTGTGACCTTGGCACTATATTGTTATAATCGTCACACCATCATAAGAGTGGGTGCCATGCACAGGGTGTGGTAGGCTCACAATCAATAGACTAAGTGCTGGGGGAGAAGAGGAGGCTATTAGTTGAAAAAGACATCTTCTAGGCTAGTGGAGATTATTTTATACCTAAATAACTGATATTAGTAACTAGAGTACTTTTAAATTTATAAAATATTAGATGTCCATGTTCTCATTTAACCTTTAATAAAAAGGCTGTGAGATAACATTCTTATCCCCACTTAACAAGTGAGAAAGCTGAAGCTCAGTGAAGTTCAATAACCTGTGTAAGGTTCCTCAGCTAGTAAGTGGTAGAGTCAGAACTCCAATCCAGACCTGCTCTTGACTCCAAAATCTCAGTATTTTCTCCCCCCCACCCCCAGTAGTAGCTTAATGAAGGCTTGGAGATAAGAAAGTACAGGGAGAACTCAGGGAATGGTGAATTCACTGATGTGAATGACATAAAATACCTTGGGGAATGGAGGACTTGAGTAATGGGAAGTGAATCCAAAGAATCAAGTTGAAAATGGATAGCTTTCAGTGATAGGCCAACGGATTTGGAAGCTTCACTGGGAACCATTAAAAGTGATTAGAGCATATACTGAGCATTACTATGTATGTAGGATAGTGTGCTCAGCACTAGGGATCCAACCATAGAAATGTGGTCCCTGCATATATTGTGGCTACAGTCTGATTGCAGGAAACAAGAACTATATTAAACCATATAAATGACAATACGGTTTGAATGATACTTCTTAGTGGATGATCTTGTTTTTTTTCAGAGGGAGTTTCGCTCTTTCGCCCAGGCCAGACTGCAGTGGCGTGATCTTGGCTCACTGCAACCTCTGCCTCCTGGGTTCAAGCAATTCTCCTGCCTCAGCCTCCCGAGTAGCTGGGACTACAGGCCTCTGCCACCACACCTGGCTAATTTTTGTATTTTTAGTAGAGACAGGGTTTCATGTTGGACATGCTGGTCTCGAACTTCTGACCTCAGGTGATCTGCCCACCTCGGCCTCCCAAAGTGCTGGGATTACAGGCATGAGCCACCACGCCTGGCCCTTGTTGTGTTTTAATGTGAATCCTGTTTTACTTATAATTAAAAGTAGCTTAACTAGGATATTTTTCAGTAATGGCCCTATTTCTTTGAAACCGAATAGAATTAATAACCTAATAAACTCTTAGGGCTTGTGGGACCTAAAGGATAATTCCCCAGGGTTGCATGTCCTTCACCTGAGAAATGAATGCAGGGATCTTTGGTAGAGTCAGTTAAGACTAGGGCTGTTGAACCCAGCGAGACTCTGTCTTAAAAAAAAAAAAAAAGTGTACGTATCTGTCTGGGCTACAATAGAAATTGTACTTCTTGTTGACTCTGCAAATATAGGGTTTATTAAAGTCATAATATAGCTTATGGTCAAGGGTGCTAACCTGAATTATTAAGCAAAGTGAACAACCAGTATCATTTTTTGAAATGTTTTATTTTTAAATTGAAAACAAAAACACCCACTCTTAAAGGGTGTTTAATACTCTGAATATAACCTATTGTGACGTAATTATACTTACTGTAATTTTTTTTTTTTTTTTAAGAATTTCATGTCATCCATTTGTAACAGTCTTTTTGAAGCATTGTTTCCTGGATCTTCCTACTCGACTAGATTTTCAGCTTTAACCATTTTAGGTTCAATAGCTGAAGTTTTTCATGTCCCAGAAGGTAAGTGTTTAATAATGTTAGGGGAAGTAATTTTTGTTTTCTTTCAAAACATACTTATTCTACATTTTGCTTTATTTGAAGTTTCAGTTTTGTTGCCTTTCTTTGAGGTTTCATTCTTACCTTATAATTCTTGCTTGTACATAATGAAATTTGCTAGTAAAGGACAGAAGAGGAAGAAACTATCTCCCTTTTCATTGATCATTATTTGCCAACCCCAAAGTATAATTTTCATGGATTATGCTTATTATGGAAAGAGTTCCAGCTATTACCTCACTAATTTGTTTGTTGCTGTTTTAAGATAGTATCCAATCTGTTCTTTAAGTTTTAAAATTTGAAATAATAATAGCTTCTATTATATTTAATATTTCTCAGTGAGTCTCTGTGGTTAAAATGTGGTTTCCTTTACATGCCGTCTGTTTCATGTGCCTCAGTCTGGTTTCGGAAAGACAATATGAGGATGTAATTTCCAAGTATTCTGATTTAATAATACCCTTTGTTTTTCCTTCTGTGTGGTTCTCAAGAGGGTCAAATTTCAGTTCCCTCTTTGAATCTTTTTTTTTTGTTTCATTTTTTCCTTTTTGACAAGAAATGATTCCTTTTTTTTTATTTTGAGACAGAGTCTAGCTCTGTTGCCCAGGCTGGAGTGTGGTGGCGTGATCTCGGCTCACTGCAACCTCCGCCTGCTGGGTTCAAGCGATTCTCCTGCCTCAGCCTCCCGAGTAGCTGGGACTTCAGGCGCATGCCGCTACACCTGGCTAATTTTTTGTATTTTTAGTAGAGATGGGGTTTCACCATGTTAAGTCAGGATGGTCTCGATCTCCTGACCTCGTGATCTGCCCGCCTCGGCCTCCCAAAGTGGTGAGATTACAGGCGTGAGCCACCGTGTCCTGCTGAAATGATTCTTTTTTCCCTGTATATGTGTGTATATGTGTTAGAATGTGGGATTTCTTGCTTGTGCTGTCTTCGTTGACTGTGGTCAAACAGGAAAATATCCTGCTCAGCTGCTCCTTCACAGGGAATGGCCAAAGCATGAGGGAGCTTTACACTATCATTGGATTCTTTTTTATTTTAAATTATTGGGCAAAGTGTAATTTTTTGACAGGAGGACAGTTAGCTAATGTAAAAGAGGCTTGCTTCATTTGGGGAAAATCAGTTTTTAAAAGTTTTTATTCTGAAAAAATTTAAATCAGCAGCAAAGTTTCAAGACTGGTTCAATGAATAGCTATTTATGCTCTACCTAGATTCATCTTTTTTTTTTTTTTTTTTGAGACGGAGTCTCGCTCTGTTGCCCAGGCTGGGGTACAGTGGCATGATCACCGTGACCTCTGCCTCCTGGGTTCAAGCAGTTCTCCTGTCTCAGCCTCCTGAGTAGCTGGGATTACAGGCACGTGCCACCACGCCCAGGTTAATTTTTGTATTTTTAGTAGAGACGGGGTTTCACCATGTTGGTCAGGCTGGTCTCGAACTCCTGACCTCAGGTTGTCCGCCTTGCTTAGTCTCCCAAAGTGCTGGGATTACAGGTGTGAGCCACCGCACCTGGCCAATTCATCAGTTATTAATATTTTGCAATATTTGCTATATCTGTGTCCTTTATTAATTCTATAACCATAACACAATGATCAAATTCAGGAAATTGAATGTTGATACAATGCTTTAATTGAATACGCAATCCATATTTAAATTTTGCCAATTGTCCCAACAAATGGCCTTTTATATTATAGAACAAAAAGCTTCCTACAATCTGGGAAGCAATCCTAGATCACGCATTGCGTTTTGTTATTATGCCTCTTTTTAGCTTCCTTTAATCTGGAAAGTTTCTAATTTTATGATATTAACATTTTGGAAGAATATGTCTCAGGGTTTGTCTCATTGTTTCCTGATGATTTGATTCATGCTGTACATTTTTGCAGGAATGTTGCATAGGTGATAATGGTGTTCTTCACAGGGCATCCTATTAGAGTATTGATGATACTGGCTTGTTCCAGTTTTTATAATAGGAAATATGATCACCTTATTCACGTGGGGATGGCAGGCTGAAAAATGGTCTCTAAAACACATCCACATCAAATCTTTAGAAGCTGTGAATGCAAACCTTACATGGAAGAAGGGTCCTTGCAGATATTCTTAAGTTTAGGATCTTGAGGTGAGATAATTCTAGATTATCTTGATGGATCAAAAATGTCATCACAAGTATCCTTACAAGACAGAGGCAGAGAGAGATTTGACAAACAAAAGAAAGAGGAGGCAGTGCGACAGCGTAGGTAGAGATTGGCATGAGATGGCTACAGGCCATGGAATGCCTGCAGCTGCTAGAAGCTGGAAGAGGCAAGGAACAGATTTTAGAGCCTCTGGAGTGCATGGCCCTACTGACACCTTGATTTTGAACTTCTGGCTTCCAGAACTATGAGAGAATAGGTTTCTGTGGTTTTAAGCACCAAGTATGTGGTAATTTGTTACAGCATCCAGTGAATGCGGGAGTCTCCCATCAGTTCATAGAATTTCAATAGTACTTCAACTTAATTTAGAAAATAAGTTTTTACCTTAGAGTGATTGATTACTTCAACCATATAACAAAAAGTTTTCTGCACATTTAAAGCAGTTGTAGCTGCATCTAAGTGTGTGGGAAATAAAACTAGGCTGAAGCGTACCTATAATTTTTCAGTCAAGAGAGTAATTTAATACATTTAAATGTACTTTAAAAATGAAAACCCTGAGTCATCTTTCTAATGAATGAGTTGCATGTAATTGGGCAGTGACTTAATGCCATCGTAATTATGTTAGACAACTGGGAGGTAATGCAAATGGAGCAAGCCATACTGCAGGCATTACTTTTAAAGGAGGCTTAAGAACCTTGACTATGAAGTACAGGATGGGAGATGTAAATTCATCCTTCATTATCATCTCAAGAACTTCAGTGGTAGGACTGATTTGAGATTAGTCAAATGGTTTCTGCCTTTCCTAGACCAGGAAGAATAAGTTGCATGCATCTTTCTTATGTGGAATCAAATGCCACAATATTGATGGTAAAAAAAAATCTACAATTAGATTAAAAGGATTTGTTCAGCAAATATTAATTTCGTGCTTATTATATGTCAAGCAGCCGAGGATATTCACAGTCCCAAACAAGGTGCTTCTTCCTTTGGAGCTTATGTTTCAGTGAAGGGAGATAGTAATGAACAAGTAATACATAGAATTTGTGTATATTAGTACATTATGTAGATACAAGATTATGTAGATTATTTATGTACAAGATGTAGATAAGTTCTGTGAAAAGTATTTCAAGAAGATAAGGGGGATATATAGAAGACCTAGGAGGCTGGAGAGTGTTAGTGGCTTCATACAGTGGTGTCATAAAGGGCTTCACATTTGAAAAAAGCTCTTAAACAACTGATGGATAAAAGAATAAATCATGAAGGAAGTTAGAAAATATTTTGAGATGAATGAAAGCAAAAATACAACGTACGAAAACTTATGCATTGCAGCAAAAGCTGTGCTTATAGGGAAAGTTATAGCTGTAAATGCCTACATTAAAAGATCTTGAATTAATAACCAAGTTAACTTTCCACCTCAAGCAATTAGAAGAGAAGAACAAACTTAAAAGGAAGGAAACAAAAAGATTAGAACAGAGATAAATGAAATAGAAAACAGAAAAACAACACGAATAATCTACGAAACCAGAAGTTGTGTTTTTTAAAGATTAACAAATAGACAAAGTTTGCTAAACTGACTAAGATAAAAGAAAGACAGTATAAACAACTAAAATCAGAAATGAAAGTAGGAACATTTCTATTAAGTTTGCAGAAATAAAAATGATTATAAGACAGTACAGTGAACAATTGTAACACCAACAAGTTAGATAACCTACATGAAATGGACAAGTTTCTAGAAACATGACAATTAGTGACTTGAGAAGAAATAGAAAATGTGAGCAGACCTATAAGAGATTGAATCAGTATTCAAAAGGCTCACAGAGGAAGAGAAGGTTCAGGGCAAGTGACTTCTCTGGTGAAATCTACAAAGCATTTAAAGAAGAATTACACCAGTCCTTCTGAGACTCTTTCAAAAAATTGGAGAGAAGGGAACACCTCCTACCTCATTTTATAAGGCCATGATTACCCCGATACCAAAACCAAAGACACTTAAAAGAAAACCAGCCGGGTGTGGTGGCTCATGCCTGTAATCCCACCACTTTGGGAGGCCGAGTCAGGTGGATCACCTGAGATCAGGAGTTTAAGACCAGACTGGCCAACATGGTGAAACCCCGTCGCTACTAAAAATACAAAAAATTAGCCGGGCGTGGTGGCAGGTACCTGTAATCCCAGCTACTCAGGAGGCTGAGGCAGGAGAATTGCCTGAACCCAGGAGGCTGAGGTTTCAATGGGCTGAGATTGCGCCATTGTACTCCAGCCTGGGCGACAAGAGCAAGACTTCATCAAAGAAAAGAGAAGAAAACAGAGGAGAAGAGAAGGAAAAGAAGAAAGAAAAGGAAAGAAAAAACCAAAGACCAATATCCTTTATGGATATAGAGGCAAAAACCCTCAATAGAATACTAGCAAACCAAATCCAACAGCATATTAAAAGTGTTATATACCATTAGTAAGTGGAATTTATCCCAGGAATGTAAGGGTGGGTCAATTTAAGAATAATAGTCAATGTAATACACCACATTAAAATGAAAATGGAAATACCATGTGATCGTCTCAATTTTTGCAGAAAAGGCATTTGACAGAATTCAGTACCCTTTTATGATTAAAAAAATGAGCACAGCAAAACTAGAAATAGGAAGGACAAGATGATGAAGGACATTTGTAACACAACCACAGGTAACATCACACTCACTGGTGAGAAACTGAAAGCTTTTGTCCTAAGATCAGGAAGAAGACACAGATGCCCACTGTCATCACTGCTGTTCACCATTGTACTGAAAGTTCTAGCCAGAGCAATTATACAAGAAAAAAATAAAAAGCAGTGAGATTGGAAAACAAGAAGCAAATCTGAGCAGAGTTGTTAAGGAAGTAACAAAAACCTCAGGTGTCGGCTCTAGGAATTTCATAGGGTTGTTCTAACTTGTAAATTAAAATTAAATGAGAAGTTTGTATCCCAATTTATATTCCTCAAATTAACTAAGCATAATAATGTTTTCAGTTTTCATTAGGAGTTCACTTGTGAAATGTTTTTAAATGTTCTTCACATTTTGCCATGAAACCTGTTTTTCCACAGTTCTTGAGTTTTCATCCTAGAGTTAAGTGGAGTCAGTGATTACCATCATTCTTTGGGATAATTTTTCTTTTCATCCCTTGGTTGGCTGAAATTCCTTTTTCTCTAAGAGTTTCTGGAGATAAGTAGTTCTTAATTTCTTGCATATTATAAAATGTTTCTATTGTTCTTACACTTGAATAAGAGTTTGATAGGCAAAGTTCTTCACACCTTCATTCCCTGAGGATTTTGTAAGCATTGCTCCATTATCTTTTAGCACTACATGTTGTTATAGGGATGAGTGAAGCCAGTCTAATTTTTTCCATTTTGTAGATGAATTGAGCTTTTCCCTGAAGGGCCAAAAGATTCCTTCTTTATCTTTGACTCCCAGTAAGTCTATCAGGATATGTCATCATACTGATCATTCTATGTCAGTTCACTCTAAGATATGGTAGGACTTTGCTTTTTTTTTTTTTTTTTTTTTTGAGACCAAGTCTCACTCTGTTGCGCAGGCTGGAGTGCACTGACATGAGCTCAGCTCACTGCAATCTCCGTCTCCTGGCCTCGAGCGATTCTGCTGCCTCAGCCTCCCAAGTAGCTGGGATTACAGTCGTGTGCCACTATGCCTGGCTAATTTTTGTGTTTTTAGTAGAGAAGGGGTTTTACTTTGTTGGCCAGACTGGTCTCAAACTCTTGACCTCAGGTGATCCACCCACCTCAGCCTCCCAAAGTGCTGGGATTACAGGTGTGAGCCGCTGAGCCTGGCCAGAACTTTGTATTCTAGGTCAAGAAGTTTTATTAGGATTTTTAAAAAGATGTGTTTCTAAATTTACTTGTTTTTGTTTATTTTTAACAATAACTTAGAAATCTTTTATATAGTATCTTTCAAAAGATAATGGAATGGTTTAAAAATCTTTTTTAATTTGGAGAACTGTAGTACTTATTTTGTCATTTTAAGAAATAAATTAATGGAAAAGTTACTGTTTTAGCTATCATGGGTAAAGTATGAAGTGTGGTTTTTTGGTACTTATTTTCTATAAATTTGGTCAAATAACTTCAGAAGACTGATTTCTTTTTGTTCACTTTTAAATCTTTTTGTTTTTAAAATATTTTTAGGCAGAATTTATACAGTATATCAGCTGAGTCATGATATTGATGTTGGTCGTTTCCAAACACTAATGGAATGTTTTACCAGCACTTTTGAAGACGTGAAAATTTTAGCATTTGATCTTCTGATGAAGTTATCAAAAACAGCTGTACATTTTCAGGTATCAGGACTTTTCTAGTATAAATGTGGTATATGCATGGAAACTTTCTATCAGCAGATAAAGCAATCTGAGGATTATTCATGTGCTTTGCATCTGCCTGCTCATGTTTTTGGACTGTTTCTTTCAGTTATCATTAACACCTCTCTACTATTTTGGGGTTAGTGGGAAAGGAGGAAATATCAAAAAGTAAATAAGGCACAAATCAGTGAGCTTTGCTGTTTTTATTGCTTTGATAAAAAGGGAGGTGTAGGAGGTGGTAGGTTTTATTGTTTACAAGATTATTGGTAGATTTTAGTTAACTGTGGTTTCCCCTGTTCCCTTGGACATGTAATATTCGATCAGAACACATCACTTACAGTAACTTGCATTTTTCGAGATAATCTCCCTTTTTCATACACTTGAGAAACTGAGTGTAAATGAGGTAGAGAGGATGTTTCTGGTTTTTGAACCAGCAATAGCTAAACTGAGACTGAAACTTACCGAGTACTTGAGGTTAACAACAGTTCCTAGTGCTCTACCTCATCCCCAGCCCCTCCATTCTTCCTGACACATTGCTCTTCCCACTTTGGGGTAGGAATTAAAGGTGGGGTTGGAAGTGAACACATTGTGTGGGGATGAGTCTGCAGGGGACTTCCAGACCCTGGCTCTTAGCTCTGCCCTTGAGGCTTCTCCTAGGGCTGTTGGGTCACCAGCAGAGTACTGGTTCTGGAGCTTAGCTATGGCTTTCTATTAGAGCTCTATAAAGGCCGAGGGTTTCTGCTGCAGCTGAGCCATGGTCTAGGCTGTGGTTGTTCAGCTGTGTTTAGGGCATGGTAGCTTGTAGATGCAGTGGATTCTGTAGGATCACATGCCAGAGAGGATAGTGTCTGTTTCTGTGGCTTCTAGATGGCTATGTAGAACATCTATCTATCTGTATCTCTCAGAACATCAATCTTTTTTGACTTGGGTCCATATTGGAAGTTGCTGTACAGCATCTACCGATGCCTATGATTTTTCAGGTGCCCTTGTGAGCAGAAAGTTCCCTGGTGCTCAGGCTGCTAACTTTTGTTACCATACACAGTTTTTAAAGAGGAGATTTTCTCTTCCTCTGTCTGCCACTCCTCACCTTATCATTCATCACATGTCACCTCATATTGTGTCAATAGCGATGCCCCATTCTTGGCAAATATTTTGAGAGTACCTGGATGGAGAAGGCATATTATGGCATAAATGTGAAAGACCTGGCCCTTACATCACTAAGGGGCTCAGGGGACCTCTGCATCTCTAAATTTGATAAACCCGTGCTTGGTATATTGACACTAGCCATAGAATTCAAGAAATTTAGTACCACATGTGGTTTGCTATAGGATTTTGATTATACTCTCTGGCTTGCAGATTAGTAAAATAGTTAAAGGAATAGGCATTCAAGATTTAAAAATATTAATTATATATTTGTATTAGGGTTTTCTAGAGGGACAGAACTAATAGGATAGATGTATATATAAAGGAGAGTTTATTAAGGAGTATTGACTCACACGATCACAAGCTGAGGCCCCACAATAGCCCTCTGCAAGCTGAGGAGCAAGGAAGCTAAAGCTGAAGAACTTGCAAGAGTCTGATGTTCCAGCGCAGGAAGCATCCAGCATGGGAGAAGTAGGCCAGAAGACTAAACCAGTCTAATCTTTCCATGTTCTTCTTCCTGCTTTTATTCTTGCTGCACTGGCATCTGATTAGATTGTGTTTACCCAGGTGGAGGATGGATCTGCCTTTCCCAGTCCACTGATTGAAATATTAATCTCCTTTGGCAACACCCTCACAGACACACACAGGAACAATACTTTGCATCCTTCAATCCAATCAAGCTGACACTCAGTATTAACCATCACAATATTATATTTCCAAAGTCTTTCTTTGGGTGTCCCTTATATAATATATAATTAATTTTTAATACAGTTAAGTGTACAGCAGTTTTTGAATGCTAACCTGATCTCTCTAAGGACGTGTACATACGTATTGTTGACGGCATATTTTTCTCATAAATAGCTTGACTATCCTACTCACCTAGGTTACTCTCCTTCTTTGGAGCTGCATATCCTAGGTCTTTTGTCATATTATACTTCGATTGACCTAAGATGACGGAACAAAGACATTTTAGACTTCAAAGGCTATTTATTATCTTTCTTACTAATGATTAATAAAACAGTTCTGGGACTTAACTGTCAGTTAAAAAATGGTTTAGATGCTTAATTGGTTCTTTCTAATACTTATTTAAACTTGAACTTTGGCCACTACTTTTAAGTTTTTTATTTAGGTCATAGAAAATAAACTTATCAAATGGTAAAGAATTTAAATTGAAATAAACAGATATTTAAATCAGCACATTTGATATCCACTGTTGTGAAATTATAAAACATCATCAAATATTTGTAGACCTATAATCAACTTCAAAATTGAGTGTATAATTATTTTTTCCTAACACAAGATAGGGAATAATCCTAGTAGAATCAGAATATTATTGAGCAGCCAAACCCTGACTTCCAGACTTATGAACACACAGCTTGCCAGTTGTTGAAGTTGGGACTAGGACTTATGTCTTCTGTTGTCAGCCCAGTGCCTTTCCATGACTACAACAGCAAACTGTCCTTTGTTCTGTCTTCTTTAGGACAGGCGATGTGAGTGGATGTTTCTGTGAGATATAGGTGTGGGAGCTCTGATGCATAATTTCTGAGGCTGAATTGATCACTTTGTTTTCCACACACACAAAGTTTCACCAGGTACAGCCTCCCAGGGGATTTGCAGTTTTCTCCAGTGAACTACCTGTATAGGAAGGAGGAAGGGAGAAGGGCAGCCATATGATGCCCAGGTGAAACATAAGCCCTGAGAGACTATGAACTGCCCTGTCTAGAAATAGTAAAGATAGTCTGGCTGTAGTCATAGCAAAATTCTACAGGACAAAGTACACTTTTGCTGAAGAAAGAAGCAGTTTTAAAAAAAGGTTTTATCAGTGTTGAATTTCCCAATTGAAATTATTTCCAGCTGATTAATAATCATTAATTACTGTAATAAAAAACTCACCTATATTCAGGGAGAGAGGAAACTAATGTTTATATTGACTTACAATTATATGCCAGGCTGTGTTGTTTTGTTTTGTTTTGTTTTTTTTCTTTTAATAGAGACAGGGTCTCACTCTATTGCCTAGGCTGGAGCACAGTGGTGCAATCACTGCTCACTGCAGCCATGAACTCCTGAGCTCGAGTGATCCTCACCTCTCAGCCTCTTGAATGGCTGGGACTACAGGTGTGCACCATTACACCCAGCTAATTTTTAAGGTTTTTCGTAGAGTTTTTGTAGAGTAAGTTTTTTGTCTCACCGTGTTGCCCAGGCTGGTCTCAAGACTCCTAACCTCAAGTGATCCTCCCATCTTGGCCTTCCAAAGTGATGGGGTTACAGATATGAGCCACTGCACCAAGCCTGTGTTTTTTGTTGTTGTTTTTTTGAGATGGGGTCTCACTATGTTGTCTTGGCTGATCTTGAGCTCCTGGCCTCAAGTAATCCTCCTCCATCAGCCTCTTGAGTAGCTGGGACTCTAGGCTCGAGCCCACTGTACTCAGCTCCAGGCTGTGTTTTAAAAAATTTACTATTTTTTTAAATTAAAGAGATCTTTAATTTGACAGTTACTGAGTCTGCGCTTTATTCTAGGATTCGGGGAAACTGCAAGGCTTATTTCAGGCAGCATTGGAGCTCAGCACAAGCACCAAACCATACGACTGTGTGACAGCTTCCTACCTGCTGAACTTCTTAATCTGGCAGGATGCTCTACCGTCATCCTTGTCTGCCTACTTAACTCAGCAAGTTGCATGTGATAATGGAGATAGGCCTGCTGCTGTGGTGGAAAGGAACACATTAATGGGTTTGTATTGATGTTTGCTCTTATCAAAACGAATAGCTTAGTCTCAGTATTCATTTGGTTAGAATATCTAATGGTTAAACATATATTTTGTGGTTTTTTATTTAAAAGTTTATCAGCATATAAGAGCACCATGGGTTCTCATTATGCAAATGAACATTTTAGTCAGCTATAATACTTTTTTCTAAACAGTGGATTTATGTTGAATAAGTACATATACAAATATTTATTAATAAAGCTCTTTTGAAATGAGAATGACCTCTTTCTCCACCAAAAGTGTGCTTTTTTCCCTACATAAATTATACTGTGACTAGAGACAGACCATCTTTATTGTTTCTATATAGGTGGAGTTCCTTTTTCTGTCAGGGTTTATGTTTTAATTAACTGTCATACCCCTGCCTTTTACTCTTCCCAAATAGCCAGTTCCAAAACCTAGGGTCTGAGATTATTCAGATCTAGTGATTTTCAACAAATATTTATTGGGGATTCATGTACTTAATTTTATGCTAGTCAGTCTTCATTTTAGAATTGTACTAGAAATAAGGACAGATAAGGATTTTTTTTTAATAGGAAAAGGGAGATCAGATATAGAAAGAGAGTTAAAAATTATTATTTCCAGGATGGTAGAAACAGCCATGAAAAAGAGAACTAGTAATGGGAGAAAAAGAGGAGGCCATGGGTAGTTCTGGTGGGAATATGGCCAGAGATCTGGAGATAGAGAGGTGACAGTACCATGGAGGATGATGCTTGCCTACTTGAATTGCTTCATAGCTGGATTTCAAAGGAGACCCTATTGAGACAGTGGGAAGAGGACTGCAATTGAGGTGAATAGGGAATGCATGCTTCACATAAAGGCTTTCAATTCAAGACATTTTAGGACTTTATGAGATATTTCAAACATACAAAGAATGTTTAAATATAGACGGCTTAAAAAACATATATATATATATACATGTAATATATATAAATAATATGTAAAAAGTTCACAAGTTTTATTCACAAGCTAGGTGATCACACTTACCTTAAGTCATACAATAACACTCATATCTTTGAAGCCTTTCCTTTATCCTGGCTGTATTTTATATTAATTTTTATCTTCTTTTTTTTAATAATATTGCCTCTGGTGTATATATTATTATATATTATTCAGTTTTACATGATACTGAATTTTCTCAGTAGTACTTACTGTATATATTGTACAGATTTACCACAATTTATGAATCCGTTCTCCTGTTGATGGACTTTTTCTCCTAAATAAATAATGCCAGTGTAAACATTCTTATGTAGATCTTTTACATATAGGTTGAGCATCCGTAATCCAACACCTGAAATGGTCCAAAATCCAAAGCTTTTTGAGTACCAACATGACACTCAAAGGAAATGCACATTGGAGCATTTTGGATTTTGGATTTTCACATTTGGGGTGTTCAAAGTATGATGCAGATATTCCAAAATCTGAAAAAATATAAAATCTGAAACGCTTATGGTCCCAAGCATTTCAGATAAGGAGTACTTAGCCTGTATATTAATATCTTCTAATGCACATGTCTAAGAGTTTATGGTAAACAAATGGAATAACCTGGTCACAAAGTATGTGCATCTTGAACTTTATGAGATGATGCCAAGTAGGCTTTTAAATTACACTCTCACCAACAAATTCCGAGACTTGTATTGCATCACATCATCACCATAATTTGCTATTGTCAGATTTTAAAAATTTATATAATATAAAACGATATCTCATTGTGGTTTCATCTTACATTTTTCTGATTACTAATACAATTATTTTTTCCCATGTTTACAAGCCATTTACTTTTCCCCTTCAGTGCAATGCCTGTCGATGTCCTTTGTCCAGTTTTTCTGTAGGGTTGTTTGTCTTTTTCTTATTGATTTTTAGGAGTTCTTTTATATGTTCTGAATAATAATTTACTGTTTTTACCAAATCTAATATTTAGAATATAACCTTCTCCTTCCAAGGCGTTGAGGGGAGATGTCTGTTATACTGGTATAACTGGACATGTACATGCAAGAGAATGAAATTAGATTCACTACCTTATGCCATATACAAAAGCTAGCTCAAAATAAATAAAAGACTTAAATATAAGAGCTAAAACTATAAAATTCTTGGAAGAAAACATAGATGTCAGTCATTGTGATCTTGGGTTAACCAATGGTTAGTTATGACTTCCAAAGTACAAGCCACAAAGGGAAACAAAAGATAAATTGGACTTCATCAAAATTTAAAACTATTGTATGTGAAAGGATGCCATTAAGAAATTGAAAAAGCCTGAAAAATGGGGTATTTGCAAATCCTATGTCTGATAAGGGACTTTTGTCTAGTATATATAAAGAACTTGTACAACTCACTAATAAAAGGACATAACCACATTTTACAATTGGACAAAGAATCTGAATAGACATTTTTCCAAAGAAGATATACACATGAACAATGAGCACATTAAAAAGTGCTCAACATCAAAAGCCTTTACAGAAATGCAAATCAAAATCACAGTGAGGAAGCACTTCACATCCCATAGGATGACTATAATTTAAAAAAGAGATGATAACAAGCATTGATGAGGATGTAGAGAAAGTGGAACCCGCATAGACTGTTGGTGGGATTGTAAAATGCTGTATCTGCTTTGGAAAATAGTCTGGCAGTTCCTCAAAAGGCTAAACATAGAGTTACCATGTGACCCTGCAGTTCCACTCTTAGGCATTGTCTTAGCTCGAGCTGCTATAACAAAATGCCATAGACTAAGTGGCTTAAACACAGACCTTTATTCTCATAATTTTAGAGGCAGAGAATTCCAATATCAAGTTTCCAGCTCCTGATAAGGGGCCTCTTTTTGACTCTCAGATGGCCATGTTGCTGTGTGCTCACATGGCAGGAAGAGAGAGCAAGCTCTGGCCTTTGTTCTTTTAAGGACACTAATCCCATTATGAGGGTCCTAACCTCATGACTTAATCTAAACCTAATTACCTTCCAAGGTCTCCATCTTCGATTATCACATTAGGGATTAGGACTTCAAAATACCAATATTGGGGTGGGGGAGGAAGCACAAACATGTAGTCCATAACAAGGATATACCTAAGAGAAATGAAAACATACATCTAAACAAAAACTTGTACAAGAATGTTTATAGCAACATTATTTGTAATAGCCAAAAAGTGGGAACAATCTACGTCTGTCAACAGATGAATGGATAAATAAAATGTGGTATATCCATGTGGTATGGCTATACAGTGAGCTATTATTCATCTATAGGAAGGAATGAAGTATTGATACATGCTGCAGCATGGATGAACTTTGCAAACATTATGCTAAGTGAAAAGCCAGTTTCAAAAGATCGCATATTGTATGATTCTATTTATATGAGACGTCCAGGCAACTAGTTTATTTTCTGTCTATAGATTTGCCTACTCTGGACGTATCATAAATGGAATCATACAATATGTGATCCTCTAGGGCTGGAGAAGGGTAGAGGTGCAAGGAGAGCAGTGACTGCTAACGGGTAAGTTTTCTTTTTTTTTTTTCGTTTGGTGGCAGGAGGGCAGTGAAAATGTTCTAAAATTAATTATGGTGATGGTTGTACATATGTGACTAATAAAAACTATTGTATACTTCAAATGTATGAATTTTGTGGCATATGAATTACATCTCAGAAAAGCTGTTCTTTTTTTTCTTTTTTAATTTGAAAGCCATCTGCTGTCCAATTAGCACATGCCACATCAGCCTGGGGTTTGATACCCTAGTGAGAGGATGTTTAGGAGGAAGGACTAAGAGTGAATGCTGTAATGGATACAGGCAGTTTAGGGAAAGACACTCAGTTCTGCCTAGAAATGAGCCACCCTGTTGGATAACCCTGAAAGATCTCTTTTTGATTAAAAAACTCTAGTGTAAAGTTCATTTGAGTTGGCCATATTAATGGGAACTATTTTGCTGTTCGTACATTTACAAATGTTTTAAGATTGACATTACTTTGATTTTCTGTTTGCTTTTTCTAGTTATCAAATGCTTGATGGAAAATCTTGAGGAAGAAGTATCTCAGGCTGAAAATTCTCTGCTTCAGGCAGCAGCAGCATTTCCAATGTATGGGCGAGTCCACTGTATAACAGGAGCTTTGCAGAAGTTATCTCTAAAGTAAGGATTTCCACAGCTGCCTCCTGTCTCAGAAATCCATTCATTTCTGAGCTTTAACCTCTGGTTGGAATGTGTCCTGGGAAAGGAATGCAGTCTATTGCTTTGAATAAAATTGAAAATCAGATTTAAAAACATACGTATCTGTGTATATTTTTATGTCTCACATGTTTTATGTATTGAACAATTTTGAAACACAAAGTCAATCCTTTTATCTAATTTTCATTTTTAAAATGTGATTTTTGCTTTTAGTATAAATTTCCCTAATGTCCTTGTTGCAGCAGCCTGCAGTTGGTGAGCGAGTGGAGACCTGTGGTAGAGAAGCTCCTTTTGATGTCCTACAGGCTTTCCACTGTGGTGTCTCCAGTCATTCAGAGCTCATCCCCTGAAGGCCTCATCCCAATGGACACTGATTCAGGTTAGCAAATGAAGAAGGCCGGCTAGAGTGCTGTGGTTTGATTATTATGTCTTTACCTCTTTTTTTTTTTCCCCAAGTATTTCTTTGGGGAGATATAAAAGCTAAGTTGAGGAGAAAATAATTATTATTATTTGTGGTATTTCTGCCTTTTAGCAATAGTTTTAACTATTAAAAAGTAGCAAAAAAAAAAAAAAAAAAATTCCCAAACCAGAGGATGAGCACGGTACCTTCTACCCCAGGGTAACTTGAGTTATATAATACTGTATAAGTTGAACATCCCAAATCTGAAAATTGGAAATACAAAATGCTCCAGATTTTGAAACTTTTTGAACACCAATGGGATGCTCAAAAGAAATGCTTATTGGAGCATCTGTATTTTGGATTTTCAGATTAGGGCTCCTCAGCCATTAAGTACAATGCAGATATTCCAATATTCAAAAAAATAAATTGAGAACGTTTTTGGTCCCAGGCATTTCAGATAAGGGATGCTTAACCTGTGCTAAAATTGAGTGTTCCTTTTAATACACAGAAAAATCATGAAATATATTTATGTTTGGTGTTGAAATAAAGTTTGTAAATGTATTTTAGAGTGCAAAGAGAGGCTTGTATTAGAAAAACTGACTGTATCATAAACACTCACTGAACCATATGCTGAAATACCTTGGGCTGATAATTAAGGTAATGTGGAGTTATGTGTTTTGCACAGAGAATATTAGGTTTTGTTCTTTCCTAAAAATGAGTTAGAAGATTGGTGATGGTTCACGATAGTAAGACACATTTATTTAGCCTGTTGTTAGTCTAAATACCAAATTATTTTATTTAATTAATTTTTTTTTGGTAGAGATGGGATCTTCCTGTGTTGTGCAGGCTGCTCTTGTCAAGCAATCCTTCTGCCTTGGCCTCTTAAAGCATTGGGATTACAGGCCTTAGCCACTGTGCTGGCCTTAAATACTAAATTTTGTCGCTTTAGATTTTCTACTTGAGCAGTGCATAAGAATAAGGAACATGCAATCTTATAGCTAATATTTGGGTCAGCAAAGTACCCATATATTCTGGATGAGAAATCTTGAATATTTCTGTTACCTACTGTGGGTAGATCCTACAGAGGATGCTAACATTATCTTTATTAGTGAAGAGTTTTAAGGTATCAGTTGGTCTCAAAAACTGTCTTTGCCCCACAGACTTTTCCTTCATTCTGCCTGTCTTTTTACCTCTGGTTGTCTTCATTTTTGCTGCTTCTTCCCTGTGTTATCTGCCATACATTCTGAATTGCATGAGGAAAGTCTCCCCTGAAAGCTGTAAAATTGAATGGATAGGATTCTTAAAAATTTATTCTCTGATCTTTTCTTGGTCTTTGCGTGGTTTCTTTTGGGGTCATTGTTAGTTTTTCATGGCTGTTGAAATTTATTTTTGACAAAATTCCAGGAAGGAACATAAGATGTTGATTGAATCATCATGATAGTAATTTGCGTGTTTGTATTTCCCATAGTACCTAAATATAAGTCAAAATAATAGATGTACAATAAATACCGGTTCTTCGATTTGTTAATTGATTTCAGATGATTACCAATGGCTAGTTTTGAAAATCTGAGCCTGGCTAACTCCTTACTACCTACATCCATTCATTCCTTCAACTCATGTTCCTGAACCTCTGCTGTGAGCCAGTTTCTGTTATAGGCACTCGTCACTCAGTAATGAACAAAGTGTTGCATTCATGGAGCTTACATTTCCTAATCCAGTGAGTGCTTAGGGAATAAAAATGAAACTTAATGTAATATGAAGACTGTAAATCATAATTAGAAAGCAGTATATTACATAATGTGTTTCAAAGTTGTGGAGTCGTTACGATATTCCTGTCCTATAAAAGATTGTTTTTGCTGTTGATGGGTTTTTAAAAATGTCTTTTTACCTTTCTATCTTTAAACTTTGATACCTTGTATTATGATGGGGAAATAATCTATTTTCTATTTTTTATATTTATTTATATTTTAAATCAAATATTGATTTTTTTCTACTTTTCTGTTGCCTGCTTCATTTTTCTTTCATAGAGAAATAGCCTCTTAAAACTAAATTTATTGAAGTTTATTGCACTTCTTTGACATGATTAGCACCATATTTGAGATATTTAGACAACACTAAGAAAAGCAGTGTAGATGACATGGTGGCCTTTGTCCTGTGGACAGTTTCAGTGAGTTTTTTTTGTTGTTATATTTCAGTCTAAATTGCCATATTTTAAAAATGCACTCAAGCATCATGAAAACTGTATAAATAATTTTCATATTATCCACCTTGTGAGTCCCTTCTAATAAAGCTGATTATTAAGTATTGAAAATTATAGATTTTTTGAGTAAGCATCCCCAAGGGAAATCTGGCATGTGATGTGTTACTGGGTTTCATGTACGCTCATTTCTTTCCCTCAGAGTCAGCAAGCCGCTTACAGATGATTCTGAATGAGATTCAGCCTCGAGATACTAATGATTATTTTAACCAAGCCAAAATATTGAAAGAACATGATAGCTTTGATATGAAGGACTTGAATGCTAGTGTGGTGAATATTGATACTTCTACAGAAATCAAAGGTAACTTGTATAAAATGGATACTGTAATTCATGTTTAAGTAACCAGTAAAATGTACAGAATGCCCTTTTTATATGGTAAATTAGAGGTTGCAAATCTGTGCAGAACATTTCTAGAAAATAAAGTTTTTTAAAAATTTTGTTTTGGGAAAGATTTGGGTTTAGGAATGGATTTATAAGACTTTTACCAGGGGGGTGGAGCCAAGATGGCCGAATAGGAACAGCTCCAGTCTACAGCTCCCAGCGGGAGTGACGCAGAAGACGGGTGATTTCTGCATTTCCATCTGAGGTACCGGGTTCATCTCACTAGGGAGTGCCAGACAGTGGGCGCAGGACAGTGGGTGCAGCGCACCATGCGCGAGCCGAAGCAGGGCGAGGCATTGCCTCACTTGGGAAGCGCAAGGGGTCAGGGAGTTCCCTTTCCTAGTCAAAGAAAGGGGTGACAGACGGTACCTGGAAAATCGGGTCACTGCCATCCTAATACTGCACTTTTCCGACGGGCTTAAAAAACAGCGCACCAGGAGATTATATCCCGCACCTGGCTCAGAGGGTCCTACGCCCACGGAGTCTCGCTGATTGCTAGCACAGCAGTCTGAGATCAAACTGCAAGGCAGCATCGAGGCTGGGGGAGGGGCGCCCACCGTTGCCCAGGCTTGCTTAGGTAAACAAAGCAGGCAGGAAGCTCGAACTGGGTGGAGCCCACCACAGCTCAAGGAGGCCTGCCTGCCTCTGTAGGCTCCACCTCTGGGGGCAGGGCACAAACAAACAAAAAGACAGCAGTAACCTCTGCAGACTTAAATGTCCCTGTCTGACAGCTTTGAAGAGAGCAGCGGTTCTCCCAGCACACAGCTGGAGATCTGAGAACGGGCAGACTGCCTCCTCAAGTGGGTCCCTGACCCCTGAACCCTGAGCAGCCTAACTGGGAGGCACCCCCCAGTAGGGGCAGACTGACACCTCACATGGCCGGGTACCCCTCTGAGACAAAACTTCCAGAGGAACGATCAGACAGCAGCATTCGCGGTTCACAAAAATCCGCTGTTCTGCAGCCACCGCTGCTGGTACCCAGGCAAACAGGGTCTGGAGTGGACCTCTAGCAAACTCCAACAGACCTGCAGCTGAGGGTCCTGTCTGTTAGAAGGAAAACTAACAAACAGAAAGGACATCCACACCAAAAACCCATCTGTACATCACCATCATCAAAGACCAAAAGTAGATAAAACCACAAAGATGGGGAAAAAACAGAGCAGAAAAACTGGAAACTCTAAAAAGCAGGGTGCCTTTCCTCCTCCAAAGGAATGCAGCTCCTCACCAGCAACGGAACAAAGCTGGACGCAGAATGACTTTGACTTGTTGAGAGAAGAAGGCTTCAGATGATCAAACTACTCCAAGCTACAGGAGGAAATTAAAACCAAAGGCAAAGAAGTTGAAAACTTTGAAAAAATTTAGACAAATGTATAACTAGAATAACCAATACAGAGAAGTGCTTAAAGGAGCTGATGGAGCTGAAAGCCAAGGCTCGAGAACTACGTGAAGAATGCAGAAGCCTCAGGAGCCGATGCAATCCACTGGAAGAAAGGGTATCAGTGATGGAAGATGAAATGAATGAAATGAAGCGAGAAGGGAGGTTTAGAGAAAAAAGAATAAAAAGAAATGAACAAAGCCTCCAAGAAATATGGGACTATGTGAAAAGACCAAATCTATGTCTGATTGGTGTACCTGAAAGTGACAGGGAGAATGGAACCAAGTTGGAAAACACTGCAGGATATTATCCAGGAGAACTTCCCCAATCTAGCAAGGCAGGCCAACATTCAGATTCAGGAAATACAGAGAACGCCACAAAGATAATCCTTGAGAAGAGCAACTCCAAGACAGATAATTGTCAGATTCACCAAAGTTGAAATGAAGGAAAAAATGTTAAGGGCAGCCAGAGAGAAAGGTCGGGTTACCCACAAAGGGAAGCCCGACTAACAGCGGATCTCTCGGCAGAAACTCTATAAGCCAGAAGAGAGTGGGGGCCAATATTCAACATTCTTAAAGAAAAGAATTTTCAACCCAGAATTTCATATCCAGCCAAACTAAGCTTCATAAGTGAAGGAGAAATAAAATACTTTACAGACAAGCAAATGCTGAGAGATTTTGTCACCACCAGGCCTGCCCTAAAAGAGCTCCTGAAGGAAGCACTAAACATGGAAAGGAACAACCGGTACCAGCCACTGCAAAATCATGCCAAATTGTAAAGACCATTGAGGCTAGGAAGAAACTGCATCAACTAACGAGCAAAATAACCAGCTAACATCATAATGACAGGATCAAATTCACACATAACAATATTAACTTTAAATGTAAATGGACTAAATGCTCCAATTGAAAGACACAGGCTGGCAAATTGGATAAAAGAGTCAAGACCCATCAGTGTGCTGTATTCAGGAAACCCATCTCATGTGCAGAGACACACATAGGCTCAAAATAAAAGGATGGAGGAAGATCTACCAAGCAAATGGAAACCAAAAAAAGGCAGGGGTTGCAATCCTAGTCTCGGATAAAACAGACTTTAAACCAACAAAGATCAAAAGAGACAAAGAAGGCCATTACATAATGGTAAAGGGATCAATTCAACAAGAAGAGCTCACTATCCTAAATATGTATGCACCCAATGCAGGAGCACCCAGATTCATAAAGCAAGTCCTGAGTGACCTACAAAGAGACTTAGACTCCCACACAATAATAATGGGAGACTTTAACACCCCACCGTCAACATTAGACAGATCAACGAGACAGAAAGTTAACAAGGATATCCAGGAATTGAACTCAGTTCTGCACCAAGCGGACCTAATAGACATCTACAGAACTCTCCACCCCAAATCAACAGAATATACATTTTTTTCAGCACCACACCACACCTATTCCAAAATTGACCACGTAGTGGGAAGTAAAGCTCTCCTCAGCAAATGTAAAAGATCAGACATTATAACAAACTGTCTCTCAGACCACAGTGCAATCAAACTAGAACTCAGGATTAAGAAACTCAAAACCACTCAACTACATGGAAACTGAACAACCTGCTCCTGAATGACTACTGGGTACATAACGAAATGAAGGCAGAAATAAAGATGTTCTTTGAAACCAACGAGAACAAAGACACAACATACCAGAATCTCTCGGACACATTCAAAGCAGTGTGTAGAGGGAAATTTGTAGCACTAAATGCCCACAAGAGAAAGCAGGAAAGATCCAAAATTGACACCCTAACATCACAATTAAAAGAACTAGAAAAGCAAGAGCAAACACATTCAAAAGCTAGCAGAAGGCAAGAAATAACTAAAGTCAGAGCAGAACTGAAGGAAATACAGACACAAAAAACCCTTCAAAAAATTAATGAATCCAGGAGCTGGTTTTTTGAAAGGATCAACAAAATTGATAGACCACTAGCAAGACTAATAAAGAAGAAAAGAGAGAAGAATCAAATAGACGCAATAAAAAATGATAAAGGGGATATCACCACCGATCCCACAGAAATACAAACTACCATCAGAGAATACTACAAACACTTCTACGCAAATAAACTAGAAAATCTAGAAGAAATGGATAAATTCCTCGACACATACACCCTCCCACGACTAAACCAGGAAGAACTTGAATCTCTGAATAGACCAATAGCAGGCTCTGAAATTGTGGCAATAATCAATAGCTTACCAACAAAAAGAGTCCAGGACCAGATGGATTCACAGCCGAATTCTACCAGAGGTACAAGGAGGAACTGGTACCATTCCTTCTGAAACTATTCCAATCAATAGAAAAAGAGGGAATCCTCCCTAACTCATTTTATGAGGCCAGCATCATCCTGATACCAAAGCCAGGCAGAGACACAACCAAAAAAGAGAATTATAGACCAATATCCTTGATGAACATTGATGCAAAAATCCTCAATAAAATACTGGCAAACCGAATCCAGCAGCACATTAAAAAGCTTATCCACCATGATCAAGTGGGCTTCATCCCTGGGATGCAAGGCTGGTTCAATATATGCAAATCAATAAATGTAATCCAGGATATAAACAGAACGAAAGACAAAAACCACATGATTATCTCAATAGATGCAGAAAAGGCCTTTGACAAAATTCAACAACGCTTCATGCTAAAAACTCAATAAATTAGATATTGATGGGACGTATCTCAAAATAATAAGAGCTATCTGTGACAAACCCACAGCGAATGTCATACTGAATGGGCGAAAACTGGAAGCATTCCCTTTGAAAACTGGCACAAGACAGGGATGCCCTCTCTCACCACTCCTATTCAACATAGTGTTGGAAGTTCTGGCCAGGGCAATTAGGCAGGAGAAGGAAATAAAGGGTATTCAGTTAGGAAAAGAGGAAGTCAAATTGTCCCTGTTTGCAGATGACATGATTGTATATCTAGAAAACCCCATTTTCTCAGCCCAAAATCTCCTTAAGCTGATAAGCAACTTCAGCAAAGTCTCAGGATACAAAATCAATGTACAAAAATCACAAGCATTCTTATACACCAATAACAGACAAACAGAGAGCCAAATCATGAGTGAACTCCCATTCACAATTGCTTCAAAGAGAATAAAATACCTAGGAATCCAACTTACAAGGGACGTGAAGGACCTCTTCAAGGAGAACTACAAACCACTGCTCAATGAAATAAAAGAGGATACAAGGAAATGGAAGAACATTCCATGCTCATGGGTAGGAAGAATCAATATCATGAAAGTGGCCATACTGCCCAAGGTAATTTATAGATTCAATGCCATCCCCATCAAGCTACCAATGCCTTTCTTCACAGAATTGGAAAAAACTACTTTACAGTTCATATGGCACCAAAAAAGAGCCCGCATTGCCAAGTCAATCCTAAGCCAAAAGAACAAAGCTGGAGGCATCATGCTACCTGACTTCAAACTATGCTATAAGGCTACAGTAACCAAAACAGCGTGGTACTGGTACCAAAACAGAGATATAGATCAATGGAACAGAACAGAGCCCTCAGAAATAACGCCACTCTTATCTACAACTACCTGATCTTTGACAAACCTGAGAAAAACAAGCAATGGGGGAGAGGATTCCCTATTTAATAAATGGTGCTGGGAAAACAGGCTAGCCATATGTAGAAAGCTGAAACTGGATCCCTTCCTTACACCTTATACAAAAATTAATTCAAGACGGATTAAAGACTTAAACTTTAGACCTAAAACCATAAAAACCCTAGAAGAAAACCTAGGCATTACCATTCAGGACATAGGCATGGGCAAGGACTTCATGTCTAAAACACCAAAAGCAATGGCAACAAAAGCCAAAATTGACAAATGGGATCTAATTAAACTAAAGAGCTTCTGCACAGCAAAAGAAACTACCATCAGAGTGAACAGGCAACCTACAAAATGGGAGAAAATTTTCGCAACCTACTCATCTGACAAAGGGCTAATATGCAGAATCTACAATGAACTCAAAACAAATTTACAAGAAAAAAACAACCCCATCAAAAAGTGGGCAAAGGACATGAACAGAACTTCTCAAAAGAAGACATTTATGCAGCCAGAAAACACATGAAAAAATGCTCACCATCACTGGCCATCAGAGAAATGCAAATCAAAACCACAATGAGATACCATCTCACACCAGGTAGAATGGCAATCATTAAAAAGTCAGGAAACAACAGGTGCTGGAGAGGATGTGGAGAAATAGGAACACTTTTACACTGTTGGTGGGACTGTAAACTAGTTCAACCATTGTGGAAGTCAGTGTGGCGATTCCTCAGGGATCTAGAACTAGAAATACCATTTGAGCCAGCCATCCCATTACTGGGTATATACCCAAAGGACTATAAATCATGCTGCTATAAAGACACATGCACATGTATGTTTATTGCGGCACTATTCACAATAGCAAAGACTTGGAAGCAACCCAAATGTCCAACAATGATAGACTGGATTAAGAAAATGTGGCATATATACACCATGGAATACTATGCAGCCATAAAAAATGATGAGTTCATGTCCTTTGTAGGGACATGGATGAAATTGGAAATCATCATTCTCAGTAAACTATCGCAAGAACAAAAAACGAAACACCACATATTCTCACTCATAGGTGGGAATTGAACAATGAGAACACATGGGCACAGGAAGGGGAACATCACACTCTGGGGACTGTTGTGGGGTGGGGGGAGGGGGGAGGAGGGAGGGATAGCTTTAGGAGATATACCTAATGCTAAATGAGTAGTTAATGGGTGCAGCACACCAGCATGGCACATGTATACATATGTAACTAACCTGCACATTGTGCACATGTACCCTAAAACTTAAAGTATAATAATAATAAAATTAAATTAAATTAAAGAAGACTTTCACCAGCCTATTAGGTGCTGTTGTGCAGCGAACAAGCTGTTAGAACAGAAAGCCTTGGAGTGATAAAACCTGCCTTGACAGCCCAGGTGATATAAGAGCAGTGCTATATAATGAACCTGGGTTTGGGCAGCAATCAACTTCTCCCAGCAATGTGGTTCATTGTCTGCTGTGAGAGTTCTTAAAGTCAAGCAGGCTTTTAAAGGAAACAAACCTTATTAGTAAAATGGGAGCTGCTTTGTTGTGTCAAGCTTCCAGAATTCGAGTTCTTACATCTTGTTTGATCATTAGTTGTTACTGAATTTTCTGCAGTGCTGTAAAACGTCATCAGAAGCAGCAATTTCTTAGTGATGTATTACATATTCTACATTCTCCACTAGGTGGGGATATTGTCTTGCAAAAAATTATCTCCACACTTAAATTTTTAAATTACACAAAATAATGTATAAATGTAATTATAGCCTATTGTAATAGTTTCAAACAACAGAGGTACATATGAATTAAAAACAAATTAAATTCCTCCAAGGTTTCCTCTCCAATTCCATGTCTTCCTTCTTTAGTGCAATATATTATTTTGTACTTATTTTATATGTTTATGTGTATGTACACTTACCCATTTAATGCATTGGGCTTTTTAAATAAAAACACAAATGAGGTTACCCTATAAGTACCATTTTGTCAGCGTGCTCTTTTATTTAATATAATAGTTCATCTTGGATTTTAAAAAAATATCAGTACCAAAAATACTCCTAAAACTAGAATAAGAGAGTAAGTAAGGCTAATTATAGCTTATTGGCCATGGGAATTAAATATATTTTGAAAGATAATTTGTATTTTCCTTTGATTTTAAAAGTTATATTCTACTCCTTTACTAATGCAACAGTCATGCTCACCAAAATAAATAAGGAGTGTATTTATTATAGTCATCCATATCATACTTTATGACAGAGAGGCAGAGTTTGTTTAATCTTTGGAAATTAAAGATTAAACAAGTTTTGGAACAATATTGTGTTTTATTTTAAAATTTAATTTGAAAATAATAAATTAAAATACTGGGCCTGGCATGGTGGCTCATGTCTATAATCCCAGCACTTTGGGAGGCCCAAGCGAGAGAATTGCTTTAGTCCAGGAGGTGATGTGGTGAAACCCTGTCTTTACAAAAAAATACAAAAATTAACTGGGTGTGGTGGCGCATACCTGTAGTCCCAGCTACTAGGGAGGCTGAAGTAGAAGGATTGCATGAGCCTGGGAGGTCAAGGCTGCAGTGAGCCATGAGCATGCTACTGCACCCCAGCCTGGGTGACAGAGCGAGACCCTGTCTCCAAAAAAGAAAAAAAAAAAAACTTAGCATGATTTCTTCTCATAACACATGCTCGACAAATGTTAGCTTCTTTCCTTCTGAGTAAATATAACATGACAAATCGGGTTTGTTCAAGCAGATTATTCTTGGGGAAATTATGAATAAGCTTGTTTTTAGAAACCTGGGATATGAGTAATCAAGGTTGCAATCGTTGTGTTTTTTTTTGTTTAAGGTAAAGAAGTAAAAACATGTGATGTAACTGCGCAGATGGTGCTGGTATGTTGTTGGAGAAGTATGAAGGAAGTTGCTTTACTTTTAGGCATGTTGTGCCAGCTTCTGCCCATGCAGCCTGTGCCAGAATCTTCTGATGGATTATTGACGGTGGAGCAGGTAAGGCACATGTTTATTCCACCATGTATAATTTCTGGTCAACGCATAAATCACTTTTTTTTTTATAACCCAACTCTAAAAAAAGGTTTAAAATTTTTCTTGAATAAAATCATACAAATGTTAACTGAAGAAAGTTCATGGTAATTTAGAATGTTAGACTTTATAATACATTTCAAAACTGTGGCATTTTTAGAAATTTTTTCTAAGGTATATAAATAACTGTAGATTTTACCTCACTTTTAACTGTAGTTTTATCTCTAATTTTTATTTCTCCATTTCACATACACAGACTTAAACTTTAGCTTAAAATTGTCTTATTTAGTAAAACTCCACAAATCTCTTAAATTTTGGAAAGAAAAAAAGTAACATGTTGGTTGATTATGGATCTCATGTTTCCCACTGCATTGATAATAAAGTTGTAGTCTTGGTTTTTTTGGCTGACTTTTGTTTTAAGACCACAAAGTTAGTTCACCATCTGGGACTGTTCAAGTGACTTGAGTGCGGTGTTTACAAGAAGTTAGCTTACCACAAGCATTTCATTTGGAAATATTTTAGATTTATTAGATTTCTGTTTTTAATTGATTCCCTCTTCCTTTCCATATGGTTTTGACAAATCCATTTCCCACCATTTTTCAGCAAAGATATATAACATGTACTTTCATTTTTAACTTTTTAAAAATAAAGGCAACTTTTTCCCTAGGGTGTTACAATTCAAGAACAAAACAAATATTGTAGTATGCTAATGCTGATTATTTCTATAATAACCACATGACTAGTTCCATGGAAATAATGCTAATACTTTTTTTCTCACACTCTGTGGCTTATGTTGCATGCATCTGGTTAACAGCTGCGCTTGTGATGTTGCAAGGCCTTGAGATGAAGAAAGGCAAAGGCGCACAGGACATTTCAGGCATCATTATGTTCCTTATTCTCTTCCAAATCAAATAGGCGTCAGTGTCCTAGAGTTACTTGCAGTCATTGCTGGTGACTGGCTGTAGTGCCAATGCCAACATCTTTGCTGAGGAATCCAGCTATGATTAATGATTACTTCACTGATGTTCACCATCTTGCTAAGAAGTAAACATGTGCTAGAGGCCTTTGATTTCCCAACTTCTCTTTCCAAGGACAAGTTAAAACATTTAGTTTTTTGGGTTTGTTGGGTAGTGTTTAAAAAACAAATTAAGGGAAGTGTATTTTGCTTTTACTGTAACTAAGACGTGAAAGCTTCCTATGAACATTATTTTGCCTTGACACTTTTCACATAGCACCCAAATCTTATGTATTTAATTTGTGTGCGACAGCCGTGTTAAAATTGGGAATTAATGTAAAATAAGAGATGTTTGTTAAAAAAAAAAACAATTATCACAAAAAGACAGGTTCTTATAAACCAAAGAATTCTTCCAGTGACTGCTTAAATAAAAAATAAGATCCTGACTGTTTTTCTGTAAAACATTAGTTTCCGTTGTAATGAGGTCCAGTCATTTTTCTATGTTGCCATTCACATGGTAACCTCACATACATAGGCGTGAGAAGAAACTGATGACTGAATGAGCGATGAACTGTATATGTAATAGCAGTGTTCTAACACTGGAACCCCGTCCCCTATGAAAAACTTGATTCTTCGTATTGCTGACTTTAGCTAAAGAAATGTCTCAGTTTAGGAGTCAATAAAAATCCAAAGTCATCAAGAAATTAGTGTTATTTACATTACTGGAGAATTCCTGCTTTTAAACATAACCTTTTGCCCCATGAACTTCCTTTAAATTAATAATAATTAAATATACTTACATGTGCTTAAAACCTTTAAGAGTTAAAAATATAAATGACAGAGAAGAACATCATTTACATTGGAATGGCTGGGCCACACCTGAGGTACACCCTTCCAAGAGCATAGTTGCCCTGGCAAAGCTAGATCTGTGCCTAGTGGTAAAACTATGAGTTTAAGAGTCAAGCCTTAGGTGAATGTGACTGCCGTCTGAATACACGGAGGCAGTGAAGTGACTTGCAGGCAGAATGCAACCCTAGTTAGAGGGGAGAATGTGGAACTTGCATTTCTTATTCTTCAGAGTAGTAACTGTGATCTACTTTTCTCTCAATGGATGAAGAAAGCCATTCCATACAGTCTAAAATACAATTCTATTCTATTTTGAAATTTGATGACTTGAATGTAGATGACAGTCCGTTTAAAATCATCCTGATTTTACAGCTCCTTGTTTAAACCGGTGGCCACTTAAATCCCCCATATAGGAGTATAAAAGGTAGGGAGATTACAGTTTGGGGTTTTTTGTTGCTGTGTGGGGAGAAGAAATGGGGCTTGTTTATAATTCTGAGTTTTCAGTGATATATTCACAAACCATTAGAGCTGGAAGGATCATAGAGATGATATTATCCAGCTCTCTTGGACAAGAGGAAGCTGAACCCTGGATGTTACCTGGTTTGCCCAAGATTGCAAAGCTAGTTTGTGGCAGCTCTGGAACAGGAACCCAGTTCTTCTCCTTGCCAGCCTGTGTTCTGACATGGCACAGTGCTGCCTTTGTGAGCTGCTCATTTAATTTTTCTTTAAGTTTAATTTTCTGTATTTCCCATATCCAGGTAAATTTTCGCAAGCAACAGGACAGTAAGATGACTTGCTACTGAACTTTTTCTTAAATGATTGATTCCCTAGAGCACTTCCTGTGAAGCAGTGTGCTGTCACCAGTTTCTCCAGGAGGAAAATGTGTTCATTCAGAGGCATGTCTGACTTTCCTCCTTCACTGTAATCACATAATGAAAGGTTCTTTCATAGTGTTCCTGTACAAGAGGCAGAGATAAAACCAACTTTGAGGGATGTAAGTGGAGACCCTTCAAGAGTAAGCAGTACACACAACCTTATCTCACAACTTCCTGACTAGTTGATGTGTGTGGAGTTTTCAAACTTGATGTTTTGCTGATGTAGAGCTTTTGCTTGTTATATTTTGTTGGTTCTCTTTTCATGGGCTATCTGATACCCAGTGCCTACTGATTTTTTAAAACAGCTTCCTCCACCTGGAGTACTATATGAACTTAAGTTTATATGTATTTCCCTAATATTCTTAAAAAGAAACTACTAGGTAGATTTTTCATTCATGCTTTCCCTCTGCAGTAATTATCGCCACAGAAATCACACGAGTAAGATTGCCAACTATTAGAAATTGCTATTTTAAAACATTCTTTTTTAGTTTAGTTTTTTTTTTTTTTTTTGAGTCTGGGTCCCATTCTGGCGCCCAAGCTAGAGTGCTGTGGTTCCATTTTGACTCACTTCAGCCTCAACCTCCTGGGCTTAAGCCTCCCAAATATTTGGGACTATAGGTGTGTGCTACCACTCCTGGCTAATTTTTGTAGAGACGGGATCTCACCATGTTGCCAGGCTGGTTTTGAATTCCTGGACTAAAGCGATCCTCCCACCTCAGCCTCCCAAAGGGCTAAGATTACAGGCATGAGCTACCATGCCCGGTCTAAAAATTGTATGTTAGATTCTGTTGTAACTTTTATGATGCCCAGAGTTAACTACATTGATGTATTCCCTCAGTAGTGTCTTTTGTTATTACTTTAGATTTTCTGTAATGAACTACAAATGGGATATATGTTTATTCACAAGTCTTAAATTGCTTTTTGTATTTTCTTTTGCCAAAGTTTATTTTTTAGAAATTACAAATAATTTCATTGAATTGCACTCAATGCAAGTTCCCATTTTTAAGCTTTGAAATGAAGTTGTGCATGTAACCACATCCTATTTATTGACTGCCTTACTACAAGGATATCGTGGGAAAATAAAGAAGTACATAGTATGTGGTTCTGTGACGTCAAAGGGCTTAGAAATACAATAGAGGATACCAGACAGAAATTCATTTTAAAAAGTCAGACTACAGGGCAACAGTTAATATTGCCCATGGTTAAGAATTTGCTAGAAAGCAAAGAATAAACATTCTGGTAAGATGATATCTGAGTGGTAGAAAATTATTACCTTTGTTGTTTTGTAGGAGAACAGTGTTTGAGCTTTGAAGAAATCCCAAAAGTTAGTAACAAATCACTGTAGGAGAGAAGGTACAGTTTAAAACATTAACTGTTTTACTGGAGTGTAAACTTTTGTAAAACATCCCGTTTAACCAAAGTGAAATTAGAAGTGGCTGTGTCTTAAAGTCAGAATTCAAATTAAGGCTTAGGGATTAAGGCTCACTACTTTATAGTATAAAATAAAAATAAAATGGACATTTACTGTTTGCTACTCTTTGCCAGGTACTCTGATAAACACTTAAATGCATAATCTTATTATTTATTTCTCACAATAATCCTGTGAAGTAGGTTCTAGTGTTAGCTCCATTTCACAAGTAAAAGAACTGTGTTTAATTACTTTGCGTTAGTAGTACATTTCAGAATTTACCTTCTCTAGATAAAGGGTAGATTTAAAATATATTTATATTTTTTTTAATGGGTTTTATGCTTTAGATGAGCATTTAGATCCCCTAATTAGTCTGTTGGTGAATTATACCTGCCTGGAAACATGGCATGTAGCTTCTTCCCCTGTGGAAATTTATACCCTGTGAGTCCATAAAACATGTTAATTTCCCTATAGAGATACTTTTTATGAAAAGTTAAGAGCAGGATATGCTAATTTTAAAAAGACAAGTGATTAGAATTTAAATTTCTGTTCTTTAAATTTTAAGAACAGAAATCACTGTATTTTTCTTTCACTTTGATCTTAATTTCCTTTATAAAAATCCTGAGATGTATGTTATTAAAAATTATTTTGCTGGAGGTAACATACTACCAGACTTCAAAATATACTACAAACCTGTAGCAACAAAAAAGTGTGGTACTGGTGTACAAACAGACACATAGACCAGTGGAACAGAATAGAGAACCCAGAAATTAATGTATCTACCGCCAACTGATTTTCGATAAAGGCTCCACGAACTCTCATTGGGTAAAGGACTGTCCAATAAACGGTGCTGGGAAAACTGAGTATGCTTTCTTCATATGCAGAAGGATGAAACTAGACCCACCTCTCACTCTATACAAAAATCAACTCAAAATGAATAGGCTGGGCACGGTGGGTCATGCCTGTAATCCCAGCACTTTGGGAGGCTGAGGCGGGCGGATCAAGAGGTCAAGAAACCAAGACCATCCTAGCCAACATGGTAAAACCCCGTCTCTATTAAAAATACAAAAATTAGCTGGGCGTGTGGTGTGCACCTGTAGTCCCAGCCACTCGAGAGGCTGAGGCAGGAGAATCGCTTGAACCCAGGAGGCAGAGATCGCACCACTGCACTCCAGCCTGGTGACAGAGCGAGTGTCAGTCTCAAAAACAAACAAAAACAAAAAACAGAAATTAACTCAAAATGGATAAAAGACCTTCAAAACAATAAATGGTAAAGACTACTATAAAACTACTTGAATAGTGGTATTTATTCAGGACATTGATCTGGGAAAAGATTTTTTCTTTTTTTTTTTTTTTTTTTTTTTTTGAGTCTCGCTGTGTCGCCCAGGCTTGAGTGCAGTGGCGCTGTCTCGGGTTTAGATGAACCTCTGCCTCCTGGCTTCAAACGATTCTCCTGCCTCAGCCTCCCAAGTAGCTTCGATTACAAGCATGTGCCACCCTGCCTGGCTAATTTTTGTATTTTTTTAGTAGAGATGGGATTTCACCATGTTGGCCAGACTGGTCTCAGACTCCTGACCTCAGGTGATCTGCCCGACGTGGACTCCCAAAATGCTAGGATTACAGGCGTGAGCCACCGCCTGGCCTGGGAAAACATTTTTATAAATAAGACCTCAAAAGCATAGACAACAAAAAGTAAGTGGGATTATATCAAACTAAAAACCTTCTGCACAGCAAAGGAAACAACAGAGCCAAAAGATAAACTTCAGAATGGGAGAAAAAAATTTGTAAACTATTCATCTGACAGGATTAATGTCCAAAATGTACAGGGACCTCAAACATCTCAACAGCAAAAAAAAAAAAAAAAAAAAAAAAAGGACAAATGATCTGAACAGACATTTCTCAAAAACAGAAATGACGAACAAATATATGAAAAAATGTTCAACATCACAAATCAGGGAAATGCAAATCAAAACCACAATGAGATATCATTTCATTCCAGTTAGGATGGCTGTTCCCAAAAAGACAAAAAAATAACAAATGATGGCAGGAATGTGGAGAAAAGGGAACTCTTACACCCTATTGGTGGGAGTGTAAACTAGTATAGCTACTGTGGAGAACAGTGTGGAGATTCCTCTAAAAACTACACATAGAAATACCGTATGATCCAGCAATCCCACTACTAGGCATTTATCCAAGGAGAAGGAAATCAGTATATTGAAGAGATAGAGTGCTGCAACCCCTTGATTGAATAGTGTTGCAATCCCATGTTTATTGCAGCACTATTCAAAATACACAAGGTACGTAATCAACCTGGGTGTCCAACAACAGATGAATGGGTAAAGAAATGTGGTGTATATATACAGAGTGGAATACTATTCAGCCATAATAAAGAATGAAATACTGTCATTCGCAGCTACATGGATGGAACTGGAGGACATTATGTTAAGTGAAATAAGCCAGGAACAGAAAATTAAGCACTGCATGTTCTCACACATGTGGAAGTTGAACTCGAAGTAAAAATTAGAGCAGAGGATACTACAGGCTGGGAAGAGTAGTTGAGAGGGTGGAGATAGGTAGAGTTGTGAAAGGATACCAAATTACAGCTACATAGGAAGAATAAGCTCTAGTGTTCTTTACCACAGTAGGATGACTATAGTTTGCAATAATATATATATATTAATAATTCCAAATAGCTAGAAGCAGGATGTTGAATGTTCCTAACACAAAGAAATGATAAGTGTTTGAAATGATGGATAAGCTGATTATTCTGATCTGATCACTATTTATTATATGTATTGAAACATTACTGTGTACCCCATAAATATGGATAATTATTTGTCAATGAAAAAGAATTTTTAAAAATGCTTTAAAAAATCTGTCTTCATAAAAGGGTTTACATGTCTTTATTATTTCAAGGTGCATTTTAATTTTTGATGTTATTGTAAATCCATCTTTATAAAAAATACATATTTGAACTTTATCTTGCTGGGCTATAAAAATACAACTGCTTTTTAAATATTTATCTTATATTCATCCATATTACTAAACTCTATTATTTTAATCATTTGTGGATTATTTGTAGATTATATGTCCATAATGTCACCTGCAAACAAGAGTTTTTTGTTTTAAATTTTTATTTTACTTTAAGTTCTGGGAGACATGTGCTGAACGTGAGGTTTGTTACGTAGGTATACATGTGCCACGGTGGTTTGCTGCACCTATCAACCTGTCATCTAGGTTTTAAGCCCCGCATGCATTAGATATTTGTCCTAATGCTCTCCCTCCCCTTGCCCTCCACCCAACGACAGGCCCTGATGTGTGATGTTCCCCTCCCTGTGTCCATGTGTTCTCATTGTTCAACTCCCACTTATGAATGAGAACATGTGGTGTTTGATTTTTTGTTCCTGTGTTAGTTTGCTGAGGATGATGGCTTCCAGCTTCATCCAAGTCCCTGCAAAGGACATGAACTCATTCTTTTTTTGTGGCTGTATGGTATTCCATGGTGTATATGTGCCACATTTTCTTTAGCCAGTCTATCATTGATGGGCATTTGGGTTGGTTCCAAGTCTTTGCTATTGTAAATGGTGCTGCAGTAAACATATGTGTGCATGTGTCTTTATAGTAGAATGATTTATAATCCTTTGGGTACATACCCAGTAATGGGATTGCTGGGTCAAATGTTATTTCTAGTTCTAGATCCTTGAGGAATCGCCACACTGTCTTCCACAACTGTTGAACTAATTTACACTCCCACCAACAGTGTAAAAGTGTTTCTATTTCTCCACATCCTCTCCAGCATCTGTTGTTTCCAGACTTTTTAATGATTACCATTCTAACTGGCATGAGATGGTATCTCATTGTGGTTTTGATTTGCATTTCTCTAATGACCAGTGATGATGAGCTTTTTTCATATATTTGTTAGCTGCATAAATATCTTCTTTTGAGAAGTGTCTGTTTATATCCTTTGCCCACTTTTTGATGGGGTGGTTTGTTTTTTTCTTGTAAATTTTTTTATGTTCCTTGCAGATTCTGGATATTAGACCTTTGTCAGATGGATAGATTGCAAAAATTTTCTCCCATTGTGTAGGTTGTCTGTTCACTCTGATGATAGTTTCTTTTGCTGAGCAGAAGCTCTTTAATTAGATCCTACTTGTCAGTTTTGGCTTTTGTCGCAGTTGCTTTTGGTGTTTTAGTCAAGAAGTCTTTGCCCATGCCTATGTCGTGAATGGTATTGCCTAGGTTTTCTTCTAGGGTTTTTATGGTTTTGTTTCTTTCTCTTGCCTGATTGCTCTGGCCAAAACTTCCAATACTATGTTGAATAGGAGTGGTGAGAGAGGGCATACTTGTCTTGTGCCGGTTTTCAAAGGGAATGCTTTCAGCTTTTGCCCATTCAGTGTGATATTGGCTATGGGTTTGTCATAAATAGCTCTTATTATTTTGAGATATGTTCCATCAATACCTAGTTTATTGAGAGTTTTTAGCATGAAGGGGTATTGAATTTTATCGAAGGCCTTTTCTACATTTATTGAGATAATCATGTGGTTTTTGTCATTGGTTCTGCTTACGTGATGGATCACGTTTATTGATTTGTGTATGTTGAACCATCCTTTTTTTTTTTTTTTTTTTTTTGAGGTGGAGTCTCACTCTGTTGACCAGGCTGGAGTGCAGTGGCACAATCTTGGCTCACTGCAACCTCTGCCTCCCGGGTTCAAACGGGTCTCCTGCCTCAGCCTCCCAAGTAGCTGGGACTACAGGCGCATGGTGCCACTCCCGGCTAGTATTTTGTATTTTAGTAGAGACGGGGGTTTTACTGTGTTGTCCAGGCTGGACTCGAACTCCTGAGCTCAGGCAATCCACCAGCCTCAGCCTCCCAAAGTGCTGGCATTACAGGCATGAGCCACCGTGCCTGGCCTCTTTCATATTTTTTTTACACTTTTCATTTCTTCTTATTTTAGTGTGCTGGATAGGGGCTCCAGAACAGAATTCAGTAGAAGTTGTGACAGTAGGAACCCTTATCTTGTTCCTGATTTTAAAGAGGATTAAAAAAAAACACACACCAAAAAAAAAACCCTACACTGTTGTCTGTGATGTTTGCCTATTGGGTTTTTATAGGTATTCTTTATGATGTTAAGGAAGTTTTTGTCTCTTCCAAGTTTGCTAAGAGGTTTTTTTAAAAAAATTATGAGTCGAAAAAAAGGAAAAGACTAGAAAGAAATGCAATAAAAATTAATAGTTACCTCTAAAAAATTATTTTGTACATCCATTATCCATTTTGTGAACCTTAAATAGAAACTCAGTGGTATCTAATAGGCAATTGAGTTGGAGTTTTCAGAGGTTTTCATTTTAAAGTGAAAATTCAGAGATTTTCATTTTAAAAATCAAATTTTGAAATTGTTTCTGATTTTGTTGTTATTAATTTTGTAAGTGGTTTGAGTTAAGTCTGTTTCATGTAGTCTGATTATCCACTGGGAGGCTGTCAGCCTGGTGTGTTTCTTCTCTGTTCAGCTGCTCATGGACTACACTGCCAAGCCCACTAGTCATTTGTAATCGGATTCTTCTCTTCCTTGTAGCCTTGTCCTTACTGTTTTCTAGCACGAAACCTCTAGGTCACTCAGCCAGGTTTACTTACCCTTGTCTGTGTATGCTCATTCATTGATATGAAAAGACCTAGCAAAGTATCTGGCAGGTAGCTGGCACGCACTTATTTAGTGTTGGTCTATTCATTCTAGTCTCCCAGCCTCTTCTCATGTTAATTACCCTCTTTCATTTTGGTCCACCCAAGTACTGTAATAGCCTGTTCAAGTTCTGGATGTGAAGTGTTTTCTCATTATTCCAGTGCAAAAGGATCTTTCATTTTTTGGAACTTATGCTTCTAATGGACACCAGACAGCATGTTGGTTTTCTTTGCCAAAGTGAACTAAAAGCCTGCTGAGGACAGGCATCTTGTTTTCATCTTTTCTATCTACCACAGCATTAAGCTGTGAAGCATTTTACATGGTGCTAAAGAAAGACTGTTATCTAACAGGAATTTTACATTATCTTCAAAAGGAAAAAAGATAATAAGCCTAGGTATTAGCTATGTGGGTTTATTCGGAAATTATTAAGTGCAAAATGAAAGGAAAAACTGCCTATATCTCAGTTTTGTCCTTAGAACATCAATCTGTTTTCTGTGCCCAGGAATACCTAGGGTTGAGGTCCATCCTTGAGAAGACCACCCACTGGTCATACTTCTGAGGTCTTTGATTTTTATTATATGCTTTTTGTTTTAGACCTCTTCGAAGGGAGTTTGAATAAAGGAAGCAATGAAAATCTGATGTTTGCCTAAGGAGTAAATTATGAACTGTTGTAAATCCACAGAGAAGCACTTTGTCAGTAATGACAAAGTTTATGTTTTCCTGAAGTATGTTTTAATATCTGCAACATTTTGGGAAAAAAATTAAGGAAGTTAGAGAAACCTCATCTCATTGACTTTCTGTTTTTATTTTCTGTCTTTAAGTACCTTCTTAGAAATCTCTTGTTTCTCTAATAATCGAAATGATGGTCATTACAAATAAGCTAACTGGTGGTTCTTCTAGTCCTTATTTTGTATTAGTATTATTTTTTTAAGCTGGCTATCATGAGTTACTTATTTTATAGGATTATCGGGCTTCAGCCCTATTTTAGGGGTTTAATTCGGATTTAAGCCTTGATAATTCTGTTCAAACAATGCTCTGAAATTACCACATTGAAGACAAAATAAGGCTTACCTGACTGTGGCTCTTGACAACTGGTAGTATGTGGTCTTTAAAAGATACTAAAATCAAGAGTATCATCAGATCTTTACAGGAAAACTAACTGAAGAACATGACCTGTCACTCTTTGGGATACTAAAGAGTTAGAATTTTTTTTAAAAAAATTATTATATACTGCTTTTTTGGTTCTTTGTTAGTCTCCTATCTGATTCTTGTTTCTCCATGTGTATCACTTATTATATCTTTATAATCAGATGTACTTTGAGTGTGGATTACGTCTTTAGTTTTCCTCTATTTAGAACCCTAGTCAGAACTCATATTGAACTGAATTGGATTATAGGTTCTGGGCCTGTTCTGAGCTTTTCAGTTTATTACTTATTTTAATACAACAACCTGTGTCCTAAATACTGGTATTATCTCTAGTTTATGGATGAGGAAACTGAGATACTTGCCCATGATGACATGTTTAACTACTTATTCTACTGTTTATCATCTCTAATGTGTGCAGAATACTAATCTAGTCCCTATGCTGAGATAGGAGGTGTTTCTAGGTAAGCATATCTGAGATATCTTGGGACAACTTGTCTTTTACCATCCTGTGATCTGTTGGGGAGACCTGGATCAAGAGATAGCTGGTTACAGCTTTGGTCCTGAGTTTTATACAAAATCTTGATTTTTAAAAGACAATAGTTACTAAATCTAATGGTATAAAAGCCTAATCAGCTTAAAAGTTAATTCTATTCAAAACCTTAGTCAACAATGAATTGTCCGTTTTGTTTTCTTTAAAATAAATAATCTGGCCGGCCACAGTGGTTCATGCCTGTAGTTAACAGCTACTCGGGAGGCTGATGCAGAAGGACTCCTTGGGGCCCAAGAGTTGGAGACTGTAGTGCACAGTGATCACACCTGTGAATAGCCACTGTACTTAAGCCGAGGCAACATAGCAAGACCCTGTCTCTACAAAAAATTAAAAAATTAGGTGGGTTTGGTGACATACACTTACAGTCCTAGCTGCTCAGGAGGCTAAGGTGGGAGTATTACTGTAACCTCAAACTCCTTGAGCCTAGGAGTTCGAGGTTACAGTGAGCTATGATTGTGCCACTGCACTCCAGCCTGGGTGATAAAGCAAGACCAGACCCTGTTTTTTTTTTTTTAAAAAAAGTCATATTTGTTATTTGTCTAATCTTGTGTGGAGAAAGACAGCATGTAGGAAAGCCACTGGGTGACATTCTGGCAAATTCCATGGTTCTGTCTTGAAGTGAAGCCTAGTAGTTTTTCAGGAGGTCCTTTGCACCACATCTTGCATTGTCATTAACAATTTTATGTCTCTAAAAGGTAATACGGGTTATTTTTTAATGGGTATGGAGTTTCCATTTGGGAAGATGAAAAGTTCTCTAAATGCATGATGGTGATGGTTGTACAAAAGTATGAATGTACTTATGCCACTTAATTGTACATTTAAAAAGGGTTACAATGATAAATATTATGTATATTTTACCACAATAAAAAAGAAAAAAAATTTTAAAAGAAGGAAAAAAGGTAATTATTTCACCTAGACCTATGTGTGTGAGTGTTGTCGCTTTGTGTGATTTTCTGTTGGAGTTGAATAACATGAGCTATAACAGAAAACATACTGAGGTTTGTGAATGTGACATAGGAAGGCAGTTCTAGTGTAGCAGTTAAAGATGGTCAACTCTGGAGCCAGACTGCTTGGCTTCATGTTCTGGTTCCATTGCTTTCTTGCTGTCTGACCTTGGATAAGTTTCTTAGCCTTTCTTGGCCTCAGTTTTCCAATTGTGAAGTAGAGATAATGATCGTACTTATTTCATGGAATTACTGTGAGGATTAGATGAGCTATTGTTAAAAAAAAATACTTAAAATGGCTGGGCACAGTGGCTCACGCATGTAATCCCAGCACTTTGGGAGACCAAGGTGGGCAGATCACCTGAGGTCAGGAGTTAGAGACCAGCCTGGCCAACATGGTGAAACCCATCTCTACTAAAAATACAAAAATTAGCCAGGCGTGGTGGCAGGTGCCTGTAATCCCAGCTACTTGGGAGGCTGAGGCAGGAGAATCACTTGAACCCAGGAGGTGGAGGTTGCAGTGAGCTGAGACTGTGCCACTGCACTCCAGCCTGGACAACAGAGCAAAAATCCATCTCAAAAAAAAAAAAAAAAAAAAAAGCTTAAAACATGTTCTGTCATATGGTAAGCGCTAAATGAATGGACCCCTAGACCTGGGTTCTAAACAGTGTTACTGATATAAATACACTTGCGAATGTAAACATAAATCGGACATTTGTTTTTGCTTTTTTTTTAAAGGTAAAAGAAATAGGAGATTACTTTAAACAACACCTTTTGCAGTCCAGGCACAGAGGAGCATTTGAATTGGCTTATACTGGTTTTGTGAAACTCACTGAAGTACTAAACAGGTAAAACAAATATCCTTTTGTGTACGTTTTAAAAAGACTAAATATACAAAGCATATGCTTGGAGTAGAATTTAGTTGTGTCTTTTGAAGTTTAAAAGAATAAGACCTGGTTGACTACAAAACTCTTGGAAGAAATTGTTTTCTTAGGTTTCATTGTATGATTTACTGCAGATAACTGATTGAAACGTCCAAACTGAGTTATTATTCTGTCATTGAAAGGTGATTTGAAGCAAACTCAAAGATTTTGCTAAAAATAGCTTTGAAATTACTGTTTTTTTTTTATTGAATGAAATAAATGTTTTGTCTGTTTGAAAATTACTTGGTGTTTGGAATAAAACAGGCCTTGCAATTTTTGGGGTTTGTATTACAGAAGCACTTAAGGATTTTGGTTTTTTTCTTCATAATTTTATCGTATAGAAAAGTTTAAAAGAACAGTAAGTAGACTGAAAAGTAGAAAATATTTTTTTCCTTTTACCTGGAAAACTACTTAGATAGATTTCATATATTTAACCAAATGTATTTCTTGACATTATAGTTACAGATAATTTCATTCATTCATATAATAGATTTCCTCCAAAGAGCTTGTGGGGAAACCTTAAATTACTTAATGACTAAGTGTTCATGGCAAGTGTTCTCTAAATAAAAGGTAGTATTTTCCAGGAAAACATTTCCATTGCCTGGAAACTTTTTGAAATGAAGCAGAGTTCTGCCAGCCTTGTAGCCTCAGCAAACATTTTATTTTAGGCTGTTAAGACATCTATTCCTTGAATATTTTTGAAACTTTTTTTTTCACATGCCTGGTAAAAACATTTATAAAACATTTTGGCAGTTATGGGCTGCACAGAATGTCTTTAAATGATACTTTTTAAAAAGTCCCTGACATTAAACTGCTGATGTTGAAAATATTTTATCTTTTCAACTTTTTGTTTCCAGTGTAGATATGACTTATGAACTTTTTTTTCCCTCAAAACACAACACACTCCACTCCTATCAAATCAGTTAACAAGAATGTATGAATACCAGCAGTGTGCTTAGTACTGTGCTTGGTTTGGATGATATTATGGTTTTTTTATAAGATGAAGTTCCTGTTATTAAAGAGCTTATGTTTTAGTTTGAGAAATAAGTAGAGATGAAATTCAAAATATTTAACAAAAGGTATGTTGTGAGCACTGACTGGTCAGAACCAACACTGGCTGTATACAGCACCCAGCATCTCTCTGTGTGTGGATGTGTGTGGACTGATTACCAGCCTGGAAGTAAGACCGACACACTTGAACAAGATAAAACTGCCAAATTTTGGGTGAAATTTATAAAACATATAGGAATAGCAGAGAGAGAAAGCAATGGGGATAGGCTGGTAGGGCTTCATGGAAGAGGTGGAATTTGTGCTAATGCATGAGTTGAAAGAAGGAAACATTGTGAGTAAATGTTCAGAGGCTAGAATCAGCAAGGTGAATAAATAAACCTCCTTCCTGTAGTGGTGGAGTTGGTAGGAAATAACCAGGCAAGTTGATAGATTGAGGCCAAATTATAGTGTCTTGGAAATAGATTTACTGTAGCAGGGATGGAGAGAGGCATCAAACATTTTTGCTCTGAAATAGATCATAGGAGGCATCATAGAATGGAGGAATACCAGTAATCTGTGACTCTGGTTCTTAGTTCTGTGTATATTCATTCCATTTATTGGCAATGAGATTGTACAAAAATTAACCTCCCTAACCTTTGATCTCTTCATCTTTAAGGAAAAGGGTATTTGCCCTATTGACAGATCTCTGGCTTTTGTTGTATGAATCAAATAAAATAGATATTTAAGAAGACCTCTTTGCATTATAGAATTTCCTACAAATTTAAAACATGAGATTGATGTTGGTTGTGGGGTTGGCATGTAAAAGCAGTTTTCTGGTTGGAAATGTTAGGTTAGATAGATTGTAATACAGATTATAGTAAGGAGAGCCTGCAATCAGTTATAACAAAGTAGATCTGAGGTGATGAGGGCTTCCTCTTGGGTGGTGGCTCTGGGAATAGAGACAAACATGGGGTTTTAGTTAACTTTTGTCCCCACATAGATAGTAACAACTCCTCACATGATGTATGCTTAGAAGGAAAGCTGTGGACACATTTTATTACATTCATGGTTTTGTATCTCAACAATTTGGGCAGGGCTCAGCTGGGTGATTCTTCCTTAGGGTATTTACTGAGTTCAGTTGGTGGCATTCAGCTGGCAGATGAACTGGTCACAAGGGACCTAAGACAACTTCACTCGCATTTATGGCACCTTGGTGGGACTAGCTAGAAGGCTGGGCCTAGTTGGGACTACATGTAGCCTCTCACCCCAGCATGGTAGTCTTGGGGTTGAAATTCTTATATGGCAGCTTGCTTCCCCCAGAGAGAGTATTCCAAGAGAATCAGCCAGAAGCTGTATGCTCTTTTCTGACCCAGCCTTGGAAGTCTCATTGCATTGCTTTAGTCACATTCCTTTGATTTTAAGTGCATCTTAGGACCAGCCTGGATTCAGTCTACCTTTTGACAGCAAAGTGGCAAGATCATATTGTAGAAGTATACGCAGATAGGAGATGTTGTGGTAGCCATCTTTGAAAAACGCCATCTGCCACATGAACCAACTGAATGTGAATAGTAGAGGTTACTAGGGAGTTCATGGTTGCTTCTGTGATTCTAAGTCTTGGTCACCAGACAAATGGGGTTGATGTTAACAAAACAAAGGAAGTTGAAAGAGGGAATGGTTTGATAAAGATGAGTAAGTTTTTTTGTTTTTTATGTGTTGAGTATGAGATAATGATGGCATACCCTGGTGGAAATACTTAAGTCAGATGTTAGAGATAGGGGATTAGTTTGGGTGATATAACAAAAACAGAGATGTAGATCTGTGAGTTTTCTCCAAAAATATCATAGTAAGATTGCAGTCTTTGGTGGAGAGCATGAAAGGAAAAAAGAACAGAGGTCTAAGGACAGAGGCTTTTGAATAACTGTGGTTGAATGGTACAGTTGAAGGCATTCCGAATAAATGGAGCGGGGAGACTAGGGAATGCCCAATGCCTGGTATCTTAGCCCCTCCTAATCTAGTTTAAAGATTTTCTCATGGCTGTTACTGTTGGCTTTTAACCAACCTGTTAGGAGTTCTCAGCTGTTGCTTTCAAACCAAGTAGTTCTTGATCCCTTTAGAGACATTTCAAATCTGCTGAACAGAATGTTTTGCAGAGAACATCTTTACAGTGTGTGTGGCTTCCTTTTGTTTGGTTTTTATTTTTAAAAGAAAATTTGTTTCTTTTGGAGCCCTTTTGAGAGCGTTTTATAAGCCCTTAAGTTATGAAAAAGTTGTTTAGGCATACAACATTTAAAAAGTTTGCAAAAAGAAATCTGGGCATTCATGAAAATCCACAGAAATGGAGGCCAACTGCTGGCCACCTCTTGAACTACAGCTGTGTTAAGGAAGGAAGCACTTAAAGAGATTAATGGATAAATAACTGAAGAGTTAAACATGACCCACATTGTTTGAATTGGTTTTTAATAGGATTATGCAAAATGTCTTCAAATATAAACTGACTTCACTATTAAACAATCATCTAAGAATAAATAGGGATGGAGACATTGTTACTTTTTCTGGGAATGTTTTGAAAGCAACACTTGCAACACACATAACACAAATAGTGTGTTGAGTTAATTTTCTGTAATCTGATTTTTTTATGTCGTGCTTTCTATTTAGAAGTCAGTGAAATATTCCTGTTCTCCTTAAAAAACATCATTGCTTGCCTGTGCATAATTACTTGTCTAAGCATTTGATTGGAGTGGTTAAGTTTGTTAATGTCATAAAACTCTAAATTCAACTTTTTGGTGACATTCATATTTGCTTGTTTACTTTCTGTGATCTTATTATTTGAAGTCGTTCTTCTGATGAAAATGAACAGACTTCTAGGATGTTAAGTTGGGAATCCAACTTTAATTTGTCCAACCGTAAGATACAAACTTAACTATAAGGGGATAAAATCATTGATTATAATTCTAAATCTAGAAGGGAGATTTATTAGTGCTTGATGTTGTCTTACTCTTCAAATATTCGAATTGCTTTACTTGTAATGTAGCTTAATCTACAGATATTTATTGCAGTAATTATAATCATTTTCACATTATTGGCCTGAAAAAATTAAATTGTGACATTTAGTAGTTTTTGTCATTAAA